>NC_000010.11:96052186-96355216 GCF_000001405.40 Homo sapiens
ATGTGTGTAATACTGTATGTGTTTAATCACTGGCTGTGAAGCCCTTTGGGGTTTAATAGTTTGTATAAGATTGGAAAAGCTCACACGTGACAGTTTAGATGTGTGAGTCCACAAATAAAATGGATTTTTGTTATTGTACAGAATGTTTATTATAGAATCAGTTTACAGTAGAGTGTCACTGGAAATCAGACATGCAAGTTAGATTATTTTAAAAACTTGGTATCATTAATGGAAAGTAACTGTGTGGCTATCACTGTCATTTTAACACTAGCACCTGCTCTATGCCTGTGATTTTTAAAGTGTAGCGTGGGCCAAGTGGGAAGGCCATCTTTGTGTACCATCTTAGGTTGGTTGGAATGGAGTTTTCAATTGTTCTTATTTTTAAATTGTGTATTTCTGTTAGTTTAAGGTCATGAACAATTTATTTTATTGAACTATTTGGATTAATATCAGTGGTAAGATGTAGTTATTTGTGACTCTTTCCAGTAATTAGACATTAGGATCTGTATTTGCTGGGGTTCAAATATGAATTATCACCTATTACTGAAAGAACTGGATACCTCCCTCCTTTTTCTGCTGATGCCTCCTGATTTCCCTTTCCTTGAGGGAAGAATTGCTTTTACATTCTTCCTTTTGCATTGGAGAGTAGGAATGTATGTGAGGTATTCTTCAGGATTTCTGCTCCTCCCAAGTAGCAAGTTGTTCAAAAGAGTTTGAGCTATCAGCTCTACACCAGGGTCAGGAATTGAAGAGGTTAGCCCTTAGTAGGCAGCAGTCTCTCTACCCTTGCCCCCCAACCCTAGTCTGTAACTTTACAGCAGAAGAGCTTAGGATTCTTATAAACTGATAAACTCTTTTCAGTGTCTGATTCCTGTTTTAAATTTGTGGAGTTCATTGTAATGGGAAGCCGTAGGTGGTTTGGCCAAAGATGGAGCATACCTTGTAAGTTCTAGAAGCAAATGCTTATGTCTACACTATTAGAAGAAGAAAGGGCCTACAGATTATCTCTGATTGGAGAGCTATGTGTAGTGTTTTGGAGCAATGACCATAGTGATGGATTCCCTGGGTTGGAGTCTCATCAGCAATATGAATTTCAACAACCCCTGAATCTCAGGTTATTTCTTTATAAGATGGAAATAAAGATACCTTACAAAGTTGTTCTGGGATCAAGTGGGGGTAATATGTTTAAAAGCATGTAGGAAATGGAAACATTAAAAGATTAGCATGGTAATTATTAATTCCTCCATAAGTTGCTCTGTTACCTTTAGCCTGCCTCCTTTACCCTAAAGGTTTTGACCTATTTCAAACTGGACCCTAATTTGTCCAGGGAAGTTCTCCTATTCCAACTCTTTCACATGTATGCCCTGGCTTCCCTTGGCTTCTGTGACCAACATTACATTTATGGAGCATGTGGAAGTAATCTTGGAGATAAGATTTCTCATAATTTGCTCAAGATCTTACATAACTAAGAAATGATCTTGGAGTCAAGACAAAGTGAAAAGTGAGACAGAGGCTTTTAGTAGTAACAATTTGTAACAAGTGCTTGTTTCCCCTTGCCAACCAACACTGGGTTAGCAAAGCTTTTTACTGATGTGTGAAAATTTATATCTCACAGTTGGTTTAATTTACATCTCAATTTTTAATGAGCTCAGAATTTTTTTCTATGAATTACCTTTTTCTTTTGTTTGCCCATTTTTATATTAGATTCATTTTATAAATTTGTGATAATTCTTAGTGTATGTTAGGGATGACTTTTTTCCCCCTACTTAGTAATAAAAAAATAGAATGTGGGTTGGCAGAGCACTCGGTGACATCTGATCCGTGCCCTATTCAGTATATAAATCTTCTCTACCACATACCTACTATTCACTGCTGGCTTTGAAAATGTGTTGGTTTCCATGGCTGATATGAACATATCCTACAAAGGAAAGACAACCCAGTGTTTTTGTTTCTGTGGCCTCTAATTCTTTATTTTCTGGGAAGCAGATATGAATTTCCTGTGCCCTTATTTCCTATTTGGGGCCTTTATCAATATAATCACATGGCTTCTGTTATTTCCTTTCAATTGAAGAAACTGATCTTTGTGAACTGTGTGTGGTAATGTGGATAAGTAAACTTAAAATGAACATAGGCATAGCAGTGAGCACAACAAAAACTATAGATAGGAATGCAGGTACTCAATTGACATTATCACACTTTTTGAAATCTTTTAATATCCATGTATCTGAATATTTATTACTATACATAATGGAAAAGTTCCAAAAAATTTGAACCCTGAATTAAAACCCCAAGTATGGTTATTTATTCAGAATCAGATTATTCTTAACTTTGCAAGATCAATATGCAAAGTCTTTCACACTTGTAGCCAAATATTTTATAAATATAAACATCCCATAGATGCTTAATAATACAGAAATCTGTCAGTTCTGGTCTAGAAGTGCAAATTTGGGAATTCAAACATAAATTTTCCTTTTGGCTTCCATTTTTGGTTTGATTTAACTTATCTGACCTTAAATGGATTGGCCAACCTCGCTACCTTGGTTTTTGAGCAGTGAAATTGGTCATATGCAATTTTTTTTCCCAATGTTGAAGATTTCAAGGAGATAATATGAAACATTCTTGCTCCTTGAATTATGATGTATTAATTTCTTCAAAGGAACTTTAAGCATAATATAAATAAACTCATTAATTTCTACAGTATTCCTTTGAAGTATTCTGCCAGTATTGCTGTTGCTTCACAAATGGCAGGGTGCTTGAAAGCTGTAATGATTCATCCAGAGACACTGAACTAAATTCCTAGGTCATTCTCCTTCTGAAGAATTTCACTTCATACTAGGAACACTGGTTCCCTCTTCTTTTTTCAGGCAATAAGCTGGATAACTATGTCATACAGACCACTTTAGTGCTTTCAACTTTAAGTATTTGCTATTGGCAAAACTTGTTAAATTGATCTTTATGTGATTTTAATTAGGAAGGGCTATCTAGATTCAAGTCTGAATTACTTAAGTTTGGGATCAACTTCTACCTGCAGCAATATTTAGAGTGGTTTAGATCTAAGGAAGTTCACCTCTCTGCCATCACTCCTGCTTCCTTGGGCTTAGATTCTTCACAACACATGAGCTTAGAATCTCCTGGCATAGGCATAATATGATGGTTTTAAACCTTAAATCTAAAATAGAACACAGTAATAGGAGCTTTAGTTATAATTTCCTTTCTTCTGTGGACCACCATGGAACAAAGACCCAAAGAGGCTTGATGACAACTCTGGTTCTGTTGCTGCATCTGGAAAATCATAGTAGTACTTAATAGTTTGTAAATGTTCTCCAGCCATCAGTTCTAGAAATACTTACTAAAATGAAGCCTTTATATGTAGAGACAGTAAAATGCATGTTTGGAAAGTAAAGTGTAAGATGGTACATAATCTATAGAAACATTCTGGGGCTGGAAAGAGAATCTTATTCTTCAGCTGTGCATAGCTGAAACCTTATAGATGGGTATTTCCAGAAAAGAAATTAATCCCTTTGAATAATGTTCAGCCATCATATTGTCTTTACTCCTATTCTGCTTTCAGTAAGGGAATTTAAAAGCAGATATAAACTATCTCCCCCATGCCCCTTTTTTCTTTAACAGACTAGATTTTTGTTTTGAATTCAGAAGAAGTGGGGGATGGGGCTTTTTGTGGAATGATAGTGCTTGTGTTAAATGTTCACCCAGTTTTTCCCTCCAGTCTCTCTCTGGAATTGAGATTATGTTGATGCCAAGATGAAACAATTGGAGCTTAACTATTTTTTATTTCAGATAAAGCTATGACATTAAATTGTTAAAACTATCTTCTCCTCTTGGCCGGGCGCAGTGGCTCACGCCTGTAATCCCAACACTTTGGGAGGCCGAGGCAGGCAGATCACAAGGTCAAGAGATCAAGACCATCCTGGCTAACATGGTGAAACCCCGTCTCTACTAAAAATACAAAAAATTAGCCAGGCGTGGTGGCGGGCGCCTGTAGTCCCAGCTACTCGGGAGGCTGAGGCAGGAGAATGGCGTGAACCCGGGAGGTGGAGCTTGCAGTGAGCCGAGATCACGCCACTGCACTCCAGCCTGGGCGACAGAGCAAGACTCCATCTCAAAAAAAAAAAAAACTATCTTCTACTCTAAAATCAAATAATTTATTTTACCAGCTACCACCCACCTGCAAAAAAAATTTCCTGAAAATATTCAGCTGATGAGATTGAGTTATTTTTTTCACTGGCACATGACTATTTCCATTCTATACTAGAACACAGATCAAAATGTTTATGTATTTCAAGCATTTTTTTTTAGGGGATTGGGGAAAGGTTGGGGATGGTGGCACTGGGAAAGAAAACACAGGGTTCTGGCACAATTGTATCTGTGTAAGGTAAGTACGTCTTTGGATCTAAATCCTGGCAATAAGACAGCAAATCCCATTTTACTGACTAGACCAATAATGATCACTTGCCTGACATTTTCTCTCCCCTCCCATCCCCTTTTCTTATAAGGTAAATTTGAAGAAAAAGAAGACAGTGTGCCTAAGCTGGAGCAGCTCAACAGCCTGGGTTGTATGACTAATATGAATCTAGTATTAACAAAACAAAATTTGCTACATATGGAACTATTATTATTAGAAACCTTTCAGTGGAACCTCTGCCTTCCAACAGCCGCCCATTTCATTGAGTATTATCTCTCTGAAGCAGTACACGAAACAGATCTTCATGACGGCTGGCCAATGATTTGCTTGGAAAAGACTAAACTCTACATGGCCAAATATGCAGATTACTTCCTGGAAGTATCTTTGCAAGGTGGGTTGTTGTGAATACCAGTAAGTGACTTGTGCACTTGTGACTCGTGTATTCTGTTCCTTAAGTTCATTTTTGGTGTCTCCACAGATTATGCCTTTCTAAATTATGCACCTTCTTTAGTAGCTGCTGCATGTGTGGCTTCTTCGAGGATTATACTTCGTCTTTCTCCAACGTGGCCTACAAGACTACATCGTCTTACTGCCTACTCTTGGGATTTCTTAGTGCAGTGTATTGAACGACTGTTGATGTAAGCCTTTTTATTCTTGTGTTTGTACTTTCTCATTAACAGTTTTCTTCATGTATGAGGTGCCCTGAAAACAGCTTCTGAAAGGCACAGAGTTCCTAGGTTATTTGCTTTTGGCAGCAGTTACTTGCTGCCATGAGCAAGCCCATGTATGAGCAGAACTCTAGGGAAGGTGTCATTGTTAGAATAATTCTGGGCACATTATAAGGAAAGGAGCTGCTTGTGTGTGTCTGTAAGTCTGTAACCCTGAGATCAGTCCAGGCCAGCCTTGCCCCATTCCTAACATCATTGAATTTTGGGGGCCACCAGGATGTTACCAAATTGGCAGCCACACTTACGTGCTTATTATGGACACATCTCCCAAACTGGAAATAATCCTCAAAGCTACCAGGAAGGTTCACATCAAGGGAAATAGCTTTAGAAGAACACAAGCGAGGTCTCACTGTTGTTGGAATTATGGTGCAGTGACTGCTACCTGGGTAGTGGTGGTGGAAGAAGCTGTTGAGTTGGGGATGGGGCATGATTTTCTTGCAGATTTCTTCTCAAGCAGTATTTTTAATAGTTTCCTTTCTCTCCACGTTTCAGCGCTCATGATAATGATGTGAAAGAAGCAAACAAACAGAGAGGGCAAGCAGGACCTCAGTCAGCGCAACTAAGTGTATTCCAGACAGCCTCCCAGCCATCACGGCCAGTTCACTTTCAGCAACCTCAGTATCTCCATCAGACACATCAGACCTCACTGCAGTATCGCCATCCTACGTCAGAACAACCAAGCTGTCAGCAGATTGTATCGACCACACACACCTCATCTTACACACTACAGACATGTCCTGCTGGCTTCCAAACTAGTGTTCAGGGCCTTGGGCACATGCAGACTGGTGTTGGGATGTCACTGGCAATACCAGTAGAAGTTAAGCCCTGTCTGAGTGTTTCTTACAACCGGAGTTATCAGATAAATGAACATTACCCTTGTATTACTCCATGTTTTGAAAGGTGATTATTTGTGAAGCTGATAACCGACCCAGACTGCTTTGTGACATGAAGCTATGGGTAAGCGTTTTGTAAACTTCTGTTCAAAAGGAAAGGGATCTAAATGACATCAGAACTCTTCAGGTACCAGCACCAGGAAGACTGAATATCCTTTTTAATGCACCATGAATCCTGGGAGACTAAGCAAATTAACAGTATGTCAAATTCTGTTACAACAAATCCCTGTATGACAAAAATGTTCAAGTCCTGGCTGATGGTCCAAATATTTCAAAAATATTCAGTACAACAGAAAATTTGGACAGACTTCAATTTGCCATTTTGAGATTTGACCTGTGGTAGCATCTGGGCCTAATGTTGGCTTCTAAGTCAAAGACTAAATGTTTATCTCATCTATGGACTTGCCAAACAGTCTTTTATGAAGGAAAGTTACAGTATTAATTTTTGAAAAGGTTTTTTTTATTCTGCAATTTTTTATTTTTGTTCTACACATGAATTTTTGACTAAGTTTAAACTCATGAATTGTTATGCTATACCAATCTGCAGTAAAAAAAATTTTTTTAGATGATTCTATATAACTTCGTCTCACAAATAGTGTAGGTATCTGGGTTTATATACTAAAATTAAGGGTGGAGAAGATCTTATTTTTTAAATCATGGTCATAATTTTTCTTTTTTTCCCTAAGTGATCAACATCAAATTTTTAGAATTAAAATACATTTAACTCAGGGAATTTGTACTACTTGGAAACACTTAACTGTAATGCAACATGCCTTGGGAATGTTATAGTGTGAACTACCTTTATAACATAGGTTAAAATACGCTTGCTAGGGTGTGTTTTCAAATGAGAACATAATATAGCTCAGAATGAAGTGGTAGTTCCTGTGATTCATAATACATATGTAGGTTTTGCATATCTCAGTGCAATCCATGATTTATACTCAGAATCGACATTCTTAAAAAGTTATTTCAAGGGATGGCATAACTGTAAGAGGTCAGTGCTAGAATAAAGTCCTGTAGGTTTATTTTGGAAGGGACTGTGGCCAGGGTAGTTCTCAGGTTGTGCTAGAGCAGCACTTTGTTATGTGGAAGACAGGTTTTTTAAGCAACCTTTGAATCCAGCTCTAGTCAGTCTAAGCAGGCAAAGGTAACTGATGACTAAATTTCAGTAGCTACTTTCATTGGATTGACCCTACAACTGCCCTGGGACATTTCACTGTACCAGTATTAACTGCAAACAGCAATAATTGTCATTACAGCAAGGGCAGTTTGGGGGTAAAGCATTTTGGAGGAATAACCTTAAAAAGTTAAAAAGTCATTGTAATAACTGATAAACTGTATACATTGTGCTCCTTTCTGTGGGAGAAGAAAGATTTGGTGGAGGGAAGCTTTCTGGTTTAAAAATTAGTAAGGTGTGTCTTTTTGTTTTTTTTAAGATAGCACTTGAATAGAAGGGAAAACTGCATGGCAGATACGTGACTGCCACAATATGCATCGAAGACAAACTTACTATAAAGATGTTGTGGGTATGCAGCAGGAGTCTCAGTAATCAAGCCAATGGCCTTTGTCAGGAAGGGAAGGGGCTCAACACAGTGATGGACTGATCCAGATGGCTCCCGGGGATGAATGTGGGTGGGTAGCTTCTGTCAGTATCAATGCTTAGAGAAATATCCTTTCCTTAAAAAGAAAATAACTTTTATATTTAGAGTACATAGGGCATGATGTGGATTTATTAGTCTGGTAGATAAAATGAAAAACCACTCAGGTAAGAACACTCACTCATGGCAGTTTTTAAGCATGAAAATTGTTTTCTGAAAGTATCATCACTTTTCCTTTTTAAAGAAGGCTGCTAATTGGATTTTGGTAGTTCTTACCTCAAGAAAACTTGAATTATTTGGGGGAAAGTAGGCTCAAAAGAGAATATATCTTTCACATTCACATTCAGAACCCAGCAACCTGGAGTCCAATTTTCAGTATTTTAACTACCTCAATAATGCTATGAATGTAAGATATTGGGATAGAGATCCCAACTTGAAACAACAGCCAGTGCCTGTGGTAACTTAATGTCTTGTCAAATACTTTTATTGATTGGTTTATATGCCATTCTTGTTATAGAAGAATATGCCTTTTAAAAAAGCTTATTAATAACACTTTCCCAATTTATATTTTAAAAAGCTAAAGAACACTGGATTAATAATCTTTTGGGAGGGTAGAATAAAATAATTGATTACTATTGCTGCATACCCGGGGTGGGATGGGGTGGTTGGAGAACCAGAACTATTTTTAAAACATTAGGTTTCAATATAAATACAACTCACAACTGCTAGCTTTGGGGGGTGGGGGAACATTGTGTGGGTTTTGTTTTGTTTAATTTATTGATTAGTCTTTAAAGTAGGCTTTTTTTTTTTTTTTTGAGAATACTGGACCATCATTAAATGTGTACTGTGAAGAGATTAATATGTATGAAGGGCTTTACCAAAGTCCACTAAATAAACACTACTCAAGTACAGACTGCAAACCAAAATGTATCTGTGTTACGACATTAATTGCAAATAGCAAGTATGGTGCTAAAGTCTACACCAATGGAATTAGATGAGTGCTATGCACTTAATTTTAAAATAAAACTAGTTTTCAGTAAAATGGCTTCGGTATTTTTGTTTTAAATACAAACTTGTATATTTGCAGCTCTAGTGAACCATCTCATCATGTAATTCAGACTTGGAATCATGATTTTATTTACTAAAAGCCATCAAGATGTAGAATATAGCCATTAGTGGCATAAAACATCCGTTCATTGCGTATTCCATACTGAGCATTAAAGCCCACAAAAGTATATTGGACACCACTGTTGCCTTTTTGAGCTTAAAATCAGTTGTTAGTATGTTAGCAACTACAGATTCTAATTTATTCAACAATCATGCAAGCATCAGAAAATCTGAAGTTTGATGTCAAAAGTAGGGACACAGAAAATGGTTAAAGCTATGAGAAGGAATATAGGGTCTACAGTGAGTGAGAATGGTCTATTTACCTGAGTATAAATATCATTTGCTACTTAATTCAACTCAAACCTTAGCAGATGGAATTTGTTTTGAAAAGTAAAATTTAACAGGTTTGTACAAGCGGGTTAGGAATTTACACTGCCTTTTTAAAAAACATTTTTGAAATTAGTCTCAAAACTATCGTATTGTCACTTGTTCTGGCACAGTGCCAGGGTTTAGCAGCCCTCAAGAGTTAATATACCATGTTCTTTAGGGCTGACTTTAAGAAAAAGAAAAAGCATTCCAAACCAGGCCAGGTAGCTTTGCCTTGAGGTGATCTGAGCCCCATGTGGCAAGTTTATAACCAACAACTGCCTCTCAGGCACGTGGTAAAAGCCTCCCTAGCCTCAAGCAGCTTACATCTAGTTTGATAAATACGACTAGCACACTTGCAGCAATTAGGCTAGTAGAGGCCCGCACGGTGGCTCATGCCTGTAATCCCAGCATTTTGGGTGGCTGAGGCCAGTGGATCACTTGAGGCCAGGAGTTTGAAGCCAGCCTGGGCAACATGGTGAAACCCTGTCTCTACTAAAAGTACAAAAACTAGCTGGGTGTGGTGGCACGTACCTGTAGTCCCAGCTACTTGGGAGACTGAGGCACAGGAATCACTTGAACTCAGGAGGTGGAGACTGCAATAAGCTGAGATCACACCACTGCACTCCAGCCTGGGCAACAGAGCTAGAGTCTGCCACTAAATAAAATTAGGCTGGTGTAGTCTGGAACTCGGTTTAATATCGTGTTAGTTTAGGAATCACTCAACATTCATTTTTCAATCCCTTAGATTTTAAAGTAGCAAGTACAGTCAGTTGACAGCATAAGGACCAGGCTCAGGGATCATATGGGAAGGACACCTGCTATCCTATCCTTGCCTGACTACCACTCTGTTTCCTCCCATAACACCCTCTGCCTCCCAGGTAAGCATCACCACCCTGAATTTATTAGTTCTTAAGTCCATGAAGCCTTGACATGGTATGCAATTTATATGTAAATGATTTCCCCTATTCTTAAAGTTTTGTCTACTCAAAGGGACCTGTAATTAAAAATGTAAGAGTGACTGTCTTGTATCCATTTACTTGCTAGTTTCTCCCTACTAGAACCTTGTGTTAGGCCGTTCTCGCATTGCTATAAAGAAATACTCAGGACTGGGTAATTTATAAAGAAGAGAGGTTTAACTGGCTCATGCTTCTGTAGGCTGTACAGGGAGCATGGAGCTGGCATCTGCTTGGCTTCTGGGAGGCCTCAAGAAACATGGCAGAAGGGTAAGCAGGAGCAGGAATCTCACTTGGTGGGAACAAGTGGGGGTAGGCGAAGGTGCCACACACTTTAACCAGATCTCACATGAAGTGAACTCACTATCACAAGGACAGCACCAAGCCATGAGGGATCCGCCCCCATGACAAACACCTCCCACTAGGCCCCACCTCCAACATTGGGGATTACATTTCAACATGGATTTGGGTGGGGACAAATATCTAAACTATGTCAAACATATCTTCCCTCTGTCTGCCAGGCTGGAGCGCAGTGTTGCCATTATGGCCCACTGCAGCCTCGACCTCCTGGGCTCAAAAAATTCTCCCACTTCAGCCTCCTGAGTAGCTAGGATCGTAGGCATACACCACCACATGCCTGGCTCATTTTTACAATTTTTTGTAGAGGTGGGGGTTTGCCATGTTACCCAGGCTGTCCTTTTTTTTTCTTAAGATTTTTAATTTTAGAACAGCTTAGATGTACAGAATTATTACTAAGATAGTACACAGAGTCCCCATATAGCCCACAGCCAGTCTCTCTTCTTATTAATATATTGAGATGGTACATTTGTCACAATGCACCAGTACTGATGTACTATTACTAACAGAAATCCATGCTTTATTCAAATTTCCTTAGTTTTTCCCTAATATCCTTTTTCTCTCCCAGATTCCTATGCAGGATATCACATTACCTTTAGCACTCAGGTCTTAGGCAACTCTGGGTTGTGACAGTTACTCAGACTTTGTCTGTGATGACCTCGACAGTTCTGAAAATCCGTGGTTAGGTATTTCATAGAATGAACATATGTTTCTTGAGAGCAGGGATTTTGTCTTACTCATCTTACGCCCCTGTGTGTGATAGGGATCTGATGTATGATAGCACATCATAGGCTCTTGGGATGTAGGTAACAAAAAATTGGCCAGCACGGTGGCTCACACCAGTAATGCCAGCACTTCTGGAGGCCAAGGTGGGTGGATCACTTGAGCTCAGGAGTTCAAGACCAGCCTGGCCAACATGGCAAAACCCCATCTCTACAAAAAATAAAAAAACTAGCTGGGCGTGGTGGTGTGTGCCTGTAGTCTCAGCTACTTGTGGGGCTGAAGCAGGAGGACTGCTTGAGCCCAGGAGGTCGAGGCTGCAGTGAGCCATGTTTGTGCCACTATACTCCAGCCTGGGTGACAAAGTGAGACCCTGTCTCAAAACAACAACAACAAAAATGCAGTGTAAAAGTAGGCAGTGACTAATAAACAAATGCTGCCTTGGGTTGATTTAAAAAGTAGAGTACTCTGATCATAGGAAGGCACAGTCCCATCAGATTCAGCACTGGTTAGATCGTATCTACAAAAATCTTGTGAACTGAATTTTAAGTGGAATGGTGATAAACCCAAGTTTTGCCACAAGCTGGTGATGGGTCCAGGAATCATGTTATATGAGTAACAACTGAAGGAACTGGTGGTGTTTTCACCTGGGGAAGCCTAAGGAAAGGTAAAATGCTTGTCTTCCCAGATGTGAGAAGTCCTATTACTGCAAAGGGCAGAATTAAGTCAGTGGTCCAAAGTTTCTCACATTTCAATGAATAATAAGCCAGAATGTTACAAACAGAGTAGTGCTGCTTTGAGAGTTCCTGAGTTCCTAGTTAACAGAGGCCCCTGACATAGACCAGAAATGGGATGGAAGTAATCCTTGAACTTGGGTGTAAACATCTTCCAATTCTCAAGAGCTTCTGAAGCTCTAAAGAGTTTCTGAAGAGTTTCTAAAGGTTTTATGGACCTGGGACTTGAGCTGGGTGTAGAAAGAAGGGAAAAGCTTCAGCTAGACTAGGGCAGTCATCACCCCAGTGTTGGCACAAAGCAGACTGCACTAGCCTGGCTGAAGCCCTTCCCTTCTTATATTCTCAGCTCAATTGTTGGACAGTGAGGGCAGACTCATTGAGAAGTTGTAGAGGAAATAAAGTTGAGTGAGTAGAATGAGGTTGAGTTACGGAGTTTTGAAAGCCAGAAGAGAATACAGACTTTGTGGGGTCAGAGATATCGCTGAGGATTTGTGATATGATACTGGTGATTTTAGGAAGAATGATGATTTTAGGAAGATTGGTTTTAGAAAGAATAATGATTTTAGAAAATGGTGGTTTTAGGAAGAATGATCTGACAGTATCAGGGTAGGTTAGTAAGAGAAGATGGGAGTCAGAAAGCTTTCTGCAATAATGACAAATTGAGTAAGAATGGTACATGGATATTTAATGGTACAAAGGTAAACCCTAAGAAAGAAAACAAAATTGATAGAATTGAGGGATAGAATAAAGGAAAGGAAATATACTAATTCTGTTATTACTTATAAAAGTGAATTACAGATACTGAGATACTGGCTAAATAGAAAACAGAAATACTGATTATACAATCTGTATTA
The DNA here is from genome assembly GCF_000001405.40 of Homo sapiens. Classification (NCBI taxonomy): domain Eukaryota; kingdom Metazoa; phylum Chordata; class Mammalia; order Primates; family Hominidae; genus Homo; species Homo sapiens. Next base: position 96,064,923 of record NC_000010.11, read on the forward strand.
CAAAGTTAACTACAGGAACAAAAACACAAAGCTTTCTAATTATGAAAAGAAGGAATAAAACAAAGCAAACTTTCCATATAGTAAACTATACTTTAAAGGTATAAATAGCAAAAGTATAACAAAATAATCTGACAGAACTAAGTCCAAACATATCAAATCAATAAATGAAAACAAACTCAACTATTAAGGGAAAAAGAACTTCAGACTGAATCACAAAGTGAAACTCAAATCTATGTTGTATGAGAGACAGGTCTAAAATAAAATGATTAAGAAAGGTTGAAGATCAACGAAAAAGTAGAGATACCAGAAAAACTCAAACAAAAAGCAAGGATCAAGATCTTAATAACAGACAAGGCTGAATTTTGGCCAAAATGTATTAAACCAAATTTTAAAAAGGGCACTTTATAATGCTAAAGGTTACAGTTCATGATAAGGATGAAGTTATTAATACTTCTGGATCAAATAACTGTAGCAATATTATGCACAAACTATAAAGGTTTTACAGAGAAATAAAAGAAAAACATGGGGCAGGGTGCAGTGGCTCACGCCTGTAATCCCAGCACTTTGGGAGGCCGAGGCGGGCGAATCACGAGGTCAGGAGATCGAGACCATCCTGGCTAACACGGTGAAACTCCGTCTCTACCAAAAATACAAAAAGTTAGCCGGGTGTGGTGGCGGGCGCCTGTAGTCCCAGCTACTCCAGAGGCTGAAGCAGGAGAAAGCTCCAGGAGGCGGAGCTTGCAGTGAGCCGAGATGGCGCCACTGCACTCCAGCCTGGGTGACAGAGCAAGACTCCGTCTCAAAAAAAAAAAAAAAGATGGTAGGTAAGAAACTAATTTATTTCTCTAAGTCCATGACAGATCAGTAACATTAAAAAAAAAAAAAGCAAGGATATACAAAACCCTAACACACCATTATGGTTCATCTAATGGACACATATTAGATATTCTGAGAAGGAAATGGTGCAGACCTGGAATAACAAAGACGGCAGAGAAAACAAAGTACACCGCCAGATGTACAGAGATAGCCTGTCACGCATGCCAACAGCAAAATTCTGTCTTCTAAAGAGTCCTTAGATAACTGAAATTGCTTTCTTTGTTGACCCATCTAGGTGCCTGAGATCAGAATATCCTTACTGGCCTCTTTGCTAGCTACCAGCTAATCTGCAGCTTATCTAGAGAAAATAAAATTCATGGTTTCCAAACTGCAAAAACACTTCCACTTTTGCCTTTGTTAGATGAGGTCAATCCATTACTGGATTTCACTTTACACAACAGTATACTAATAACTGACTATATTTCTGTAAGTTTTCTTGGATAATATCAAACTCTAATGTGAGGTTTTACAAAACTTGACTATGTATTAATCCACCAAAAAACTGCAACAATTCCAAAAAGTAGAATTACTACAGAAGACATATTCTGATGAAAATGTGACTAAAAAGAAATATGTAATAGGACCAAAGAACTCAAATAATCTTTAGGTCAAATAAGAAATCGAAACTGAAATTTCAAATTATCTAGAAAATCACTTGTAACAAAAATTCTACGTATCATGAGCTCTGGGATAAAACTAAAGCAATGCTCAGAATAAAATTAACATCCAACTGAAAAAGTCTAAGAACAAGAAACCAAACAAAAGCAGGAGGAAAGAAATAAGACAAAAGCAGTAAAAATGAATTATAAAAGGGAAAAAGAAAAAAACTAATACCTACCTATACATGCAATACAACTAAACAAGAGAAAATAAAATACAGTTTAAACATTGGGAAGGAGGAGGTAAAATTACAACTATTTGCAGAATCAATGTATACCTGGAAATGCAAGGTAATCAACTGAAAAACTATCACACGTGATAAGGAAATTTAGTAAATTGGCTGGCTACACAATTAAAATAGCTCTCATATATACAAACAACAACCAATTAGATTTAATGCAAGATATACTCAATTATAATGGCCACCAAAATAAGACAAAATGGCAATAAATACAACACATGCACAAGATCTACATAAAGAAAACTCTAAAATACTTATGACACAAAAGAAAGTTGCACAAGGCATACCATATACTTTTATAGAAAGTGTAAACTTTATAAAGATGTCAATTGTCCTTAATCTATAAATTTAACATACTCTAACAAGGTAATTTTTTTAAATTACCTAAATAAAGAATAATGAATATAGAAAAGCCCCATGACATATTAAAATATATTACAAATCTATAAAAAATAAAAATGGTACTGGCAAATGAGTTGACACACAATTCTGTGAAACAGAACAGAAATTCCCAAAATAAACATATTTAGAATTTATTATATAATAAAGGTGGTATCTTAAATTAGTAGAGGAAAATAAATATTATTCAATAAATTGAGTTAGGTCAACTGGGTAGCCACCTAGAAAAACAAATTTGGATTCCACACCTCAAAAAATTTAAGTTTTAGGCTGGGCACAGTGGCTTATGCTTGTAATCCCAGCATTTTAGGAGGCTGAGGTGGGAGGATTGTTTGAGGCCAGGAGTTTGAGACCAGCCTGGGTGATATAGCGAGACTCTCGTTTCTGTAAAAAATACAAAAATTAGCCAGGTGTAGTGGTACGTGTCTGTAGTTCTAGCTACTATGGAGGCTGAGGTGGGAGGATCACTTGAATCCAGGAGTTCAAAGACAAGCTTGAGCAACACAGTGAGATCCCATCCCTACAAAAAAATTTAAAAATTAGCCAAGCATGATGGTGCATGCCTGTAGTCCCAACTACTAGGGAGGCTGAGGTGGGAGGATCGCTTGAGCCCAGAAGTTGGAAATTACAGTGAGCTATGATCTCACCATTGCACTCCAGCCTGGGCAACAGAGTGAGACCTCATCTCTTAAAACAAAATTAAATAAACAAATAAAACATTTAAATTCTGACCAAAAAGAAACCATGGAAGAATTATTTTATAACCTCAAAGACAGAATGTGTAAGAATACAAATGCAGGCTGGGTGTAGTGGCTGCCTGTAATCCCAGCACATTGGGAGGCCAAGGTGGGTGGATCACCTGAGATGAGGAGTTCGAGACCAGCCTGGCGAAACCCTGACTCTACCAAAAACACAAAAATTAGCTGGGTGTGGTGTCATGTGCCTATAATCCCAGCTACTCAGAAGGCTGAGGCAGGAGAATCACTTGAACCCAGGAGGCAGAGGTTACAGTGAGCCAAGATCGCACCACTGCACTCCAGCCTGGACGACAAAGTGAGACTCCATCTCAGAGAAAAAAAAAAAAAAAGAATACCAATGCAATAAAATTTATATAAATTTTTCAAAATTTTCTACAAGGCAAAAATCATCATAATCAAAGTCAAAAGACAAATAACAACATAGGTCAAGTATTTGCAATTAATCTCCAGACAAAGGGATAATTTCCTTAACATATAAAGATGGAAAGATATGAACAGGCAGTTCCCAGAAAAAGAAATACAAATGTCTCTGAAGAAAAGATATTCAGCCTCATCTTAGAGTTTGGTAACAGTGTTGGTGAGGGTGTAGGCATTATTCTACATTACTTACGAGTGTCTGATAGGTCGAATTCTATGAAAGGTAATTTGGCAATATATATCAAAGTTACAAAAGCAAAAATCTTTTGACCCAGAAATTCCACTTCTAGGAATGTACTCTACAGGTTAAGAGTTATATACATGTGAAATGGGATAGGTACAAATTATTTATTTCACCATTACTGATAAGAGCAAAGATGAGAAACAACTTAAATGGTCATCCATAGGGACTCTGTTTTGCTATTATAATGGCATTAAAAGAACAAAATATTTCTCTATACTCATTGGTATGGATGATATCCAAGACATATCAGAGTACAGAGTATGCTACCATTACACCAATGCTTACAGGATCACATGAGGTCTCTTTTTTTTTATTTATTAATTTTCACTGTTTGTTTCTGACTGGTCAACATAGAAAATTTGAAAAATGGGCCAGGTGTGGTGGCTCACATCTGTAATTCCAGCACTTTGGGAGGCCGAGGCGAGCAGATTGCCTGAGTCAGGAGATTAAGACCAGTCTGACCAAATGGTGAAACTCCGTCTCTAATAAAAATACAAAAAAATTAGCTGGATGTGGTGGCGTGCACCTGTAATCCCAGCTACTTGGGAGGCTGAGGCAGGCGAATTGCTTGAACCAGGGAGGTGGAGGTTGCAGTGAGCCGATATCGTGCCACTGCACTCCAGCCTGGGCACGGAGCGAGACTCCGTCTAAAAAAAAAAAGAAAGAAAATTTGAAAAACGAAAAATATAAAGCAAAAGGGCATAACGGGCCGGGCATGGTGGCTCATGCCTGTAATCCCAGCACTTTGGGAGGCCAAGACAGGTAGATCACTTGAGCTCAGGAGTTCAAGACCAGTCTGACCAACATGGAGAAACTTCGTCTCTACCAAAATACAAAAAAAAATTAGCTAGGCATGGTGGCACATGCCTATAGTCCCAGCTACTCGGGATCAGGAGGCTGAGGTGGCAGGATCGCTTGAGCTTGGGAGGCAGAGGTTGCAGTGAGCCGAAATTGCACCACTGCACTCCAGCCTGGGCTACAAAGTGAGACCCTCTCCCAAAAAAACAAAAAAAAGGGGACATAACTAATCATTTGCTTTGAGGATCTTTCCTGTACACACATATATTATTTCTACATGGACTGCATATTAAATATGTAATTTTGTATTATATTTTTTGTACTTCACAATATATCAGCAACAATATTTTTTCATGAAATTAAAATATATCCAAAGAATATTTTGGAAGGGTTGGCCATACGGATTATATGAATAGAATATATTTTAATCATTTTCTAATGTTTTGAAATGATTTAAATATGCTCTAATAAATATATATTTTTACCACACTTCTTCAACAACAGACATTATTATCAAACGATTTCATCTTTGTAAATATATCAGGTAAAAATATCTCATTTTTGTTTTTATTAGCATTTCTTAAATTCTCAGTAGAGATGACCATTTTTGTGTGAGTGTACTGACTACTTATACTTATTTGATGAAATAGCTGTTCATTCCTTTACCAATTTTCCTTTGGTTGTTAGTTCTTGGTTTTAAAAAGCACTCCAAATAGTCAGAAATTAGCCCATTAACTATTTTACCTGTTACAAATATTTTTACCAGTTAACATTTTTTTACCCTTGCTTGTACTGTAGGGGGGACATGTTCCTATCAACATATATCTTCCTTTTTCTTTTTTTCTTGAGACAGGGTCTCTCCCCTCACTCTGTCGCCCAGGCTGGAGTGCCCGAGTGTGACAAGATATATCTGTGTATTGAAATCTTCTTGAATGACCCTCAGTACAATCTTTACGTTTTCTTCATATAGATCTTACACATTTCTTAAGTTTACTTCTGGGTATCTTACCCTTTAAAAATAATTACCGGCTGGACACGGTGGCTTACGCCTGTAATCCCAGCACATTGGGAGAGTGAGGTGGGCAGATCACGACGTCAGGAGTTCGAGACCAGCCTGACCAACATGGTGAAACCCGATCTCTACTAAGAATACAAAAATTAGCTGGGCGTGGTGGCGGGCGCCTGTAATCCCAGCTACTCAAGGCAGGAGAATCAGTTGAACCCAGGAGGTGGAAGTTGCAGTGAGCTGAGATCGTGCCACTACACTCCAGCCTCGGTGACAGGGCGAGACTCCTTCTCAAAAAAAAAAAAAAATTACCACAACTGTGAATGAAATTTGTTTTTCCACTGTATTTTATCTGGTTATTGTTTGCATATATAAAAAGATGATTTATGTTTTAGAACCATATTTTACTTTCAAGGTGTTTTTAAGTACACTAACAGTACATGAATACATGCTTATATTTAAACATGTAGATGAGAATAAGCACAGAGCTGGGCGCAGTGGCTCATGCCTGTAATCCCAGCACTTTGGGAGGCTGAGGCGGGCGGATCACGAGGTCAGGAGATCGAGACCATTCTGGCTAATACAGTGAAACCCCATCTCTACTAAAAATACAACAAATTAGCTGGGCATGGTGGCAGGCGGCTGTAGTCCCAGCTACTCGGGAGGCTGAGGCAGAAGAAAGGTGTGAACTCGGGAGGCGGAGGTTGCAGTGAGCTGAGACCGCGCTACTGCACTCCAGCCTGGGCAACAGAGCAAGACTCGGTCTCAAAAAAAAAAAAAAAAGAAAAGAAATTACTGGGTCGCAGCCAGCAAATTAAACAGAAAAAAACAAAACAAAACAAAAACAAAAAAACAACAACAAATAGAAACTGTAAGACTACACTGCTCTAGTAAGTACAAATATTGTTTTTACTAAACTTATTTCTAACTCTAGGTCAGAGTCCAAAAAGCTTGAAATACACTACTTAGTCCTGGGTTCTCAAATGGGGTACATAAGAATCATCTGCATCTCAGGACCAAAAGATTCCAATTCAGTAAATCTTGAATAAGAATCAAGAATCTATATTTTTAAAAGACACTATACAGGTGATTCTGATGGAGAAAGTCTTGAGGCCTACTTGAAAAACTATGCTCCATATACATGCATGTCCTTCTCCAAAAGGTTCCCAAGATAGCGGGTGACAAACTTTTGCCATGGAAAGCCACCCCAGTACAGAAGTGCAGGACTGGATGGCATGGGCCTACAGAATGCAGCCATGTTCTTGTAATGGTCTGCAGATTATTCCTGTACCGACCTCCACTCCACTGGGTTACCGGGCTAGGGACATGTCCTGGAAGGGTAACAGCCATGGCTAAGGTCTGGGTCTTTTACACAGTTAAGAGTCATCAGAAGTGAGCTGGTATCAACATATGACCTCACATGACCTGAGTTCTCTTTGACCTTGATTATTAACACAATTGTTAATACCTTCATTCAATACACCACTAAACTACTGCATTTCAGGCACTGTGGTGGGCACTAGTGGAAATAAAAAGATGACTGTCCCAGGAGTTTTCACACTCAGCCACCAACACTACCCCCTCTCCCAACACACAGAAGGCAATAAATAGCTCAGCAAAGGTTCTTTGTCTTTCCTTTTGGCAGAGGTACCTCATGGGTTTTAGACACCAGGGAGGGGGCCTGTCAAAGCCTGAGATAAGGTGACCATATCCTCCAATTTCACACTTCTCTTCCTTCACATACCTGAGGGAAACACTGTTCATGTCTTTTAAGGACTATGGCCTCTGTGGGTCTCATATCAAGGCATGGAAAAATAAAAGTTAAATCTAGAATCCTAGAAACCATGCTCTCCAAGAAATAGCACTGAGAAATATATATTAAAAGGATTGTTAGGGTATGTGCTACCATATTAGCAACTGGTACATTTAGTAAGACTCACATTTTACAGATATGCCTTCTAGTAAGGTACTAAGTGAAAGTAGTCTTTGATTACAGAGAGGCTGAAAGCCTCCCTTATTCACAGGTCACTTCCTGGTAGCTTAATGGGTATGTTTAACTGATTCAAAGACAACTAATTTAATTTGATAATCTGAAAGGATGTCTGTCAAGGGGTCATCATAGTTATCGCTGGGTAGTGAAAATGGATGATTTTTATTTTTGCCTTTGCAAATTTGTGTTTTCTAACTTTTCTTACAGTAATTATGGATTACTTTTACAATTGAGAAAATATATCTTTTTTAGGAAAAAAAAGCTTCTTAGATCAAAAAGTAGACTGATTTCATTATATCTTAGAGCAGGTTCTAGATAAAAGCCTTAGTAGGTATTTGTGCAGATATTGTTTTTTTCGGTTTTAAAAAATCCAAAGGTTCAAGTATTGAAGACCTCATTCCAAGAGAACCTTCTAAGTCTTGATCTACAACAAAATTTGGGCCTTTTCTTGCTCAAGTAGAGAGAAGCCTACAAAGGAGCCTACAAAGATGCAGGGAACCTACAAAAATGACCTGGTCTAAGGCCACTTCCTTGTAGACTCAGAAAAATTTGTCTGGCAGATAACCTTTTCACCTCTGTCCTCCTGTTCTATGAGGATCTCTCACGGCTGCATGAATTACGAGTCACACTCAGCATCAGTGCCTCTCCCTACTATTGGTCCTGAAGAAGTGAGCTTTCTTTTGAAAATTCAAATTTATTGAGGTATAATTTACACACAATAAAATGCACATACTCAGTAACTTTTGACACCTATGCAACCACCACCACAACCAAGATACAGAACATTTCCATTATCCTAAAAGGATTCTTTGTGCCCCTCCCACTCCATCCTCCCTGTATCCAAGCCCCTGGCCCCGGCAACCACTGAGAGAAACACCCATGAGATGAAGATTTACCAACGTGGAATAAGTCTGCCTTTCCTATAGTTTCAAACAAACGGAATTATACACGATGTTCTCTTTTGGGTGTGACTTCTTTCATTTGGCATACTGTTTTTAAGGTTCATCCATGTTGTTTGTTTTTAGTGCTGAGTACAGTACTATTTTGTTTGTACTCAGCAGTGAACGAAACCAAACTACATCATATTAGAAATTCATGATAAATGGTATTTGGGCTCATTAGTTACTTCATTCACCCATACATATTTTCAATGATTCATTTTTCTCTCATTCCACAAATTCTGTTGTAGTATTGCCTTTTATGTATCAGGCAATGTGTCAGCCATTGGTTAAATGTAAGCTGCACAGTTGGTTCTGGGATCATGTACCTAATTTTGATCCTGGGAAAAAAGATTATTCTGTGTAATATTCAATAGTAGCCCTACTTATCTATGTGAAAACTGTATGGGGCAGCGTTAAACTTACATGGCTGGGCACCCAGTGTCTCAATGTTCTTTGCAGACTTCATGAATAGTGTATTTTGTTCTGTCATAAGAATGAGGTAAGATGGTGCAGCCAAGATAGTATGTCCATGTTCAAGATAGGAAGAGCTAAGAAACATCTGTCACTGTTATCAGAAAAGAAAATCTTCCCAGAAGCCTCCAGCAGATTTCCTCTTATGATTCATCCACCAGAACTGGGTCACATAACCATCCACATCTGCAAGAAGGCCAATGAGGGTCTTGCAAAATGAAACAAGATGGTTATGACTGACACATATGAATCATGACTCATAGACTGAGGCTGGCAATTGTTATCCCAAGCGAAACTGAGGTTTCAATAACAAGAAAGAAAGAATAAATACATACTGGGTAGGCAATATGTATGCTGTGTCTACCATGGCTTCTCATGATGATATCTGCAGGGAGCCTCGGGATGACTCTGGCACAGACAGGGCAATGTGAGTAATAAAGTGGAGAATGGAAAAAGCATTCCACTAGATGGGTACAACCTTCCCTAGCCCACACTAAGTAAGATCTTTGGAGACTTCCAAAAATATACACAATTGGGACGTTTACTTTTGTTAACAAATGGATTCATGCTCATAAAATCATAATTATGAACTTTCTCCCACTAATTATAAGACAAGATAAAGACAGATAACTTTTGCAGTCCCTGCCAAAAGGCACCCTCAAGCTCCAAAGCTTGAGTAAAGCACAATTTCTAAGGGGAAGCCAGAGTCATATCATCTTCCTTGAGCCTTATTCCCCATCGTGCTCCCTCACCTCACAGGTGTGCCCCTGGAGACAAGGAAATTTGATCATGATTCTATTCTAGGTTCCAGGGGGGCTAATAAATATCACCCTTTTCTTCTCCTCCCCAAAAAGGGAGAAAAGTCAGATCAATGCACAGATAAAAATGGGAATAAGGCAGACGAAGATCAAAGTATCAGCTTTAGAACTAATAAAACCTACCTCAAAGGGCATGCCTTAGATGTGTTATCTCAGTGGGTGACCTAACAGATACTTTACCACATAATTCAGTATTCCCAGACACAGGCAGGGCAGGACAACTGTAGGCCTTCCCTACCAGAATAGGCTTACTGCAATAAACTTCCTGCATGTATGAGTGAACCAGACATGCCCCCCTCTGCCAATGTGAAGATCAGAAGGGGAGAGAAGCCAAACATGCCTATTTCCTTATCCTCAACTCACAGATCATATAGTCTCCCTCCTACCCTGAGGAGGGGAAGTGGCCGAAAGTATTTCTCACTCCTCTTTCTCCCTACGGACTGGAGTAGAAACTCATACCCGCTATGGAAACAAGAGAAACAGTTCCTCTAACACTTCTGTTTACAAATACCCTAAAACTGTTTGGTCATTAAGTGGATTTTTTTTTTAAGGAATAGGGCAACAATAAGAACATTGAATGTGAAGATGACTCTGGAAAGTTCCTCTAAAAAGTAAGATCTCACAGCCCCTTCATTAGCTAAGTAGTAGAGATTTCATTCATGCTAACCTATATACACACAGAACATATTATTTGGATGAGGTAAAATGCTAGCTTGAATGACAGAGACAGTCAGCTATCTGGAGATTTAAAATGCAGGGAGATTTGGGGGAGGGGTGTTAGAGAAAGCCACTGCCAGAATCTTTCAGTGGTACAGTATATAAGTTTATTTCAGGATCTGGGCTCCTTGCTTAGAGTGACCCTTTAGCTCATGGCACTGGTCTTCAAATATGTTACAAATTGATTTTGTTTGACCAATCCAGCATGAATGGTTTATTTGTAGCACAGTGGAAAGAAGTTCATTATTGTTATATATGATACTAGTCTATAGAGCAGTGAATCTTAAATGCCAGTGTGCATTAATCAAAGAGCTAATTAATGCAGGCTCCTAACACCCTACCCCAACTTCATAAGGTAAGTCTGGGACAGTGCCTATGAATCTGCATTTTTTAATAATTACCCTGGGAAATTCTGATTCAGATTTTGGGAGGTCCATATTTTAAGAACCACTGCTAAAGGGATGAGGTGAACTTTCATCAACTCCAAAACAGCTCTAGTTTCTTCTCCTAGCAGCCAATCCACGCTCCTTTAACCTTCTTTGTCAAATATATTGTTAAATGCTACCTGACAAAAGAATGACTTCTTAATGAGCCTATTAGGTCAGTAGCTTTCTAACTCTGTGGTCCACTGGTAGAATATGAAGCAGCTTTCTCATTCACTGCCCCCCTACTTTTGGTGTGCACTGTTCTAATCAAAGAGCTTTGAAGACAATAGATGTATTACAGAAGATTCAGTTTGCCTACCCTAGCATCCATTTCTCCTTTTTTCCTTCTAACAGAAGCTTGATTTGTCATGTGCCCTTCCCCCACCCCCACATCAACATTGGAAGCTGAACCTGCCCTCAATTACAGGGAGAGGACTTAGAAGACTAAAAGTAATTCATTTTCTTTGCCAGTGCTTGGTTCAAGAAACTGGCACAAGGCCAGGTGCGTTAACTCATGCCTGTAATCCCAGCGTTTTGGGAAGCCAAGGTGGGAGTATCAATTGAGGCAAGCAGTTCAAGACCAGCCTGGTCAACATAGCAAGACCTTGTCTCTACACACACAAAAAAATTTTTTAATTAGCTGGGCATAGTGGCTCATGCTAGTATTCCCAGCTACCCTGCTTGAGCCCAGGAGTTTGAGATCACAGTGAGCCATAATCATGCCACTGCACTCCAGCCTGGGCAACCGAGTGAGACCTTGTCTCTAAAAGCAAAAAAAGGAAATGGGCACATTTAGAATCTGGCCAATAGGACACACTGAGGAACTCTGCTGGGAGGATTCTAGAAGTTTTCTAACAATGTGAGCAAATGTTGCCAGCTCTGGATGTGATGCCTGGAACTGCTGCAGCTGTCTTGCTACAGCTTGAGGTTGAAGTCATGATTACATACTTTCACCAACCAATTGTAACATAAAATATGACAGAGAGTTGCAAAGAACCTGTGCCCTTGATGACATTACTGTGCCAGTGAATAAAGGCAACCAAGCCTCAAAGCCTACCCTATAGCTGGAGTTCCTGTCATCAATGAGTTAATTTTACTATTTAATCTTCTTGGAGTCTGGATTTGTTACTTGCTGCCAAAAGCATTGTAACTGATACAGACATCTTTGTATAGTTTCCTGTATTCTTCTCCAATACGGTCAGATATGTGTACATTTTATTGTGCCCTCCTCAAAATGCTACCTTTTGGATTTCTGAATATTCTGATATTTTACACACATGCATAAATACACGCAGACACACACACATACACAGACACCCCTCTTTACTTGTCTTAAGGTTAAGATGTTCATACTTCCCATGTCTTTTGAGATGTGTTATATTCGTGACTCCTACGCTACAGCTGCTAGTGCTCTTAAGGTTGTGAATGCTACTGAACCATGATTTTTGAAGCAAAAAATAAAATTTTAGCTAATTATACCTACCCACCTGGGTGCTGTAATTTATGAATGTCCTAAACCAATTAATATGAAGAAGCTGCACACCTTAGAAATTCAGCCATATGTATAGAGATCGTAAGTAGTCTTGTTATTCAAAGCATGCTGGTGGCACGCAAGTGAGAAACCAATAAACCTTCACTATTACAGAAAACACACTGAGAAAGACAAACACCCTCTTCCTGCAATTTTACCACAGGTCTTTAAGTATCACATCTAAATCTGCATTTGAATTAGAGTTGGGTACGGTTATAAAATGAATGTCAGTAAGGGAATCATGCAGAATACTAACAAAAGACTGTTCCATTAGCCCATCTAAACAAGCTAAATAATCTCAACCCTGGTTATAAAAATTGCTTTTAAAATCACAGAGGTACTTTTTAGTTTGAAGATTGATTCTCAAAGGTCCAAGACTCAATTTTCTCAAAAGTAAGGCTTATTCATATTTGATGGATGTAATAGGCTTCAAGGAGGGACTGGCTTGTGCGTCAGTGTACAGTCTTCCATGACTTTTTAAAAGTACATGTACTTTTGTGCCCTTGCCCCAACTTGCAACAACTCTGAAGGGTCATCCCAACTCCGGAGTGCCCTTGTAGGATCCCCTTACATCTTTGTTGTGACTGCATCACAGCTCAACTAACTCCTTCTTTTGCCTAATTCTGCTTCCTTTACTCCCTCACTCATATTACACCCAAGAATCCTCCTCATTAAGCCACCTATAGCCAAATCACTCTCACAGTCTCTTTCACAGCTACCTCAACCTACAACACTTTTCCTTAATCCGGAGAGTTGGAGGCCTGCCCCGCCTCTCATAAGTCAACCCCATTCCTCTAAATCTTCATGACAGCAGAACGGGGGTTGAGACTTCGACACACCATGTTTTATAGTTTCTGATTCTTTCTGTATAACAAAATCCTTCTCTAGGCACTTTTGAAGATTGTGTGGAGGGCAGTGGAGGTGTCTTCACTGACTGCCCCTTGTCCTTTGGTATATGGGAAGAATATTTTTAGGCTCTTCCCAAATAAAAAGAAGAAACTTTGCTGCAATGACCAATCAGATCTACGGTTTGGTAAAATTCTACTTGGAAATTATGAATTGATTTATTTGCTTAGCATTTGTCTCTGCTCTTAACCAATTCAATGAGAATCCCTGAATTAATATTTACAAAAGGCTTTAGAACTAAGAATGTTTTGAATAGGTAATAAATACATATAGCAATATTCAAAAGGTAAAAAATATATATATACTTTTATATATACACACATACATACACACACTTTTTTAAACCACTAATTCTTATTTCAATACCAAAAGAGTCAAACTGTTTCTGCTAAATACTAGCAAACAATTATATATAATCTAATCTAATATTCAAAACCAATTACCAAGTATTAAATACAATCAATGTCTTAAATTTCCATCCCCACTACCTGGGTCCTAGTTACCATTATCTCATGCTTGGATGACTGGTCTTAGGTCTACTCTGCCCCACTCTAATCCTTGCTCCAATTGCGGCCACGGAGATCTTCTCAAAACTCGAACCTGGTCTCAAGTGTCATCTCCTCCCCCTTCTCTCCCCTCCGACCACTGGCCTTTCTTCTGATACCTATATTTGAATGTTCTTTCCTACCACAGGTCCTTTGCATATATTAGCCCTTTTATCAGGGGCACACATTCCTTCCCTCTTCATTTGTTAACATTTATTCATGTCTTCAGATTTCTGCTTGAGCATCACTTTAGGGAGACTTCCCTGATCTAACAAAATCAAATTCTCTTGTTACAGACTCTCATAGAAACTTGTGCTTCTTTGTAATACCTGTTATATTTGCATTTTTATATTTGTGATTATCTGGTTACTGGTGATCTATAGAAACTTGTGCTTCTTCCTAACACCTGTTACATTTGCATTTTTGTATTTGTGATTATCTGGCTACTGGTGATCTGTAACATTAAACCATCAGCTTTATGGACAAGGGTTTTACCTGCTTTTACTCACCATTTACAAGCCCTCTATTGGAGTAGATGCTCAATATGTATTCAATGGGTGAAAACATTGGCAAATGTTTTATCTCCTACAAAATAGCCCCCAAAAGCAACATGAAATTCACCATCTTTTTTCCCTAGTTGTTTCCAGCGATCGAAAGAACCCCAATAACAAGTCTTTGGCTAGAAGATTCTTTTTTAAAATATATGTTACATGAGGAAGATGGGGTTGGATCTTCTTAGCACCCACCCATTTTGGAAGAGGGTTGTAAAGCATAGATGACATAAAGGGATAGTGCCCAGAATGCAGATATTCTATTACCTGTAACCACAAGATATCAACACCAGGACCATTTCCTTCTCTTGACATGAAAATAACTTCATCAAATGAGGAATTACTCAACCTCTTGTCTCCACCCCTTCTCTGAAGTTGGTATCCTATCCACCATTTGAACCCTGGTAGATGTGAGAACCCTATTCAATCTACTCTCAAGTAAAGATATCAGCTCTTATAATTCCATTTTCTCCTTTTCATGGATGGGTTAAGTCTCTTTCCTGAATTGTATTCTTATGACACCAATCAAAGCATATGGGAGTAGGGGTTGGAGGGAGAAGGGGAAAAGTAGATTGTTCACAAATGTTAGCTTGAAAGAACTTGTTTAGTCTTAATGCCTTGAAGAAAATTTCCAACGGTAGCAAAATCTTTTTCTGGGAAAAACTGTTTTCATTTTCACTTTCCATGGGCTTTAAAAGAAAATTTAAGCCTCTTGGGGCAGTTTTAAAAAATATTTCTATAAAAGTTTCTGGCCAGGCATGGTGGCTCATACCTGTAATCCCAGCACTCTGGGAGGCTGAGGCGGGTGGATCACCTGAGGTCAGGAGTTCAAGACCAACCTGGGCAACATGGTGAAACCCTGTCTCTACTAAAAATACAAAAATCACCTGGGCGTGATGACACATGCCTGTAATCCCAGCTCCTTGGGAGGCTGAGACAGCAGAATCGTTTGAGCCCAGGAGGCGGAGGTTGCAGTGAGCCAAGACTGTGCCATTGCACTCCAGCCTGGGTGACAGAGCGAGACTCCATCTCAAAAAAAAAAAAAACAACTTTCTGCTAAGATAATTCGGAGGCCCTGAAGCAAGATTCTAGAGTGATATGCATGTATTTAACACTGTGTGAGAGGCTTGAAAATGTATGCCAAATTTTCAGTGTTTGTTTGGGAGTATATTTTTCTGAAGAAAGAGTCCAGGTATTGCTTCAGATTCTCAGTCTCCAATACTTAGTATGCTGCCTGGCATGTAATAAATGCTTTATAAATACACAAATAAAAGGATGAGAGAATGAATGAAGGCAAAGCTCTAAAGACATTCAAAAGAATGACCACAGAAGTAAATTATTTAATACTAGGAAACACTGGTGTCAGTGAAGCCCAAGTAAAAGAAGATTTCAAGAAGAAAGTGGATAAACTGTCACACTGGACTGAACAGAGGTCAAGTCAGATAGGGTCTGAGAAATACCCAGTGGATTTAGAAATGAAGTGGTAGTTAGTGACCTTTAAAACTGGTAATTTCAGTTGAGATAAAATGTTGCAGTTGGTTGAAGAATAAACAGGAAGTTCACGGAAATAAACAGTGAGTAAAGACAACTTTTTCATGAACACTTGTCTGTGGACAGAGAGGTATGAAACAGAAGAGAGAGCGGCAAATTGGTGTAGGATGGTTTTATTTTTTTCTTCTAAGACAGAAAAGATGTGAGAATGCCTAAATGCCAGTGGGAAGGAGCCATAGCTAAGTAAACGAGAAAAATCCTAAAGAGTAGGAATGAATGGGAAGAGATCCAGAGGCTTGGACCAGAAGAGGACCACCTTTTCCACTGTGCAAGGAGAAAAGGACAAACAAACAAACAAAAAAAGAACAAAAATGGTTTATCAATGAAGTAAGTTTGAAGGTTTGGTCGCACTAATTTGCTAAAGTTGCCATCTTATGTTTTCTGTTTTCTCTGAGAAAACGGGAGGTAAAATAATCTGCTGAGAATGAAAAAGTAGGAGATCTAGTGAGCACATAGGGAAGGGTCTAAGGTCAGCAGAAGTTTAAAACAGCTCCTGTGGAGAATGGGAAAGAGAAGAATTGCCAGGCAAAGTCATGAACATAAATGTCATGCTATTAGTTTTCACCAATGTGTGATTTTTCTCTAAGAAGTCTTTCGAGCAGAAAGGGGTTTCTAAGAAAAATCCCTGCCACCAGAGGCTGCCTTATCTCTTGTGAGTGAGAATTAAGTTGAGTGACTTAAATTCACGTTCAAAATTGTGGTGGAAATACATTTATGTGAGTATCACATGCAGAAATTATGGTGAATCTGAAAATTATAGGAAGTTATTGGTATTATTTTAAATATCTAGAAAATAAAAGTTTGCCTCTTTAAGGGACTAAGAATGGTGACAGGAAAGTTTTTGTGTACAGGAAAATGAAAACCATTGTCAAGGCCGGCACAATGGCTAACACCTGTAATCCCAGCACTTTGGGAGGCTGAGGCAGGCAGATCACCTGAAAACAGGAGTTCAAGACCAGCCTGGGCAATGTGGTGAAACTCCGTCCCTACTAAAAATACAAAAATTAGCCCAGTGTGGTGGTGCACGCCTGTGGCCCCAGCTACTCAGGAGGCTGAGGCAGGAGAATCGCTTGAACGCAGGAGGCGGAGGTTGCCATGAGCCAAGATCGCGCCATTGCACTCCAGCCTGGGCAACAGAGCCAGACTCTTCTCAAAAACAAACAAACAAACAAACAAAACCATTGTCAAAACAAAGCCCTAAATTAATTACAGTCATCATGCACTACATAACAATGTTTCAGTCAACAATGAACAGTATATACACTGCTGGTCCCGTAAGATTAAAATGGAGCTGCACTATATAGGTGTATTAAAAAACAAAAACAACTGTTATATTGTATTTTTACTGTGCCATTTCCATGTTT
Organism: Homo sapiens; assembly: GCF_000001405.40. Taxonomy (NCBI): domain Eukaryota; kingdom Metazoa; phylum Chordata; class Mammalia; order Primates; family Hominidae; genus Homo; species Homo sapiens. Next base: position 96,082,132 of record NC_000010.11, read on the forward strand.
AGATATGTTTAGAAATGCAAATATTCACCATTGTGCTACAATTGCCTCCAGTATTTAGTACAGCAACATGCTGCACAGGGTTGTAGCTTAGGAGTAACAGGCTATACCATACAATCTAGGTGTGTAGTAGGCTACACCACCTATGTGTGTGTAAATAAACATGATGGTGAATTCACCTAATGACACATTTCTCAGAACATATCACCACAGTCAAGTGATGCATGACGGTACTTAGAGAGTCCCACAGGTGACCTAATAACTGAAGCAATCAGCTCTCAAAAGCTTTACCCTGTCACTTCAAGTGACAATGTCAGCGTCAACAAATCCAGAACAAAAGGAAGGACATCTAGAGAGAGAAATCCACAGCAAAGACTAGTTAGAGTGGTTTTCTCAAAACAGATAGAGATGGAAGGTAACAAGAGGGTGCATGTTCCCTAGCACATCTCTCCAGGCCAGCTGAGCCAAGCCTCGGAGAGGGCAATGGAGGTCCTCAGCCCATCAGCCATGACATACATATACATGACATAATCACTCAGACTCACCTAAAATTAAAAACAACAAACAAACAAATGGAGGACTCTCTCATGCTTATTCTACCAATTTTAAGTCAGTTCAGTCTCTAATGTTCAGTAGGTCATCAGGCAAAGGTGACATCACACTCAATCCCCAAACTGATACCTATTCTCTTTAGCTTTTCTTCTCCCTCTGTCTACAGACACCCAGAAGCAGCTGGTGACATTGAATACCTAATCACTGTTACTTCCCTCTTTATCTGTTTTCTGGCTTGGCTAGAGGCCTACCAAAAGGGTTAGTTACATAGCCAAGGTTTAAGATGAGTGCTTTCAACACTCTCCACCTAGCCAAACCTACTCTGTCCTGAAAACAGTACAGCAGTCCAAGTGGGGAAGCAGAGAAGACAGCTGTTTTGAAACGCAGGCTAAATAAGTGGTTAAATGCACATTTTCTAAGGGCAAACTTCTAGGGTTTATACCCTACTACAGTAGACAGAAAATTGAGCTTTACTTTCCTCACGCACAAAATGGAGATAACAGCGCCATTGAGAATATTAAAGGAGACAAACCAGGTAAACTCAGAAGAGTGTCTGGAATACAATAAGCACTCAGTTTATGTTAGCTATTATTATAATTTCTGACCTAGGGTTGTGTTTTACTCGGTAGGTCTAACAGAGGGAAAAGGGTGCAAGAGTGTAATGGTTGAAGTGATGGAAGCTGACTGGGAGAGAGAACAGCCAAGGGATTGGAGTTCTTGAAGCTGAAGTACAGATGCACTGGAAGTCATTCAGCTAAAAAGCTAGAAAAATGGGCAAAGAGCAGAAGAGTTTTTTAAGTTTTTAAGGGTGTAGCTGCTGACATAAATAATTATAAGATTCAGAGACTGGGTGGCTTCATGAAAAGGTAAAGGTCACTAAATTTGAGGTCAAGCAGTTGAGAGCCAGGATATTGGTTTAGTTAACCACATGGAATTTGAAGTGACCGTCATAAAGGTGGGACTTGGGGAGAAGAGGGTAACTATAAGCCAGGTGCCAAAGTCTTCAGTGAATGAAATGAAATGAATGGGAATGGCAGGGACAGGAAGTTCAGAAAATAATAAAGTCATATTGTATAAGCACATCTAAAGAAGGATGCCAGCTGCTCTCCCCAGATCCAACTGATGCTAGCTGGTGGGAAAAGACCACAGACCCAAGGCTGCTAAATATCTTGCGATGTTTAAGAGAGTATAATGACAATACAGCAACCTGACCTATCCAAAATGTTACTACTGCTCCTGCTGAGAAATACAGCCATCAAACTGTTTAGAGTGCCTTCTCAAAGAAGCCTGGCTATTTCACATGTCATGGCATCTCTGAAGCCCTTTCGAAGGATCATTTGTGTCCTCTCTCTACCCCTACACATACGTCCACCACAGTATGGCTCATACTTTATGTATTTTTTTTTTGATTGATTGATTGATCGACTGGAGACAAGGTCTCACTCTGTCACCAGGCTGGAATGCAGTGGCAAAATCACAGCTCACTGAAGCCTTGACCTCCTAAGCTCAAGTGATCTTCCCACCTCAGCCTCCTGAACAGCCAGGACTACAGTTGCAAACCACCACACCTGGCTAATTTTTTTTTATTTTTTGTAGAGATGAGATCCCTATGTTGCCCACAGTGGTCTGAACTCCTGGCCTCAAGCGATCCTCCTGTCTCAGCCTCACAAAGTGCTAGGATTATAGGCATGAGCCACCACACCTAGCTACATGTATACATTTAAATGTCACTCTCCCATAGGTACTTGCAGGGCTGAGGCAAGATGTAGTCATCTTTTCATGCCTATCTCTTAATGCTGTGTAAGCACTTCATAAATGTTATATAAGAGTTCTCACAGTCACCAAATCAGGGAACAGAGCATAAAAAGAATACTCTCCTATGAAGATGGGTCATGAAGCATTTAAGCTTTGACTATAAAGAATGATTTTTTTCTGGCTGGGCACGGTGGCTCATGCCTGTAATCCCAGCACTTTGGGAGGCCGAGCGGGGTGGATCACTTGAAGTCAGGAATTCGAGACCAGGTGAAACTCTGTCTCTACTGAAAAAATACAAAACTTAGCTGGGTGTGGTGACGGGTGCCTGTAATCCCCTCTACCCAGGAGGCTGAGGCAGGAGAATCGCTTGAATCTGGGAGGCAGAGGGTACAGTGAGCAGAGACTGCGCCACTGCACTCCAGCCTGGGCAACAGCGAGACCAGGCCTCAACAGAAAAGAAAAAAGAAAAGAAAAGGAGATTTTCCAATAAAGATTAGAAAGGAGGTGTGATATTTTTTCACCAACTGGTAGGATAACATTTTTAAATACTCCTGATGAGAAGTAGTCATGGCTGACACCCAAAAGTAAAAACTCAGGATTTGGAGAATAAAGTTGTTAGTTAACTTGGAAAATCCTTTACCCAGTACACTAAACTAAAAACGATGATGTCTTAAATTAGCAAAATCCCTTTGTATTCCTCATTCTCTAAAAACTTTTTAAAAATTTACTTACCCTAGAGTTTAAATGAGATGCTTATAAATTCATCTTTGCTGTAGGTTAAGTAATGAGAGGGTTTTAAAATTTTGTTTCTGTTCCTCCTTGCAAGTGTCCCATGCCTGTTTTATTCTTTTTAGTCACTGAGATTATCTCCAAATGTCAAATTTTCAAATTAATCTGTATTTGATATAAATTCTTGAACATGTAGAAAAAGTAGGGAAAACAAAGTGAATATATCTTATGATTTCAGCCTAGGTGAATTCACATTTTGTTAGGGTGGGGGGTTTACTGTTATTCGTTTACAGGAAAACAGAAAGATGGAGAAAAACGGTGTGGAAATAATAAAAACTTTAAAGGAAAACAATTTTCAGGGTAGTACAAAACAATCCTTAGGTACTTAAAAAATTATTGAAAGAACATATTTGCTCCAAATTTAATGATATCACTTCTCCTTCAGTTCTTTAAACTTGAAATCTTTGATTAATAAGCATAAACTTCTGTGAAAACATCATAAAATGAATTACTTTTTTGGACTCATAAAATAATTTATTATAGGCCCTTGGCCTTATTCTCCTTTGGGTTTGGAGAACTCAGTAAAGTATACATTACAAAGTTTGTGCAAGGAAGTAAGTACTAACAGAAGTGAATACTATTCCCTCCTCATTACTGCACAGGCATAACTAAAGAATAAAAACTTTGTGTTTTCTGTAAAAAAGGACTCTGAGAAAAGGAAATTGATAGTGAAAATTCCAAGATGTTCATGGTCAATGTTCACTCAGTAATGAAGTGCTATCAAGTGGTACAGAGTTTTATTTTAGTGGCAGGAATTTTTGTAATTATGTAAATGATTTTACTCCTATATTTGGTCTTTAAAAATTGAATATACAGGCATATACCCTTTACAGAATTATGTAAGTAAAATTATAGCCATAATCACATTTAACAATTGAAACGATTTTTAACATCTGGATTATGAATATAAAATAATTTCTTGTATCTCATGTTTAGTTAAAACACTGTGTTATTTGAGGGTAACATTTTTTTTGTTAATTTTCCCAAATCCCTTCCTGATGATACCTCACACACTGGCTTTTCTGGCCACAGCACAAAACTCAGCTGATTATCTACAGAGAACAGTCTACAACTCTATAATTATTCCTGTGCCACCTTCCTGGTTCTAACCGAAAGTACAGACTATTAGACATCCATAATTACGGTTGGAATAATTTCTCCTGTTAACATTATTCTTACACTTGCCCACCCAAAAACTTGGAACACTTTTCTGCCCACTGACATAATTTCAATTATGACATAATTTCAATTGTAGTTTATTTTTATTGTTCATAACTCAGAAATATTCAATATTATTTGTATACTAGGAAAGATAGTATGCCTAATCACCTCCAGAATACTCACAAAAATTAAATAAGCTATCAAATCACATTTTTAAAACTTTTTTTACAATCAAGATTTCTAAAAATTAAATAATGTTCCTATACTTTGGCCACTTTAAAAATAAATCAGATTCTTTGTTGGAAAGTCTATAAGCCAGCATTTCAATTTTTACTATAACTCTTCGAGGAACAAAATATACCCCATACTTGATGACAATCAGCAATAATCAGCAGAAGAAAAGATATTTGGAAAGAAAGACAGTTTACAACAGTGAACTTCTGAATGCAAAAAATTTCAGTGCAAAATAGTTTTACACTATTAATACTATTGCAGTCATGTGCTACATAATGACATTTCACTGACGGTCCCATAAAGTTATAATATTTTTACTGTACCTTTTCTATGTCTAGACATGTTTACATATGCAAATACCATTGTGTTACAACCACCTATGGTATCCAGTACAGTAACATGCTATACAGGTTTGTAACCTAGGAGCAATACGCCATACCATACAGATATGTAGTAGCCCATACCATGTAGATTTATGTAAGTACACGCACAATAACAAAATCACCCAACACATTTCTCAGAATGTATCCCTGTCATTAAGCGATGCATGACTGTGTATTTTATGTCTAATTCAAGTCAAACACAATTTTTTAATATTGTATTTGTAATATGAAATGAAGACGTGGCAGGGCACAGTGGCTGATGCCTGTAATCCTAGAACTTTGGAAGCTGAGGCAGGCAGATGGCTTGAGCCCAGAAGTTCAAGACCAGCCTGGGAAATATGGTAAGACCCTGTCTCTACAAAAAAATTCAAAAATTAACTGGTGCGGTGGTGTGTGCCTGTAGTCCTAGCTACTTGGGAGGCTGAGGCGGGAGGATCACTTGAGCCTTGGAGGCAGAGGTTGCAGTGAGCCAAGATAGCGTCACTGCACTCCAGCATGAGCAACAGAGTGAGATTGTCTCAAACAAAGAAAAAAGAAATGAAGACTTGTTTACTTCATTGAGTAAATGATTACTGAACACTCACTATGTGCCAGGCATGTTCTCAATATGGGGGATTCACAGGTGATAAAGACAAACATAGTTTCTACTTTTCCATTATCATGAAGCCCAAATTTTTTAAAAATTTATTTTGCAGATGTCATCAAACGAAGTCTATGTGTTATCTTGAATCATTTACATTCAAAAATACTTAATCCTGCAATAAAATGTTAAAAAGTCACAGATGTTACAGAGTCAGGGTTGAAAAAGAGCTCATTAGTTCCAAGATGCACATTATTTTACATTTTGACATCTCTGAAATCAGTCACATCTTACAATGTAATCAGACTAGACGGCAATGGAGATGGAGTTGGCACTGCCGTGCATCAAAACTTCAAAACTCAGAATGAGCACTAGGGGCTTGGAAGAAAATCCCAGGTTTGATGGTAAAGGCACCATTTTAAGGAATTTTTTTTTTTTTTTTTGTGGTAGAGATGGGATATCGCTATGCTGACTGACCAGGCTGGTCTCAAACTCCTGGCCTCAAGCAATCCTCCCATCTGGGCCTCCCAAAGTGGTGGGATTACAGGCGTGAAGCACCACACCCAGCCTTAAGGATTTCTGATGATTCAAGATTCAATAAAACATAATAGTTCAAAGTTTTCATTTATTATAGGTGAGGAAAATGAAATTCAGAGTGGTCACACAACTTGCCCTAGTTTACAAAGCTGGACAGGTAGAATAGAGTCCAGGTCTGTTTTCTACAGTCATTCACTCTTCTACCAGTGTTCAGTTATATGGAGGAAAAGGGTGTCATACAAAACAAGTAGGTAAGAAGATGGCTCTAAGTTACAAAGACGGATTTGTAACTTAATCCGTCCTTGCCTCAGTTTCTCCATCTATTAAAACAGGGATTTAACAAACCTAACTCACAGTACTGCTGTAAGCATTAAATAAAATATGTCTAGCAATTATCACAAAGATTGGCATATGGTAAATACTCCATAAATGTCAACTACTTGAGATCAAACTTTACATTTATTATACACTAAGTCAAGCCCACATATAGTTGTCTAAAGCGCTTGAAAACTAAATAAACTGGTCAAGTGTTTGAAGTGATAAATACAATGAAAATTTCCACCTTAACAATGTTTTGTCCAGGTACTATGCCAAGAACCCAATAGACCTACCTGCAAGAAACCATACAAAAAGCAAGATTCCAGGCTGGCATGACGATCAAATTATGTACTTCAATGCGTGTGAATGCATTTATAAGCACAGTCTCAATACATAAATAAGGAACAAAATATTTAAAATGTATAAACAGATCATTTCTCTTTGCTTTCTTTAAAATACTATATCAGAATCACCTGAGGAACTTGATAACAATTTTTTTAAAAACTATTATAACTACGTATATTAAGCCTTGTTAAAACCACAAGTTTTAGAGGTTTAAGCCTTACTAGGTCAGCTCTTCTGATTTTGAGAGTTTAAGTGAAAATTTAAATTATAACACAGTATGTGGAGTAAACCTGCTTCAAATATTAGTTTCTACATTATTGTTTCTATAAAAATAGTAATCTTCTGTATTTTAATATCAACTCATCACATATTAAATATTTCAGTCAAATCAAAATTTCATTTGAAATCTTCAATCTAAAAAATACACAGTTAAGCGCTTAAAAAGTAATTTTAACCACTAGGAAATGTTAATGATTAACTCACATTTGTTTCTGTTTCACTCCATGACAAAGTCTATAGGACACCCTGCAGAGAGGAAAACTCACATTAATATACCCATAATTTTACTTTCAGAAGCTTCTGGTAATCAAAGACTTATTATGAGGTGTCTTCATGTTACCACTGCGCAGTAGCAAACTTAAAATATTCTAAAGATTAATCTATTTTCTCATTTTTTTAATGCTTTTGTTAAAATCTCAACAAGTACTAACATGTTATCTAAATTTAAACCTTAAAACAATAACACGACCCAATATGTGAACTCTGCCTATTAATTCTAAAACTTTTAATAATAGTTTGCTTATGTTTGAGACTTAAAACAATAACATACTGCACTACACCCATCTTAGATATTTTCTAGGATCAAAGTCTATCTGGAGCAGGGCAAGCTGTGGTTGAGGGTGGTTGGGTCAGCAGGTAAGAGCCTTATGACCAGCTCTAAACGCCTCCACGGTGAGGAGCACCTCGAGCTAACAGACCAAGCACCAAAGGGTGGAACAGCTCAAGGTTGCATTTAGGAGACTCCAGCCTCGGCCGCCCGTGACTCCTCGACGAGCCCCACCTCTCTCGGTTCCAGCATCCGGCCCGCCCCTTCCTCCCAGGCTACCACAGTATCGCCCGCCGAGCTCCCGGGCTGCGGGAAATGACGGAAACAAAAACTTGGTACACAAAGAAGGGCTAGGTCAGAAGTGAGGTCCCACCCTGGCAAGAAGGGCGACTTTTCTAGAAAAACTTAGCGGCAAGTTAACGGGAAGCGCGGCGACACAGTTCCTACGATTGTGGGGGGCACTCTGCCGCCAGGCAGTCTCATCCTTTGTCCTTTGAGAGGCCTCCTTGAAGCCGAAGGCTCTTAAGTGTCCCTGGGCAACCCTTGACTCGATCTCCATTACGGGCCCTCACTGACAGCAGCCATGACAGTTGCTTCCGGATATATTGAATCGCCGCGGCCAGAGTCTCCCGGAAGTGACGCAACGCGGAGGGATCCGCGTTCGGCAGTGGGAGACCGAAGCGAAGTGGTTCCCGGAAGCGGCTGCAGCTGGGCTGCTGGTGGCGGGGCGGGGGTAGAGTGGGGAGAGAGGTTGTGGGTCTTACAACCAACCAACCCCAACACGTTTTACGTGTTAGGCAGGCATTGTGCTGAACACCTCATTGGCAAGCCATTTAATCCCTTCCTTACAATCCCAGCAGTCAGAAATGTATCACTTACATTTTATATATGGGGAAACTAAGGTTAAGAGAGGGCAAGTAAATTTGTCCGAGATCGTATAGCTGGTACTTGGTGAACGTGGTCTAACCCAGACACCGCGTTCTCCCTGGTGACTCCATTTTGTAAAACCAGAGCTGTTGGCGCATGGCATCCTCGTAAGCCCCTTTAAGTTAGGCACTCTGTTGCCCAGAGAGGGGCCAACTTGTAGCCAGTATGCTCTTTATGGTGAACACAAGGCCCACGTGTGTGCCTGGGTCCCCTTGGCTGAACCTCGGATTTCAATTGGTTTCTGACACCTTGCCTTTGCAGCATTCTCCGTCTGCAGCGCTGGTTACCTGAGGAAACTGTCAATGATTGCTAGGCTCTGGGGAACATTTTAGCTCCGTTTAGGCCCTTTTAAATCCAGGACTAAGACAGTTGGAGGCCTCTCACCATCACCAGATACTCTAGCTGGCCTTAACAGAGGGCCAAGGACCATAATCTTGGACTTTCCACCAGACCAAGTGTTTGTTTGGCTTCTGTTTCTTTAGAATATGACTGAAAACCAATCTGTAGTTTGTTTAGTCTTCTTTCTGCATTGACCAGTACTCACATAATAAAGTGGGACTAGCCACTAAGGCTATGTTTTTGTAAAAACAAATTATGCCTAGAAAAACACAAGAAATACATCAAAATTAACAGTGATAGTGTTTGAATAGAGAGTGATTTTATTTTTTTCTCTCTGCTTTCTCTTTTGCATATCTGCTATAAAACCCTTTTAAAATAGAAAAATAAGCAAACTGGCTATGGTAAAAACATTTTTAATTGCCTGCTGTTATAATGACGGCAAAGGCATGTTGTCACATTTTGATAAATGACCGTCCTTGATACAAATCACGTAGAGAAATCCTGTTTGACTAGAAAAGCATTGGATTTTTGTGAGTCAGTGTATTCTCAAAATTTTCGATATTTTGTTTTGGTTCTATAATCCTCACAGGAAAAGTAAAAAAGCAAATTGATGTTTTTCACACACTTTCGTATGAGAGTATGCTACCACCAAAAGTCTTCCCTAAAACAAAGTTGCAGGGGTCAAGTCATGTGGGGCGTTTGGATACTTGAAATGGTGGAGAACAAATATAAAAAGCTATTTTTATTCTGGCTGCTTTGGGGTACAGTTTTAAGCAATTTATTTCAGACTGCCAAAGAAAGCTTCATTCTTTATTCACATACTCTACTTCCCACTATTGCTTATTAGTGACTTCTAAAGCAGTGACAAAACAAGTAAAAGAAGATAGAAAGGAAAAATGAGAAGGGATCACGGGAAGAAGAAAATGTGGAGGAACAAAGACAGATGGTGATATTGGGGTTACTTTGGAACTCCAGGGTAGCATGTAACAGCCTTCTTATCCAAGTCCTGGCACAGGCCTGGTTGCCTACTAAAAGGTAAATTAGCATCTATGATGTTCCTGCTCACATACTCAGCACCCACAGTGATAAGTCTTACTAAAAATTCATCTTGATGCGCATTCAAATTAGACATATATTTTAACAAAAATGGAGGGGTTGAACAACAAGAAATGTAAAGTAAAATCCCATCATTTTTCCTGTTTTTTTATCTTACCATGTCATTCATTCATCCTGTGGTTAGTAGTATAACTATAAACTGGAAGTTTTGCCTGCAGCATTATAAAGCAACAACTATGAAACGCCAAAGTGAGGTGCTGACAAGATGCATGTTTTCCAAAGAAATGTCTTTACATTAGTCTGGCTCTGATGAGAAGTTGTTATGATGGGATTAAATGTGCAACAATTTTATTAGAGGAAACACCTGTGAGAGAGAATGGGCGGGAGCCAAGCAAGACTGGGAGAGGCTGCAAGTCTGAAATTGAGTAAAGCAGAGAGAGAGGGAAGGGTGGTGGAAGTTTCCTGGACTGCCAAACAGTCTAAGCAAGATTTAGAAAGGCTATTGGAAATCCTCAAGCCAAAATCACCTGTCAGAGGAGTCCTTCTTTCAGGAGCCAGCCTGCCTTATTATCTGTGCTGCTCTCAGTCACCGGCTGGAGCAGCCCATGGGTGAAAATGTGGCCAGGGAATTCAGAGTGCAGCAAGCATCTAGAGCCCTTGATCAGTTTTGCTCCCTGTATTGGCAGCCACAGTCCAAGAACTGGTTTTGCCGCTATTGGAACCTTTCACCAGTTTCATGGGTTAAAAGAAGATGTTGAAAGAGATGAGTTTATGAGGAGAAGTTTTGGGGAGAGCCATTGTTATATGCTTCCCCAGTCACCTTCAAGTCTAGTGAAGGGGGCTTCAATAGCAATACTCAGAGAACTTGACATGCATTTCCTGGGTTTTGAGAGGTACAGTAGTATCGTGACTCACATCTGGGAAATCCCAGGGGTAGGAGAGATGGGCCAGTGAGAATTTTGGCATAGGAGTGAAGGAAAGTTGCTATGTTGGGATCTGTAGTCACTGCCGTAGTTTGTCAAGGCAAATGATGCCTGAGTGTTTCTCGTGCAGCAGATGTGGGCCACGTGAAAAAAAGAGAAAGTTGGCCTGAGACCTTTTTGACTCTTGTGTATGGAGAGAATCTGTATGGTATGGATTGTTAGAGAAGCCATAGCTGTAGATGGAGCAATAGCTGGAGGAACAGAATGTATTGCCTATCTAGAGTGACCAACTTGTCCAGTGCCCTTGGACTTTCCCTGCTTTAGTACCAAAAGTCCCAAGTCCCAGGAATCCATGTTTGATCATTCTGTGTGTCATAGGAGTTGCAGCATCCAACGAACCTAAAAATCACCCGTGAGAGTGAGCCAAGTTTAAGTTTCAAGCAGGTCTAGAGTGTAAAACCAGCTTATGACCATGCCGGGATTAAAGTAGATTTTAGCAGAGGACAATTTGAAAATGACGCTGAAACAAAAATTTCTACACACTCTTTTTTTGGAGTGTGTATTAGTCTGTTGACACAGCCAAAATACCATAGACTGAGTGGCTTACACACAGAGATTTATTTTCTCACTGTCCTGGAAGCTCAAAGTTCAAAACCAGGGTTTTGACCAATTTGCTTTCTGGTGAGGGGCATTCTTCCTGGGTTGCAGCTGGCTGCCTTCTCACAATATCCTCATATGGCCTTTCCTCGGTACATACTCGAGATGAAGAGGCGTGGAAGAGAAAGAGAGAGAACTTTCTGGTGTATCTTCTTATAAGACACTAATTCTGTCAGATCAGGGACCCACCCTTATGACCTCATTTCATCTTAATTACTTCCTTAGAGGCCCCATCTCCAGATATAGCCACAGCGGGGGTTAGGGCTTTACCATATGAATTTGACGGGCACACAAACGTTCAATCCATCACAGAGTGTGACTCTGCAACACAGAGATACCTTTTTTGGGTAGGGGCGGTCATGAGAACATTAGGTCTGTGTTTATGTCTCACACTCTTAAGGAGAAGTTATGCTATGGTGACTTTGCAGCCCTGTATCTTTATGAACAAATGTAAATATGATGTCTATAGATCGTTTGTGACACTTTTAGAGCTCTTTAGACATTACTTTAATCTTGTCAAGGAAAGTTGGATACCCAGAGGACCCTGTTATTTTTGTGTTCTGCAGAGCAGAGGATGTCACACGCTAATGTTCACACTACTGAACTCATGAGGAAACCCACAACAGACTCTGTGTACATAGTGATCAGGACTTGGGCTAAGCCCTGGGGCTTGTACTTAGCTACAGGGACTTAGTAAACAGTGGAACTATTCTGATAAGGGATATGTTACTGCTTCTATTTATGAAATTTGATTTTTTTTAAAGTTAACACAGGATTGGCTAATCAGAGAATATATCCTCTTACATCTTTTTTACAAATATGAACTCAAGTAGTTGTAAGACTCCAGCTTAAAAGGCCAGTATATTAAGAATGAATTGCTGTTAAACAAAACAAAACAAAAAAAAGACAGACATAGATTTGAGCTTCCTTTAGCATCCACTTGATCCTTCCAGGAGGTATAGCTGTTTTTTTAATTCCTTAAGGGGTATAATAGTTGGAATTATGTTCAGCTATGAGGAAGTAATAGAAATTTTCAAAATAAGTTTATTTAAACATGACATAAATTAATTTTTTTTTCTTTTAAGACATCTAGATGAAATCAATTTAGAGTTCGTACAGTTATTCATGGGGTGAGGATTCCAGGCTCCTCCTATCTTGTTGCTCCACTATCTGTGGTGTCCATTTTCCAAGGTAATTTCATGATCTAAGATGGCTGTTAGAGCTGTAGCCATTCCAGTGAACAGGAAAGACTAGGGGATTCAAAGAAAAGCACAATTGTTTCATTTCAGGATAGTTCCCAAATGTTACACACAATCCTCTGCAAGACATGTGGAAAAGGTGGTATTTTATTTTCTGGTAAGCCAGTGCCCAGCTAAAAAATTAGTTTTTATTACTCTATAACAAGGGTCAGAAAATGATGGCCAATTGGTGAGTTGCCTGTTTTTATAAATAAAATGTTATTGGAACACAGCCATGCTCATTTTACCTGTCGTCCATGTCTACATGTTCTTTTAAATGATTTTATTGACATAATTCACATTATACAATTTGCCCACTTAAAGTGTAAAATTCAGTGGCTATTAGCATTCACAGAATTATGCATCTATCACCACAATCAAGTCTAAAACATTTCCATTGTCCTGAAAAACCCCACGACCTTTAGGTATCTCTCCAATCCCCCATATCTGCTACCCATAATCTTTCTGTCTGTATAGATTTGCCTACTTTGGACTTTTCATGTAAGTGGAATCATACAATAATTTGGGTCTTTTGGGTCTAGCTTCTTTCACTTAGCATAATGTTTTCAAGATTCATCCATACTGTAGCATGTATCAGTACTCCATTTCTTTCTGTGGCCAGATATTCCATTAATGGATATACCACCGGGTGTTTATTCATTCATCAGTTGATGGACATTTGGGTTGTTTCTTCCTTTTAGCTATTGTGAATAATGCTTCTATAAATATTCATGTACACATTTTTTTGTGGACATATGTTTTCATTTCTCTTGGGTATATTCCTAGGAGTAAAATTACTGGGTCTTGTGGTAAAGGTATGTTTAACCGTTTCAGAAACTACTAGACTATTTTCCAATGTGACTGCACCAATTTCCCACCTTCAGAAACATGTTTGTATCTGAATGCATATCTCCTATATTTTAAATAAATAAATATATGCAGGGAAAAAATAATAGATCAGAAAGAGAGAGAATCCCATTGTTATTCTGGTTGTCCCTAAGATTTGCTCTATCCCTCTCCTATCTGAGGTTTGATTATTATGTGAGCGAATAAGTCCTCTTTTTTTTTTTTTTTTTTTTGGGACAGAGTCTCACTCTGTCACCCAGGCTGGAGTGCAGTGGCATGATCTTGGCTCCCTGCAACCTCCTCCTCCCAGGTTCAAGTGATTCTCCTGCCTTAGCCTCCTGAGTAGCTGGGATTATAGGCACGTGCCACCATGCCCAGCTAATTTTTGTATTTTTAATAGAGACAGGGTTTTGCCATGTTGGCCAGGCTGGTCTTGAACTCCTGACCTCAGGTGATCTGCCCACCTTGGCCTCTCAAAGTGCTGGGATTACAGGCGTGAGCCACCACTCCGGCCAATCCTCCTTTTTATTTGAGCTATTTTGCATTAGGTCTCTGATACTTGCAAACAAAGGCAACTTGCAACTAATACAGAATGTGAACCTGCTAAAACAGTTGTACAGCCATGACATTATTCATGCTAAAAGGAGGTGGCTATTAGAAATAAACACTTGAAAAATACAACTTTCTATCAACTGTGATAGAAATCAGTAGTGACAACCAATATCAGTTTCCTCCTGTTATTTTTGGGCACGCAGCTAGACTATGTTTCCCAGATCCCCTTGTACTTAGATAAGATTATATGACTAGATGTCACCAGTGGAATGTGAGAAGTGATGGGTGTCATGATTGTAGTGGTTAAATATGGATATTGACTTATTTTTCTACTTTCCTTTTCTGAAGGCCAGGTGTGGAGAATTCAGAGGACTCTGCTTCTTGGGGAAGGTGGAGCTACTAGATATTAAAAACTTAGGTCCCTGAATGACTGCATGGAGTAGAACCCTTTCATTATGTCTGTTAACCCATATTGGACCGGGACATGAAAAAGCAATAATCCTTTATTCTGTTAAAATACGAAAGTAAAACAAAAACAAAAATAGCAGGTAGCCTACTTTAATACATCTACAGCCTTAAAATACTTCCTTATGGATTTTGATGGTTCTGGCTAATTTGGGCAAAAAATATGGCATAAAATATCAATCATCTGAATAAATGTGATTAAGATTTAACCAAGGTCATCATGAGAAATACTATAGTAGTATAGCTATTGGTGGTACCTATTCAAAGGATCACATACTAGTTTCCATATCCAGTTTGTGGAAGTCTTCGAAGCAATGTTTAAAGATGAGTTACCTAGAGATTGTGTGAACATAAAAATGTGGATGATCTAGAGGACAGAAGCAATTACCCTGATGAAGATGTAAAAGTTGTCACTGTAAATATCTATCACTGAAATCTCACATCATTTGTATTATTCAAATGTGTGTCCAGTGAGGCAAAAGAACTCATGGTATTAATTTGAATGCCACATATTGGTTCTTTAGAAATCATTTCCCTCCTCCTTTAGAAATCACTTCCTCCTTCACCTAGGACAAACCACAGATAACTGCACAGGCTCTGTAAATGGTTTTAAGAAGTCTTCAACGATGCCCCTAAGAACATATTTGGTTCCCTTCTGGTAGATTAAATGCTACCTAGCCTGAGGAAGACCCCCTGTGTACTAGTATTTTTCTCCTACCATGAGTGACATATTGTAAAAGCATTAGGCATCCAGATGTTCTACTTCTCATTGCTTTTCTAAATGTTTTATTGAGATATACCTTCTACTATAAGATGACTCATTGTTAGGCAGTATTTATCAAGCAGCTATGCCAGTTATCAACTGATTGCCTCTCAGCCCCAAATTTACCTTTTTGCCTGATCAGTAAACATGGACCTGGGTCCTTGAAATATTTTTCCTTAGCCAGTGGGCATGATGTTAATCTTCTTAAGAAGTGGGAGCTGGAGAGACATTGCAGGAGGAGGAAGTTTTCCTTCCTGGTCCTGGTGGCTTTTATTCTCTATTGCTTGGCCTCTATTCTCTATTGCTTTTATTTTCTATAGCTTGGCCTGTGTAGTTTTCTCCGGTATGAGGTACCTAAAGGAGGCAGATTTCTCTAGTGGCCACTGTGTCAATTTCTAGACTTGGGTGGCAGAGGCATAGCCAGGAGAATGGCATGAATTTGTGCCTTCCCAGGTCACTGCTCTCTTCGCCCATTCTTCAGACCCACAATGTGTACATGCCTGGAGCCCTGCAAGCTGGCTGTGAGGAGCCCTGCAAGCAACGCTACCCTGGCTCTAGTGAGCCAGCCACCCAAGCTTTGCCTGTGCAGCTGCCCAGAGCTGCCCTTGTCCAAGCCACACACAGAAGCACTAGTTTCCTGTAGCTCCCAGTTCCAGCAGCATCCACAGTGGTGCTCTATCTTGTTCTGTGCACTTGACTTCCTGCCTAACACCCACCTACCAGTGTGAGCTTGCCTGTACCCTCCTGCTTACCCAACAACTAGGCATAAATACATCTTTACAACTTTGCGTCTTCCAATTCATGAATATTGTATATTTCTCCTTTTATTTCGTTGTTCTTTAGTGTCTTTTACTGAAGTATTATAGTTTTATCTACAAATATTTTACATACTGTTTAAACATCTATTCCTAGTATTTCATATTTTAATGATATAATAAATGGCATCATCTTTAAGTTTTTAATTTTTAACTATTTGATTGGAGTGCAACACATTTTTATATGTTGATTTTGTATATCCAGCAACTTTGCTAAACTTTCATATTACTTTTAATCATCTATATATAGGTTCTGTTTAATTTTCTATATCCCAAATTGTGTCATCTGTGAATTCTTCTTTTCTAATCTTTATGGTTTTATTTATTTTTCTTGCTTTATGTACCAGTGAAGACACAAAATATAATGTTGAATAGAAATGGTGTTAATGTCTGCCTGGCATGGTGGCTCACGCCTATAATCCCAGCACTTTGGGAGGCCGAGGCGGGCGGATCCCGAGGTCAGGAGTTTGAGACCAGCCTGGCCAACATAGTGAAACCCCGTCTCTACTAAAAATACAAAAAAAAATTTAGCCAGGTGTGGTGGCACATGCCTGTAGTCCCAGCTACTCGGGAGGCTGAAGCAAGAGAATTGCTTGAATCCTTCTCTTTTCTCTTTCTTTTCTTTTCTTTCTTTTTTTCAGATAGGGTCTTACTTTGTCACCCAGGCTGAAGTGCAGTGGTGCAATTGCTGCAGCCTCAAACTCTCAGACTCAGATGATTCTCCCATCTCAGCTTCCTGAGTAGCTGGGACTACAGGTTGCATCACCACACTCAGCTAATTTTTTTGTATTTTTTGTAGAGATGGGGTTTTGCCATGTTGCCCAGGCTGGCCTCAAACTCCTGGACTCAAGCAATCTGCCCACCTCAGCCTCCCAAAGTGCTGGGGTTATAGGCTTAAGCCATGGTGCCCAGCCAAAAGTTTGGGATTTTTCAATCTGGGCCTGGAAAAGACAGATTAGTCTTTCTCAACTGGTAGAGAAATGAGGGTAGATGAGATCACATGGAAGACTTAGAAACAATAACATTCTTTACTATCAGGACAAAAAATTTTTTGCAGTGAGATAAAGCTGACATGTAAAGAGAAGCTGAGATAGGAGATTGATGGGAAGAAATCTGAAAATTTTTATATCACTGTTTCTGGGATCTCCTGAGACCCAGTGTTACGTGTACCCTTTCAGTAACTGTGTATTCAACCCTTCATTTCATTATGAAGAATATCATACCTTGATATTTTTTCAGTAAATTTATATTTTCAGCCTAGTTTGTTTGCAACCATAAGGAAGTTTCAATGCATACATGATTGTTGCAAAAAAAAATACAAAAAATTATCAAGCAAAAAGCAGGATTTTCTCCTCTCCTTCTACCTTACTGTTCTCATTATAGTATTAACTTCTCACCACAGTGTTCTTAATATCTTTCCGTGTTCTTTCTATGTATATTACACATGTGAAATTATATATTTATAAACTACTTTCATCACTGTTTCACTCAGCGTTATATTGCAGAATTCTGTGTCAAGATACAGAAAATACACTTTTACCTTTTTAGTAGATGTGTTGTATGGTTGTACCCCTATCTGTATAACTAATTTCCTATTGATAGATATTCAAAAGATGTTCCCAATTTAGTGGTATTACAAAACAAAGATATAAAATTCTTTGCTTCTTTGTTAATTCAATAGAAATATATTGCCCATATTACGTGCCAGACAATTTTCTTGGCAAGTAATTTTTCAAGCTTCTGTTGGTAGAAAGGGGAAGAAATAAACAAGAAAACAAATACATGTGAACTAAATAATTTCATCTAGTGATAAGTTCTGTGAAGACAAATAAAACAGGGAGATTTCATACAAAGGGAAAGATGTGGGTGTAGAACTTCTTCAGAAGGGGACCTGGGGAGGTAAGCAGTGGCTCACACCAATGGAGTCCCAGTGCTTGAGGAGCTAAGCGGGGAGGATCACTTGAGTGCAGGAGTTTGAGAACAACCTGGACAACATAGCAAGACTCTGTCTCTCCAAAATTTAAAAATAAAAAAATTAGCTGGGCATGATGGCATGCTCCTCTAGTCCCAGATATTCAGGAGTTCAGGAGGCTGAGGTGGGAGAATTGTTTGAGGCCCGGCCCAGGAGATGGAGACTATAGCGAACCATGATCGTGCCACCCCAGCCTGAGCTACAGAAGGAAACCCTGTCTCTTTAAAAAAAAAAAAAAAAAAACCGGGAGGCGAAGCTTGCAGTGAGCTGAGATCGCGCCACTGCACTCCAGCCTGGGCGACAGAGCGAGACTCCGTCTTAAAAAAAAATAATAATAATAAAAAGAAAAAAAAAAGGAGGAGGATCTGGGTCGTTTCTGCTGCAAGGTGGGTGATATTTGGCCTAAATCCTGAATGATACAAAGAAATGGGCCCTGTGTGATCAAGGCAGACGAACATGGAAAGCAAAGATCCTAAGGCGGTAACAACTTGGCAGTTTGGAGGAAAAGAGAGGTGGCCAGTGTATGTGTTAGACTTCTTGCAATCAGTGGAAACCAATATAACAGTTTAAGCAGGAAGATAATTTATTGAAAGACACTTGGCAGCTCACAGAATCTCCGGGATGGCAAAGAACCATCTTGGATACTGGCCTACCAAGACAAATTCCCAAAAATCACACTGTGGAACTGGTCTAGAGGTGGCCAGTGTATCAGTTAGACTTCTCCTTGCAATCAATGGAAACCAATATAACAGTTTAAGCAGGAAGAGAATTTATTGAAAGATGCTTAGCAACTCACAGAATCTCTGGGATGGCAAAGAACCATCTTGGAGACTGGCCTACCAAGGCAAATTCCCAAAATCACACTGTGGAACTGGTCTAGTGGGAACATCACTACTGTGCTTGCTGGTATATATGCTATTGCTTGCACCAATAATGATACTGCTACTGCTGACTCTTCAATTTCCATGTATCTGCCACCTTACCCTCCACCCTTATTTATGACACTAGTTTCCAATTTAAAGTCTGCAGAAGTGACTCCCTCATGTAGATCCTATATGTGTTTGCACATTTGTACTGGTATTTTTAGACTAAATTCCAGAGGAACAGTTGAGTTTAAGGAGAAGCACATTTACATATTTTTTTAAGACAGGGTCTCACTCTTGTTGCCCAGGCTAGAGTGCAGTGGTACAATCATGGCTCACTAGAGCTTCTACCTCCCAGGCTCAAGTGATCCTCCCACCTCAGCCTCCTGAGTAATTGGAACTACAGGCACGCACCACCGTGCCCCGCTAATTTTTAATTTTTTGTAAAGGCGAGATCTCCCTGTGTTGCCCAGGCTAGTCTTGAACTCCTGGGCTCAAGTGATCCTCCTGACTTAGTCTGCCAAAGTGTTGGGGTTACCCAACACTTGTTATTACTTATTAACTCTAGATTTATGTTTCAGGGTAGGATTGCAGAGCTGCATATATTTGGACTTCATCCTGGCTCTGTGGCAGTAATTATGCATCATTGGGCAAATTAGTCTACTTCTCTGGGCTTCATTTACCTTGTGTATATAATATGGAAATGACTACCATGTTTCTTGAGACTGCCAGTTGTCCCCCAGTATCCTCTTTCCCCTTCTATGCGCACAGAGCCCCAAATTTTATCTAGATCCATACCTATGCAGAATCAATACTAATTTACTCTTTTCCCTTAGTCATAGCCAGCATTAAAATCTGTTGAGCCAGTGTCAGCAATTTGTAAGAAAATCCCAGAGGTTAATAATGAAGCACTTTTTAAAAATGCTGCATCACAAACTTTCTTTATGGTACATGGGATGATACTGGATAGAAAAACAGATATTTGTGCCACTGAGTTAAAGTGACTGAACACAAATGTAAATGTGAAGAAATTTTAGAAATACCTTAAATGATTTGTTTTGCTTACATATTTCTTTTTGTATGTACAAAAATTATACATAGTTGAGTACATGTCTAAATAAATCAAAAAGGTATATTTCAGTAAGCACACAATAAAAATCTTGATAAAAGGGCATGTCACAATTTAATTGAAACCATTTAAAAAATTTTTTAGATTCAATTAAAAATAGTAAATGTGGTACATGTACACTATAGAATACTATGCAGCCATAAGAAAGAATGAAATTATGTTCTTTGCAGTAACATGGATGCAGTTGGAGACCATTATCCTAAGGAAATTAATGTAGAAACCGAAAACCAAATACCACGTTTTCACTTATATATGGAAGCTAAACATTGGGTACGTACCCTGTTTTACTCAACATTTTGGGAAGTAACTGCCTCTGACTTCAACTCAAGAAAACACTTTTTTTGTTGCTAATGTAATCAGTTTGTGTAATGGCGTCAGCAAATAAAAGTATGCTTATTTAAAAAAAATAAGATTAGACATAAAGATGGGAACAGTTGACACTGGGGACTACAGGAGTGGGAAGGGAAGGAGAGAGAAAAGGTTGAAAAACTACCTGTTGGTTACTATGCTCACTATCTGAATGACGGCTTCAATCATACCCCAAACCTCAGCATCACACAACCATGAAACAAACCTGCAGGAGGATCACTTGAGGCCAGGAGTTCAAGGCCAGCCTGGGCAACATAGAGAGACCCCCATCTCTTAAAAAAAAAAAAAAAAGTAAGAAATTGGCAGGGCATGGTAACACATGACTGTTATCCCAGCTACCCAGGAGGTTAAGGCAGGAGGATTGCTTGATCCTAGGAGTTCAAGGCTGCAGCGAGCTGTGATCATGCCACTGTACTTCAGCCCGGGTGACAGAGTGAGAATCCGTCTCTATTTTTTTTAAAGCTGATATTACAGGAACAATGTTCTCTGACAAACGTGAAATAAAATTAAAAATAAATGCAAATAGTTAAAAATTAGTTGTGAAAACAAAACCTTACTTCCAAACAACTCAAGGTCCAACTAAGAAATCAAAAGATAGTGAAATCACTCCAGATAAACAACAGGTGCAGTGCAGCTAAAATGGAACTTAGAGGGAACTTGATAGGCTTTACATTTTAGAATACAATAAATAAAAAACAATAAATAAACCAAGCACTTAATTCATGAAGTTAAAAATAAGATAGAATGAACTCAGATAATATAGAAGAAAATAAACATGAGAGTAGAATTTAATTATTTAGAAAACAAAATAACAGAAAAAGAGATAATACCTCCAAAAGTTTTTTTTATTTTAGAATAATAATAAACAGACCAATATAAAGATAGAGACAAAAAGAAGGAAAACATAAAGGATTAAAACAAGAAAAACAGCTATAGTAGAGACTTTAAAAGCCTTAGAAAGATAATTTGAATAGCCATATTCAATAAATTTGTAAAACCTAGATGAAATAGATTATTTTCTATGAAAATATAAGTCACCAATAAAGCTTAGAAAATCTGAGCAAATAAATAATCATTCAAAAATAATAATATTAAAATGTCTACCTTCTACTATAAAGATGTTATCTGTATATAGATTTATAGGCAGTCTTAACAAATGTTCAAGAAACAACTAAACCCCATCTTACACAAACTGCTAAAAGGTTATTAAAAAAAAATTTCTTTTAAAAGGAAACATAGCCAGGCATGGTGGCTCACACTTGTAATCCCAGCACTTTGGTAGGCCAAGGCAGCCAGATCACTTGAGACCAGGAGTTTGAGACCAGCCTGGCCAACATGGTGAAATGCCATCTCTACTAAAAATACAAAAATTAGCCGGGCGTGGTGGTGGGTGTCTGTAATCCTGGCTACTCAGGAGGCTGAGGCAAGAGCATCACTTGAACCTGGGAGGTGGAGGTTCCAGTGAGCCAAGATCGTGCCACTGCACTCCCAGTCCAACCTGGGCAACACAGCAAGACTCTGTCTCAAAAAAAAGAAAAAAAAAAAGAGGAAACACGACCTATTAATTTTTTGAGACCATAGAAGAACAAGGAAAAAAAAATTATAGCCACATTTCACTTATGAACATGGATGTAAACACAGTAAATATATCAACAAGTTGAATCAAACAACATATTAAAAAATAGACTGTGACAACTTTACATCAGAAATACAACAGTGGTTCAACAACTAAAATTATATCATTGTAACTCATATTCCATATTAAGGAATCAAATTTTAAAATGTGGCCATTTTAATGGTCAGTGGATAAGGAAAATCTGTTTGATGATATTTAAAATCTATTCATGATTCTTAAAAAACAACAAACAAAAACTTCTTGGCAAAAGAGGAAAAGAAAGACACCTCTTAATGTCATGATTGACATCAATGCAAAACCCATAAACACATATTAATGGTTACATTTAGAAGCATTTTTATAAAAGTTAGGATGTTATATAGATGCATGGATATTTTCTATTACCATTACTACTCAAGATTACATTGGAGACCTTAGACATGTTCAGATTGGCTTCTTATTTTAGTTTATTTTATTTTTTTGGCTGGAGCACGGTGGCGTGATCTCGGCTCACTGCAACCTCCGCCTCCTGAGTTAAAGCAATTTTCCTGCCTCAGCCTCCCTAGTAGCTGAGACTACAGGCGTGTGCCGCCATGCGCGGCCAATTTTTTGTATTTTAGTAGAGATGGGGTTTCACCATGTTCCCCAGGTTGGTCTCGAACTCCTGAATTCAGGCAATCCACCCACCTCAGCCTCTCAAAGTGCTAGGTTTACAGGCGTGAGGCACCTCGCCCAGCCCAGATTGGCTTCTTTTATCAAGCAATATGTACTTAAGTTTGTTCCAGGTCTTGTGGCTTGATAGCTCATTTCCTTTAATGGCTAAATACTAAATAATATTTCACCGCATGGATAGATATACTACAATTTGTTTATCCATTCACCTTTTGGAAGGACTTCTTGGTGCTTCCAGTCTTTGGCAATTATGAACAAAGCTGTAATAAACATTCCTAGCAGATTTTATGTGAACGTAAATTTTCAACTCATTTGGGCAAATACCTACGAGTGCAATTCCTGAGCTCTATGGTAAGACTATATTTAACTTTGTAAGAAACTGCCAAACAGTATTCTAAAGTGGCTATACCACTGTGCATTTCCACCAGTAATAAATAAGAGTTTGCATTGCTCCACATTCTCCCCAGTATTTGGTATTGTCAGTTTTTGGATTTGAGCCATTCTAATAGGCGTGTGGTGGTATCTTGTTTTAATTCGCATTTCCCTAATGACATAAGGTGTTATTATGTCATTAGGTATATGGTGTATGGTGTATGTGGTCTCATATGTTTATTTGCCATCTGTGTATTTCCTCTGAGGAGGTGTTTTTCAGATCTTTAGCTTATTTTTTAAATCGAGTTCTTAGTTTTCTTATTATTGAGTTTCAAGACTTCTTTGTATATTTGAATACAAGTTCTTTGTTAGATATGTATTCTGCAAATATTTTTCTCCCAGTCTGTGGCTTGTCTTTTAATGTTTTTAACAGTGTATTTCACAGAGCAAAAGTTTTAACTTTAAGTGAAGTCCAGATTACCAATTTTTTCTTTCGTGAATTGTGCTTTTGGTGTAGTATCTAAAAAGTTATCACCAAACACAAGGTCACCTAGATTTTCTCTTATGTTATCTTCTAGAAGTTTTAGTTTTGCACTTTACATTTAGGTATATAATCTGTTTTGAATTATGAGTTGTGAAATGTGTGAAGTCAGTGTCTATATATATTGTTTTAACATGTGGATGGCCAGTTGTTCCAGGAGCAATTGTTGAGAAGACTAGCCTTTCTCCGTTGAATCTCCTTTGCTCCTTTGTCAAAGATCAGGTGAGTATATTTCTATAATCTATTTCTGGGCTCCCTATTATGTTCCATTGATCAATTTGTCTATTCTTTTACCAATACTACACTTTCTTGATTACTATACGTTTATGCTAAGCCTTGAAGTCAAGTAGTGTTAATTCTTCCAGTTTTTTCTGCCTTATCAGTATTGTGTTGGCTATTTTGGGTCTCTTGGCTGTCCATATAAATTTGAATTTGTTGATATCCACAAAATAGCTTGCTGGGCTTTTTATTTGAATTACATTGAATATATAAAGTTGGGAAAACCAAACATCTTCTGTAAATAGCTAGCCAGTTATCCCAGCACCATTTATTGAATAGAGAGTTCTTTCCCCATTGCTTATTTTTGTCAACTTTGTCAAAGATCAGATGATTGTGGGGGTGCAGCATTATTTCTGGGTTCTCTGTTCTGTTCCATTGGCCTATGTGTCTGTTTTTGTACCAGTACCATGCTGTTTTGGTTGCTGTAGCCTTGTAGTATTGTTTGAAGTTGGGTAGCATGATGCCTCCAGCTTTGTTTGTTTGTTTGTTTGTTTGTTTTTTGTTTTCTGTTTTTTTTTTTTGTTTTTTTTTTTTTTTTTGCCTAGGATTGCTTTGGCTATTTGGGCTCATTTTTGGTTCCATATGGATTTTAAAATAGTTTGTGCTAATTCTGTGAAGAATGTCATTGGTAGATTGACAAGGATAGCATTGAATCTGTAAATTGCTTTGGGCAGTATGGCCATTTTAACAATATATTGATTCTTCTTATCCATGAGCATGGAATGTTTTTCCATTTGTTTGTGTCATTTCTGATTTATTTGAGCAGCATTTTGAAATTCTCCTTGTAGAGATCTTTCACCTCTCAGCTGTATTCCTAGGTATTTTATTCTTTTTTGTTGCTATTGTGAATGGGATTACATTACTGATTTGGTTCTTAGCTTGAATATTTTTGGTGTATAAGAATGCTACTGATTATTGTACATTGATTTTGTATCCTGAAACTTTGAAGTTGTTTATTAGCTTACGGAGCTTTTGGGCAGAGACTATGGGATTTTTTAGGTATAGAATCATGTTGTCTGCAAACAGGAATAGTTTGATTTCCTCTTTTCCTAGCTGGATGCCTTTTATTTCTTTATCTTGCATGATTACTCTGGCCAGGACTTCCAGTACTATGTTGAATAGGAGTGGTGAGAGAGGGCATCCTTGTCTTGTTCTGGTTTGCAAGGGGAATGCTTCCAGCTTTTGCCCATTCAGTGTGATGTTGGCTGTGGGTTTGTAATAGATGGCTCTTATTCTTTTGAAGTATGTTCCTTCAATGCCTAGTTTGTTGAGGGTTTTTAACATGAAAATGTTAGCAGAAAGGGGTCCTGATCCAGACTCCAAGAGATGGTTCTTGGATTTCATGCAAGAAAGAATTCCGGGCAAGTCCATAGAGTAAAGTGAAACAAGTTTATTAAGAAAGTAAAGAAACAAAGAATGGCTACTCCACAGGCAGAGCAGTGCTTGAGCTGCTCAACTAAGGATACTTATTGTTACTTCTTGATTATATGCTAAACAAGGGGTGGATTATTTATGAGTTTTCTGGGAAAGGGGTGGGCAATTCCAGGAACTGAGGATTCCTTTCCTTTTTAGACAATCTAGAGTAACTTCCTGATGTTGCCATTGCATTTGTAAACTGTCATTGCACTAGTGGGAGTGTCTGTTAGCACGCTAATGCATTATAATTAGCATATAATGAGCGGTGAGGACTTCCAGAGGTCACTCTCATCACTATCTTTGTTTTGGTGGGTTTTAGCTAGCTTCTTTACTGCAACTGTTTTATCAGCAAGGACTTAATGACCTTTATGTTGTGTCGACCTCCTATCTCTTCCTGTGACTTAGAATGCCTAACCTCCTGGGAATGCAACCCAGTAGGTTTCAGCCTTATTTTACCCAGCCCCTATTCAAGATGGAGTCAATCTGGTTTGAATGCCTCTGACAAAGGGATGTTGAATTTTATCAAAAGCCTATTCTGCATCTATTGAGATAATCATGTGGATTTTGCTTTTAGTTCTATTTATTTGATGAATCATATTTATTGATTTGCATGTGTTGTACCAATCTTGGATCACAGTGATAAAGCTGGTGGATTAGCTTTTGATGCACTGCTGGTTTTGGTTTGCTAGTATTTTGTTGAGGATTTTTGCGTCTATGTTCATCAAGGATATTGGCCTGAAGTTTTCTTTTTTTTGTTGTGTCTCTGCTAGGTTTTAGTATCAGGATGATGCTGGCATCATAGAATGAGTTAGGGAGGAGTTCCTCTTCAATTTTTGGGAATAGTTTCAATAGGAATGGTACCAGATCTTCTTTATACATCTGCTAGAATCCAGCTATGAATCCATCTGGTCCTAGACATTTTTTTTGGTTGGCAGGCTTTTTATATTGATTCAATTTTGGAACTCATTATTGGTCTGTTCAGGGATTCAGTTTCTTCCTAGTTCTGCCTTGGGAGGTTGTATGCATCCACGAATTTATCAGTTTCTTCTAGGTTTTCTAGTTTGTGTGCATAGAGTTGTTCGTCGGCATCTCTGAAGGTTTTTGTATTTCTGTGGGGTCAGTGGTAATGTCCCCTTCATCATTTCCGATTGTGTTTATTTGGATCTTCTCTCTTTTCTCTTTATTAGTCTAGATAGCAGTCTAACTATCTTATTATTTTTTTCAAAAAGCCAACTCCTGAATTTGTTGATCTTTTGTATGGTTTTTCGCATCTCAGTTTCCTTCAGTTCAGCTCTGATTTTGGTTGTTTCTTGTCTTCTGCTAGCTTTGGGGTTTGTTTGCTCTTGTTTCTCTAGTTCTTCTAATTTTGATGTTAGGTAGTTAATTTGAGCTCTTTCTAACTTTTTGATGTGGGTGGTTAGTGCTATAAACTTCCCTCTTAACACTGCCTTAGCTGTGTCTCAGAGATTCTTGTATGTTGTATCTTTGTTCTTATTTGTTTCAAAGAATTTCTTTATTTCTGCTTTAATTTCATTACTTGTCCCAAAGTCATTCAGGAGCAGATTGTTTAATTTCTTCTCTTTTTCTTTCTTTCCTTTTTTTTTTTCTTTTTTTAGCAAGAGGTTTCAGTTTTTACTTGTTTAAAGAGTGTAGGTGGTAGTTTTAACAAAAGACTTTTGGTAAAAGCAGCTAGCAATAAGATCATGGCTATCAAAGCAGTTTCTTTCAGAGAAAATGGCCATTCCTTTAAGTGTGACATGTTTTTGGAAGTTTCTTAGAACAGTCTTAAGGTTGTTTAATTTCTATGTAACTGTGTGGTTTTGAGTGATTATTTCAGTATTGATTTCTATTTTTATTGTGCTGTGGTCCAAGAGTGTGGTTGGTATAAGTTAGTATTGTGTTATTAATTTCACATTTCAATTGTTCACTGCTGGTATATAGGAAAGCAATTGACTTTTGTAAATTAACATTGTATCCTGTAACCTTGCTCTAATCACTTATTAGTTCTAGCATTTTTTGG
The DNA here is from genome assembly GCF_000001405.40 of Homo sapiens. Lineage (NCBI taxonomy): Eukaryota > Metazoa > Chordata > Mammalia > Primates > Hominidae > Homo > Homo sapiens. The sequence continues at coordinate 96,109,438 of NC_000010.11, forward strand.
TCAATTATTTGAGATTTTATACATAGATAAATACGTTATCTGTAAGCAAAGAAAACTTCATTAGTTCCTTCTCAATCTGTATATTTTTTTCTTTTCTTTCTTTGACCTACTGAATTACCTAGGATTTTCAATATAATATTGAACAGAAGTGGTGAGAGGGAACAATTTTGCTTCATTCCTAATTTTAGTGAAAAGCATCTACTTTACCATCATTAAGTATGATGTCAGCTATGGTATTTGTAGATGTTCTTTATCAAGTTGAGAAGTTCCCTTCTATCCTAGTTTGCTGAGAGTTTTTATCATGAATAGGTATTGGATTTTGTCAGATGTTTTTTCTGCATCTATTGATAGGACTATATAATTTTTCTTTTTTAGCCTGTTGATTTGATGGATATAACAGTAATTGATTTTCAAATACTGAATCAGCCTTGCATAGTTTGTATAAATCCCACTTGGTCACGGTACCTTTTAATCAATTATAGCGATTTTTAGTGGTTATTTCTTCAAATACTGCCTCTCCGGCATTTTTTTTTCCTACTAGAACTCTGATTAGACACGTGTTGAAATTCCCAGTCTTTCTTCTATGTATTTTACATCCTTTTCATTATTCTCATCCCTTCGACTTTCAATGCTGCACTCAGGAAATGTTTCCAGATCTATCTTTCACTTACTTTTTCATGTGTTTTTAATACTTAGTTTAGTCCAGTTCCTGAGTTTTAATTTTCAATTACTATGTTTTTGTTTTTTGGAAATTCTACCTGGTACTTTGTTAACTTCTCTGGCCAGTTTTGATAGACTCTTGGAATTTTACCTGAGGGAAATTTGCAATTTTTAACATAGATGATTAGACAAGATAGATTCAAACAAAAAGCACTAGTGCCACTGGGCTGAGGAGACAAACAAATAGAAATTGAGAGACAAAATATCAGAGCAGAGAAAATCAAGGCAAGTATATCCAAAACTTGCATGTCATCTTCCCTCAAGACATTTGCCAGTTGCTAAGCTTTACATGCACAAGATGAAAGTTCAAGAAATCCAGATAAAGAAGCATCTTTGAGGCTAAAGAGCTGAACAGGGATTTCAGTAGCTTTGGGGTGGTAGGGACACAGAGGTTCAAGTTAAAAAGATTGGCAAAGGTGGAAAAACTATATAAATACCACAGACTTTTAGAAGATACCACAGAAAGCCATATCCTAGGAGTAAGGGCAAAAAACAAACAAAACAAAAAACTGAATCATCTTTTACAAAGCCTAAAACCAGGCCTATATAGAATTAAGATAATCTGTCCCATCTGTCAGAAGAAAACTGACTTAGGAAGGAGAAAACATTATTTAAACCTTTTACAGTTTTAATACACAAGGTCTGGCATTCAGTAAAAATTATGAGGCATGCTATAAGAAGGACCACATAACGAAAAAACAAATTTAAAACAGATGGTAGAAATATCCTCACAGTGATTCAGATATTGAAGTTAGCAGACAGAGACTTTAAAATAATAATGATCCATGTTTAATTGCTGATCAAAAAGAAAAAAGAGAAAAAATGTTTCTAAAAACAATGATTAAGATAGTCAGTAGAACAAAGGGAAAGACGGAATTTCAGCTGACACTTGGAATCTACTTAAAAGGTCAAATGGAAGTTTTAGAATTGAAAATAACCTATAACTAAAATTAAGAAATAAGTTGATGTGTTTAATAGCAGATTTGACATATCAAAACAGGATATTTTTACTGGAAGACATATGACCAGAAATTATCAAGATTAAAGCACAGAGAAAAAAGGATGGAAAATACATAACAAAGTTAAGAATATATAGAACATGGTGACATCTTCTGACTTGTGTATAAATCACAGAATAGGAGGAGAGAGAATAGAATAGTAGCAGTATTTCAGAATATGTTGGCTGAGAACATTTTTGAAATATATCAAACCACAGATTTGAAAATCTCTCTAAGAACCATAGGTAAGATAAATACAATCACACTTGGGATCGGCATAGTCAAAGACAAGCAAATTATAAAAGCAACCTGAGAAAAATGAGATGTTTCTTTCAAATGGGCAGTTGAGTGAGGGAAGCCAGATAAATGACTTTTCAATAGGATCAACGGAAGTCAGAAAACAATAGAGCAATGTCTTTAAGTTGTTGGAACAAACTATCCATAAAGCTAGAATTCTACAACTGGCAAAAATTTCTTCACAATTAAAAAAATTAAAAAGCAAAATAACGATATTTTCAGGCAAAGAAGTTGAAAGAATATATTGCCAGCAGATTTTCACTAAGGGAAATATTAAAGGGAGTTGTTCAAAGAGAAAAGAAATGGTCCCAGGTGGAAGTACAGAATAGAAAAAGAAATAAAGAGTGCTGTGAAGAGTAAATATGTAGGTATATTAGAGTGAATATTGACTTTATCAAATGACAAAAATAATGCCTTGGGCTTAAAATATTTATAAAATGAAATCTATGACAACAGTAGTACAAACTGGGGGGGTAAATGGATTTAAAATTTGTAAAGCTCTTTCATTGTTTGTGAAGAGATAAAATTACTAATTTCATAGGGGCTCTAACAAGTCAAGAATATATAATGTAAATACTAGGACTGCATAATAAACTAATAAGGGGAAATAAAATAAAAATACTTGAGTCATCCAAAAGAAGAAAATAATTAGTAAATTAACTAGTAAACTTTAAGATATGTCAGAGAAAAACATCAGAAGAATAAGATACCAAGAGAAAAAAGAAAATATTTAGAAAAGTTTAAGAGGCTAGGGAATAAAATGAGAAGGCATTGCATATTGTATAACATGTTTGTATTGGAGTCCCAGAAAAGGAGGAGCAAGAGAATGGTACAGAAATAATGTTTGAAGACATAATGGCTGAGATTTTCCCAAAACTGAAAAGTGATCTCCAGGCTCAGAGATTTCCACAGTGATTTTTGCCTCCTGGTATTCTCTCCTCCTATATAGTTTTCTCCCACATTGCAGAGGGCTAATCTGTATAACCAATAAAAGAGTGCAGAAAGGATGGAGTGTGCTTTCCAAGGCCAGGCATAAAGGATATTTCACTCTCCATCTTGCTCTCTCAGATCACTTTCTCAGAGAAGCTAACTTTCATGTCATGAAGACATTCAGGTAGCCCAGTGGAGAGATCCATGTGGCAGGAATTGAGGCCTATTGCCAAAAAACAGTACTAACTTGGCAGCCAATTGAGTAAGCTATGTTGGAAGCAGATCTTCCAGGCCCAGTCAAACTTTCAGATAACTGCATTCTTAGCTGTCTTCTGGTATTCAACCTTAAGAGAGACCCTGAGTCACGCTCGCTTTGGCAGCACATATCCTAAAACTTGGAACGATACAGAGATTAGCATGGCCCCTGTGCAAGGATGACACGCAAATTCGTGAAGCGTTCCATATTTTTTGTATGTGCTATTCAGTTGTGAACTGGTGGGCCGTGTGTAACAGCTGACCAACATGTGAAGATATTGGTACTTGATAGCCTCTTAAGGAAAATTTGCTTCCAAATTTTAAGCTGGAAAGTCACTGGAATAACTTTTAAAAAGAATTACAATACATGCATGGCTTTTTAAAATTTCATTACATATGTTAAGAATTGTGTACAAATTGAAATGTCTGTACTGATTCTCAACCAATAAAATCTCAATTATGAAAATAAAAAAAAAAAGAGAGACCCTGAGTCACAGCCATAATCATTAAGCCACTCCCAGGTTTTTCACCCTAAAAAAACTGTAGGAGATAGTAACTGTTGATTGTCTTATGCCACTAAGTCCGGGCTAATTTGCATGCAGTGACAAATAACAAATACAGATTTTTGAGGCCTGGAGTTGGAGTGCTGCTGTAACAGAAACCTAAAATGTAATGGCTTTGGAACTAGGCAATATATGGAACATAAAATGGTGAAAACCTTGAAGAGCCTTTAGGTGTTTGTTACTAGAAACCTGATGGCATTTTAGGAAACTGCAGGTGAGGACTTAAAATGAAAGGGAGGTAAATTTTGCTGAATATTGGAGGAAAGGAAATCTTCCTTATGTAAAAACAAAGTTTAGCAAAACTAGTACCTGCAGTAACATGGAAAGTAGCAAACATACCAGATGAGCTACGTGATCTAGCTAAAAAGAATTTTCAGGCAAAGTATTGTGTGCCTCCTTGATTCTTCATTTTGCTTATAGTAAAATGTGAAAGGCGAGAATAAGCAAAAAATAGAACTGTTTTTAAAAAGTTGAGTGAGAGAAGCCAGAAATCACTGGATTTGAACATTCTCAGCCTCTCCAAATGACACAGAATGCTGAAATTAACAAATGGCTTCCAGACAAAAGTCAAATTTAAGGCACTTTGAGAAAAACCTGGTCTAACAGATGAAGCTGAGAGTGTGCCTGTAAAATCCTTTTAAAGATCTCAGAAGGATCCAAGGTGATACTTTAGATACTTTTAATCAGAGAATAAAGGTTATGTGACTCTTAGGTGTGCTGTCCCCAGCAGCATCAGTGGAAGCCCAGTGTAGAAAAGGGATCACTTCAATGAGATTTGTGGGTGTGGCTTTTGCTTAGTAGAGTAAATCCAAGAACTTTCACAGAATACCCACAAAGTTTTAAAGATACTTATATTGGTGGAAACACCACTAGCTTGGACTTAATGGGTCAGAAATAGCAAAAAGGAAAATAAGTCCTTGGATTTGGAAACATTTATAGGCATGAAATAGGCCAAGAAAATCATGCAACCAAAACCAATGATAGTGTTTCATGAAAAAGGAAGAATAACTCAAAGAAAAGAATCAAGAGCCCAGATGGTAGAGCCAAGAGATATGGAGAATTGTTCCTGTGCAGGATTAGCAGTGAATTCCGATCAAGGACTTTAAAAATTTGTCCAGGTGAATTTCAGATTTGCTGTGGACTTCCCCCATCCTTTTAAACAGGAGCATCTATAGCAGTTATCCTTTGCCTGTGCCACCATACTGTTTGACATGGGAGACACTAATAACTTGTCACTTTAGTTCATATGACTTCAGATTGAAAGGAACCATACTTGAGCTTTTATGAAAGAACTACACCCAAGAAGACTTACCCATATCTGGACCCAATATAAAGTTTTGTACTTTGAGCTCGTGCTGTAATGGATTAAAACTTTTGAGGGTGACTATTTTTTCATATGAGAGGGACATGAATAATTGGGTTAGAGAAGGTGGAATGTGGTAGCTACCCACCAAGATGACCTCCAGTGATTTTTGTTTCTTGGTATTAAACTCTTGGGTAGTCCCCTCTCATTCTGAATACAGCTGGCCTCTGTAACTCATACTTCTGAGACAATATAATAAAGGACAATGTGGCTTCCATCTTGTGTTCTTTTAGATCACTTGCTTTGGTAGAAATCAACTGCCATGCTAGGAGTATACTCAACCAGCCCAACGGAGAAGTCCATGTGACATTGCATTGAGACCACCTGCTAATAGTCAGCACTGAATCAGACACCCTAGAAGTGGATCTTCAACCTTAGTCAAGCCTTTAAATGACTGCAGTCTTAGCAAGCATCTTGACTGCTATCTCATGTGAGACTCTGTGTCAGAAACACCTAGCTAAGCTGCTTCTAGGTCCCTCCAACATAAATGCTATGAGATAATAAATGTATTTTTATTTTTTTAAGAGACGGAGTATATGTTGCCCAGGCTGGCCTTGAACTCCTAGGCTCAGCGATCTTCCTGCCCCAGCCTTCTGAGCAGCTGGGACTACAGGCATACATCACAGTGCCCAGCTTGATAATAAATGTTTATTGGTTTTACCTGCTAAGCTTTGAAGGTAATTTTTAAATGCAGCTATAAATAGCTAATAACATAATTTTTTTCCAAAACCGAGGGGGTTTTTCTCTGAAAAACAACATGAAGGATAAATATATGAAATGACATAAGAACCAAACTGCTAAAATCAAAGACAGGGAAATTTTTAAAAGCAAAATTCTGTTCATATAAAGATAAAAAACACATATTATCTTCAACAGAACAAAAATTGAATAGATAGCTGTGACTCCTCAAGAGAAACAATGAAAGTCAGAGGCACCATAAAGTTATCTTCAATGTGGTACAAGAGAATAACTGCCAACCTAGAATTCCATAACAAACGAAACTATCTTTCAGTAATGAAGGTGAAATAAGTACATTTCAAGAAAACACAAACAAAAAGCTTTATCACCAGCAAACCTACACTAAAAGATCAAGTGTTTCCCCCCTCACCCCCGCAAGCAGAAGAGAAAGGATCCCAGATGGAAGCTTGGAGTTGCAAGATATTAGGAAAGCATGTAGAAGTAAATCTGAATCAATTATGCAATTATGTCTATGTAAAGCAGTAATAACAATGTCTATTGGGGCTTATGATAGAGAGAAAATTAAAATTTGTGAACAATAGCACATAAAGTATGAAAGATGGGATTAAACTGAGTTAAAATGTTCTCTTCATTGACAAGAAAAAAGAAAAAGTACTGATGTACATTAGATATTAATAAGCCATGGGTAAATAATATAAACTATAATAAAGCACTTAAAGACAAGTAAAGAAGAGATTACTACAAAACTGATAAAAGGAATAATAAAACATCTAATCAATCCAAAAGAAGAAAAGAAAAGGAGAAAAATGATCGTGGAAGAGGTAGAAAAAACAAAAAAATAGATAGTAGATTTAAGTTCACATATATCCCTACCTAATTATATTAAGTATAAATGATCTGTATTGTCCAGCTAGGAGCAAACCGTTTTCTTAGGAAGAGAAACTATGATCTGCTGTTTGTAAGAGACAAACTGTAATGAAAGAAAAGCTTAAAGATAAAAGGTCATGTCATGTAAACACTAACTTAAAGAGACCTGGTATAGATATATATCACTCTCAGATAAAGTAAAATTCAAGAAAAAAATGTCTGACTAGAAATACAGCCCTATTTCATTAAGATAAAACTAATTTATCAGGAAGATATAATAATTTTAAAATTATATGTGCATAAATAACATTGTCTCAAAACACATAAAGCAAAATAACAGAACAACAAGGAAAAAGAGACACATCAACAATCATACTGGGAGTTTTAAAGATACTTCTCTCAGTAAGTGAAAAAATAAACAGACAAAAAATTTTTGAAAATCAATGAAGATATAGGAGTAAAAACAATGATTTAAATGCACCTAAGAGACATGCACAGAACACTATACCCATTACCATGGAATACACATTCTTTTCAAGAGCACGTGAAATATTTATAAATATTGACCATATCCAAGGCTATAAAACAAATCTCAATACAGTTCAAAGAATTGAAATTGTGGAATACATGTTTCCTGATCACAAGGGAACTGAGTTTGAGATCAATACAAAAACAACACACAGAAGTAAACAGTAGAAGAGGAAAAGGAAAGAAACACCATGTGTTTAGAAATTAAACCATACATATCAAAGTAGCCCATGTTAAAAAGAAATCACGATGGAAATTTAAAAATAGTTTGAATTCAATGTTAATTAAAATACTGCAAATCAAAAACTGTAGGATATAGCTAAAGTAGTGTTGGAGGGAAATTTATAACTTTGCATGTGTAAGAAAGGAGAATGACTGAAATCAGTTAGAGATTCCTGTCAAGAAACTAGGTACCAAGTAACAAATTAAACCAAAGGATATACAAAGAAGAAATAATATAAATAGCAGAAGTGAATAAAATAGAAAACAAATATTAAATATAGAAGATCAACTTACCCAAAAGCTTGGTTATTTAAAATGACTTAAAGAAAAAAAAAGAAAAAGAAATATCTCTGGGATAATGATTTTGAAAGACAGAGAAATCACAAATAATATCAGCAATGTATAAGGGGATATCAAAATATATCCTACAGATGGGAAAATGATTAAATTGTATTGTCAGTAAATTTGCCATTTAAGAAAAACTGGACAAAATCTAGGAAAATATAACAATAAAATAGACACAAGAAGAAATAGCTGGTCCTAGGATACGAGGGTTTTTTTAAAAAAAAAAAAAAAGAGAGAAGAAACAGCCAGAATAAATGTACACAAAATGTATTTGCAACTCAAGGATGTTACCGTTGACACACCATTGACACACACTTTGTTTTGAAGATTGCATTTTTTAAAAATCATCAAATATTACTTCATTTTTTACCTTTCATTTTAAATAAACTTTTATCCATTTTGGGGTAGTGCTTCAGTATTTTTAATGTGTTATTTTTAGTTATTGCTTTAAAAATTTTATTTGAGTGATAGGCATGTTTAAAAATGTGTTTTGCAGGCCGGGCGCGGTGGCTCACGCCTGTAATCCCAGCACTTTGGGAGGCCGAGGCGGGCGGATCACGAGGTCAGGAGATCGAGACCATCCCGGCTAAAACGGTGAAACCCCGTCTCTACTAAAAATACAAAAAATTAGCCGGGCGTAGTGGCGGGCGCCTGTAGTCCCAGCTACTTGGGAGGCTGAGGCAGGAGAATGGCGTGAACCCGGGAGGCGGAGCTTGCAGTGAGCCGAGATCGCGCCACTGCACTCCAGCCTGGGCGACAGAGCGAGACTCCGTCTCAAAAAAAAAAAAAAAAAAAAAAAAATGTGTTTTGCAATGCTGTTTTATATGTTTTCAAGTTATGTTTGAAATGTGCTTAATATTTAGCTTTTCTATTTTAAAACTTTTATTAATCTTGGAAATTTTAAAGAAAACACCCATCGTCACTAATATTTCAATACTATATGAAATAAGACACAACTCTTTCTATATTGTTATTTTGTCCTAGTTTTACAATCTCTAGTTTGCATGGTGTTGATTCTAGGAAAGGTGTTGAAAAAAAGTGTTCAAGTTTTGTAAATATTCCATTTATCTATTGTCAGCTTAAGTGCAGGAGTATATAAATTAGTTTAAGCTTACTGATTTTGTTGTTGAAATCTTCTATATCCTCACAAATTTTTTAATCTGCTTGCCCTATCAGTTTCTAAAAAAGGTGTATTAAAATCTTCCTCTATGATTGTAGATGTCTCAATTTTTTTCTTTTGTTAGATTTTACTTTATAAATTCCAATCTTATATTGTTAATTATAAGTTGAGGATTATGATACCTTATTCATTAATAGCTCCTTTTATTATTACTATGCAGTGACTATTTTCAATCCTTATTAAAGCTTTTGTCTTTAAATGATATTTTGGACTCATACTAGTATTTTTAACCTATTGTAACTGAACCAGACCAATTGGGTTCAACTTTTATGTAACGAGGTTGTGAATTGCTTTTCAGTTGCTATGGACCTCCCAGGTTCAAAGTCATGTAACCTGAGCATGCGCAGATGAACCAAGTGTGCAACCACTGGTGGAACCTAAATGCTCAGACCAAGGAACAGGGACTAAATTAAGAAGCAGACACCACTGACATCATGACCCCCAGCAGCAACTCATTGCAAGATCCAATCGGATCACCTCTCATTATCCTATACTTAAAAAAACCCGACCCAGGCTGGGCGCTGGGGACTCATGCCTGTAATCTCAGCACTTTGGGAAGCCGCGGTGGGTGCATCGCTGGAACCCTGGAGTTCTAGACCAGCCTGGACAATGTGGCGAAACCCGGCTCTACAAAAAAATACAAAAATTAGCGGGGCGTGGTGGCATGCTCCTGTAATCCCAGCTACTTGGGAGTGTCACTTCAGCCTGGGCGACAGAGCGAGACCCCGTCTGAAAAACAACAACAAAACAAAAAACAAAACAAAACAAAACAAAAACCTGGCCCAACCCCCAGCTTGGGGAAACAGGTTTGAGTGTTTCCTCCTCCCGTCTACTTGCCAGTCCAGTCACAATAACCCTTTCACGTTGCAAAAACCTGGTGCTTCCGTGTTTGGCTTTGTGTTGCACAGGCAAACTAGCCCGGTTTGGTTTGGTAACGCCGTTTTCCATTAGTTTAATATTTTCTTGGTGTATCTATCTAACTTTTACTTTCAAACTTTATAGTTTTTTTATTTTCTCTTGTAAGCAACACAGTGATGGAATTTGTTTTTGAGATATATTCTGAGGATCTATCTGTCTCAATAGGTAAGCTTACTGTGTTAAAATGATTGATGAACTTATGTTTATCATAATATTTACATTTACATTTTCTGTTTACCATCTTTTATCACTGTGTCTTTATTTTTTCCTTCCTTAGATTGGATTGAGAAACAAAATGTATTGCCTTTTGATTCCTCTCTTGGCTTAGAAGCTATAGAATACATTTCTGTTCTTTTAACAGGAACCCTTAATATTTGATGTACATAACTACATATAAATTTTTCTAACAATGTCTGTAATTACTCAATTTTTATTTTATTATTTTATTTTTTTTTTTGAGAGTGTCTCGCTCTGTTGCCCAGGCTGGAATACAGTGGCTTGATCTCGGCTCACTGCAACCTCTGCCTCCTGGGTTCAAGTGATTCTACCGCCTCAGCTTCCCAAGTAGCTGGGATTACAGGTGTGTGCCACCACGCCTGGCTAATTTTTGTATTTTCAGTAGAGACGGGGTTTCACCACATGGGCCAGGATGGTTGAACTCCTAACCTCAAGTAATCCACCCGCCTCGGCCTCCCTAAGTGCTGGGATTACAGGTGTGAGCCAACATGTGATTACCCAATATTTCTATCTTTCTTCTGAATACCACATGACTTTTATCCACTGAGCATCAAGACCAACTCTAAACCTTGTAATTGTTGCATAGCATTTTAGCTTCAACTTTTCTCGAAGATTAGAAAATGTTTTCTTGAAGAATCCATTAATTGTCTCACATATTTTGTAAGTTTCAGAACTCAACATTTCTGCTATATTTTATACTTTTCCTCTTGATTTACTTACCTTCTGGCTGAAGTTCATTATTTAATATTCCTTTGCAGAGAATATTTGGAGGTAAATTTACTTACTCTTTAAATGTGATGGCAAATATCTTTAAAATTGCCCTTATAACAATAGTTCAGCTAGCTTTGATATCCTATATACAGTCATCTTCTCTCACCACTTAAAAAAATTATGATGTTGTCTTATAATATTTATGAGGTATTGAAAAATTCTGTTTTTAGTCTAATTCTTTTGTATTTAATCTGTCTTTTCTTGCTGGTGACTTAAAAAAGAATTCTCTTTACTTTTTTTATTTTGGTAATTTTACTATGGTGTATCCAGGTATGTTTTTATTTATCCTACCCAGTGCTTGTAGCACATTTTCAAATGGGGATTCTTTTCTTTTTATGTTTTTTGTTACAATTTATTCTTTTTTTAATTTTTAATTTTTGTGGGAACATAGTACATGTATATATTTTGATACAGGCATGCAATTCATAATTACATCATGGAAATTGGGGTGTCCATCTCCTCAAGCATTTTCCTTTGTGTTACAACCAATCCAATTATACTCTTTTAGTTATTTTAAAATGTACAGTTAAGTTATTATTGACTATAGTCCTCCTGTTGTGCTATCAAATACTAGGTCTTGTTCATTCTTTCTCACAATTTTTTTTGTACCCATTAACTATCCCCACCTCCCTGCCATCCCTGCCGCCCACCCCAGAGGAATCTTGTGTTTTCTCCAATTCAGAAACATGTTTAGCCTTTATCTGTTCCAATACTGCTTTTCTTCCATTAACACACTTGCATGCACTCCTATAACAGGTGTATGTTGAAAACACTCAATCTATTCTCCATGTCTATTAAAAGCTCTTTCATGTGTTTCAATGTGTTTGTTTCTCCTTACTGCATTTCCTCAGGGCTATTTTCACATTGATTCTCTTTATTATAACCACTGTAGGCTTTATTCCATCTGTTAACTTATAATATTTCAATGGCTATATTTTTTTATTTCCAAGATTTCTAATTATAATTCTAATACATTCTGTTAAAATATCACTCTACTTGTGCTTCATTTCTGCCTGCTTATTAATTCATTGCTTGCTGTTTTTAATAACACCATTTTTTCGTTTACCTTTTTGTAAGACAGTTTAGTTTCTTCTGGAGTGAACTTACATTCTGAAGTTTGATTTATTGGCTACTTTCATAGCATTAGATTACTTTATGGGGTTTGGAGTTAAATTTGCAGAGTCAATTTGAGTAGGAAGTTTATCCTTTCTTCCTTCCTTCCTTCCTTCCTGTCTCTCTCTCTCTTCCTCTCTTTCTCTTTCTTTCTTCTTTTCTTTCTTTCTTTTTTTTTTTTTGTGACAGAGTCTCACTCTGTTGCCCAGGTTGGAGTGCAGTGACGCCATCTCGGTTCACTGCAACCTCCGCCTCCAGGGTTCAAGCAATTCTCCGTCTCAGCCTCCTGAGTAGCTGGGATTACAGGCGCCCGCCACCACGCCCGGCTAATTTTTTTGTATTTTTAGTAGAGACGAGGTTTCACCATCTTGGCTAGGCTTGTCTTGAACTCCTGACCTTGTGATCCGCCTGCCTCGGCCTCCCAAAGTGCTGGGATTACAGGCGTGAGCCACCCCGCCCGGGCATTCTTTCTTTCTCTCTCTCACTCTTGCTCTTGCTCTCTGCTCACTCTTCCTCATTTAATTATTTTTAAGTTGTCTTTCTTAGCCTACCCCAGTCCCTCAGGGTGAAACAAGATTTTATATTACAGATGACAGGCCTCTGTTCTAGAGTAAATTGAGGCTAACACAGTTCCCTGAAGAGCCAGTGGATAATTTTGTTTTGTTCCTGGTACTTCCTTTTTCTATTATTCTGAGATTTTCTTACACTTTCTCCTGACTTACACTTCCTATTATCTGATTTCTGAGTTTTACTCTTTCTTGATTTACTCCCTGAATTTTAGTGAAGCATTACCTTTTTGGGAAAAAGTGCAAGAAAGCTGTTTTAGAGCATTTCCCTTCCTAAAAATGTCTTGATTCTACTCTTATGTTTAATTGTTTAATTTGCCTTAGAATTTAAAGGTATTACTCCATTGTTGTCTAGTTATTTGTGTAATTGTTGAGAAATCTGATTTTATTTTTATTTACAATCTTTTGCATGTGACCTCTCTTTTCTCTCTGTAAGATTTTAGGCTCTTTATATCCTGATGTTCTAAAATCTATAGTGATGTATCTTAGCGTTGTCATTTTGGTGACATTCAGTGTGAAATTCAGTATGGAAAGTGATATCCTCCAGTTCTAGGGCATTTTATTGTATTTGTTTAATAATTTCTTCTCATTTCTCTTCATGGAAAAGAGGGGCTCCTATTACCTGGATGTTAGGTTTTACTTTTTTATGTTTTCTATTAGTTATAGTGAATAATGCTGCTATGAACACAGTATACAAATATCTCCTCAGGATTCTGTTGTTAATTCTTTTAGGTATATACTCAGAAGTGAAATTGCTAGATCATATGGTAATTCTATTTTTACTATTTGCATGAAATGTATTTTTCCATCTTTTCACATTCAACCTATTTGTGTCTTTGAATCTAAAGTGAGTCTCTTGTGGACAGCATTCAGTTGGATCATGTATTTTTATCTATTCTTCCAATTTCTGTCTTTTAATTAGAGAGTTTAATTTATTTATATTTAAAGTAATTACTGATAAGGAGGGACTTGTTATGTCATTTTGCTTTGTTTTCTATATGACTCATAACTTTCTTGTCTCTCATTTCCTGCCTTACAGTTTTCTTTTATCTTTAGTTGACTTTTTATAGTGAAATGTTTTAATTCCCTTCTCATTTCTTTTTGTGTATATTCTATAATTATTTTTGTGGTTACCATGGGGATTATATTTAACATCTTAAAGTTATAACACTCTAATGTGAATTTATACCAGATTAACTTCCAATAGCATACAAAAAGTCTGCTCCTTTACAGCTCCATGTCCACCTCTTTTTATTATTGATGTCATAAAATTACATCTTTATATATTGTGCATCCGAAAAGATAAACTAGTCACTGGTTTTTAAAATTCAGTAGTCTCTTACATTATGTAGAAAATGAAATATGGATTTACAAACCAAAGTTATAAGAATACTAGCTTTTAGACCAATAATTGTTTTTTAATTTATTAGTCTCTTAAATCACATAGAAAACAAAAAGTGGAGTTACGCTGGGCGCGGTGACTCACACCTATAATCCCAGCACTCTGGAGGCTGAGGCGGGCGGATCACAAGGTCAAGAGTTCGAGACCAGCCTGGCCAATATGGTGAAACTCCTTCTCTACTAAAAATACAAAAATTAGCCAGGTATGGTGGTGGGCACCTGTACTCCCAGCTACTTGGGAGGCTGAGGCAGGAGAATCGCTTGAAGCCGGGAGGCAGAGGTTGCAGTGAGCAGAGATCATGCCACTGTACTCCAGCCTGTGCGACAGAGCGAGACACGGTCTTTAAAAAAAAAAAAAAAGTCGAATTGCAAGTCACTGTTGGCCTGGCGTGGTGGCTCATGGCTGTAATCCCAGTACTTTAGGAGGCTGAGGCGGGCAGGTAGCTTGAGCCCAGGAATTTGGGACCGGCCTGGGCAACATGGCGAAACTCCATCTCTACAAAAAATACAAAAAATTAGCCAGGCATGGTGGCACATGCCTGCGGTCCCAGCTACTCTGGAGACTGAGGTGGGAGGATCACCTGAGCCTGAGGTCAAGGTTGCAGTGAGCTGAGATCATGCCACTGCACTCCAGCCTGGGCCACAGAGCGAGACCCTGGTCTTAAAAAACAAACCAACAAAAAACCAAGTTATTGTTACCATAAAACTAGCTTTAATAATTGCCCATATATTTATCTTCATTAAGAGCTTTATGTTTTCATATAACTTTGAGTTACTGTCTAGTGTCCTTTTATGTCAAACTGCAGGAACTCTCTTTAGCATTTCTTGCAGAGCAATTTTTGTTTTGTTTATTTCTTCCCTGTGATTGTGTCATACTTTCCTATATCTTTGTATGCCTTGTGATTTCTTTGTTGAAAGTTGGCCACTGGAATCTAATAATGTGGCAGCTGCTAGTCAAAGTCCTCCACATTCCCACAGGGTTTGCTGTTTTTTGTTGTTTGAGTTTTGGTTGTTGTAGGCTGTACTCATGCCAAGCCAAGGATCAACCTAAGGTGTAAACCTAGGGTCTCCTCAGGTGTTTTCTGAGCCTGTGTCTTTTCCTGGGCATGTGTGGTGACTTTCTTATTTCCCCTGGATATGCAGTTGCCTTTGAATGTCCTAGTCTTTAATGTTTGGCTTCCAAAAGGGCAAAACGGAAAATGGAGAGGAAAAAGGCGCTGGCCCTTTAAGTCTCCTGGCAGTTGCTTCAGCCTGAGGGGGAGGGACTTGCCTGCCACCTTGGAGGAGGGGTTGGGTGGTGGTGGTGCAACAATGGCTGTCCACCTCTGTGCGGACACTCCTAGGATCAGAAGTAGCAATCAGCAGTCAGAACACAGATCCCCAGTATTTGGAGGATGAGTACTTGCTCCTTATTGCCACCCAAGCCCAGCAAACTGCAAGCAAGGGACTCCAGGAAGAAGTGCACAGCTGCCTGGCTGGAGGCTACAGGGTGGGGGATGGTAGCTATTGCGAAGCTAAGAGCTGAAATTGACAGAAACTGCAATTTACCTTGCAAGCCTTCTACAGATGTCAGAGTTCCAAAATAGTTACATCAGACATATCCTGCCAGTACCACTTGTTGATAGATTCCTGCTGCTTCCTATGTTGCCATCTTCCCAGAATCCTCTCCTAAAAACTTTTCTTCTTAATTCTTTTTGGTTTGGTTTTGTTTTTTGGAGGGGAAGAAATTTTATTTATCTGTACCCCATGAGTTTTATTAGTGATTTTTATTATTATTTTTTAAATTAATCTTTCTGTGTCAATAATTGTATAGGCCCAGTCCTCTTAACTCCCTTTCCTGTTTATCTAGCAACTGTTTGAATTATTGTGTCAGACTTTAAGCTAGGAGCTGGATGTTGATAGTTTCTATTTTTCAGTTACTCAGCTGCCTGAGGAGGTTGGGGAGATGGGAAAAAAAAGGGAGTGAGGTAATTTCTGTCTACGTAGGGGCATTTTTCATTTAAATTTGTTGAATCTCTGCATTTTGTCCAGAGGGTCAGTTCCTTTTGCCATATCTCTGCTTTCTTGTCTTTAAAGAACATCGGTCATCTTGGTGACAGGATCAGTTAAAGTGAAGACCTATAACTTGTGGACATACATGAAATGTGGTCTTCTATTTCATCTGTAAATATTTCAGCATGTATCTTTAAATGATAAACTTTGAAGACATAACAGCAAATATATTACATCTAAAAATTAACAAAACAACTTAATATAATCAAATATCCTGTTTTCAAATTTCCAGTTGTCTCATACATGTCATAAATGTGTTTTTGTCTATTTGCTTGAATCAGAATCCAAGTAACTTCCACACATGATGATTGATTGATACACAATTTAAGTCTCTTTTAATCTATAGGTTTTCTCTTTCATCTCTTTTTTCTGTCCAATTTTTTGTTTGGTTGAAAAAACAGGTCATTTGTCTTATACAGTTTCACAAAGTTGATTGTGCTCATTGTGTAGTTTAGTATGTTCCACTGACCTCTGTAATTCCTGTGAATTGGTAATACTATAGGCACTCTTGTTTTCCCATAATGACTGGTTTTCTCCCATTTTTTTGTGATATTGACAGATGTCAAACATTTTTATATGCCAACCAAAAGTTATTCATCCTTCCTCCATGCTAGTCAGAACTACTATTTTGCTCAGTTGTCAATTTGCCGAGTCCCAGGGTATAAATCATGATTGGTTTGAGTCAATTACAACAATGCTGTTTTTCTTTACCATCAATTTGTTCTAGAGATGAGTATGTGATTCCATGTTGGCAAATGAAATATAAGAAGTTCATTAGAAAAGGTTGTTCTCTCCAGTAAAATTTGAAAGAGTGTGAGAAGATCTTTTTTTTTTTTTTTTTTGCTTTTTCTCACTTCTTCCTGCTTAATATACTGCTGAGGGAGGATACAATGCCTGGTGCTGTGATAGCTACATGATCTCAATCTGATTCTTGTTCTGTATAAGTGATCTTTTTATCTCTGGAAACTTTTAGAAGTTCCGCTTTGTCTTTGATATTCTTCAATTTCATTATAATGTATCAGGGTTGAGTTTTTTTTTTTTTTTCATTATATCTGTTGCTGGACACCCCATGAACCATCAAACTTTTATTAAAAGTTTGCCTTAAGATGTAATGAGCCATAATAATCTACTTTTACAAGTTCTCAAGTATAATTTATTGGTATTAACATAGTCCATATGGCATTGATCTCACAGAAATCAAATTTATCTTTTAAACTACTTTAGACAAAAAAAACAAATTAATCTGCACTAACAAAAAAGAAAAGAAAAACCCTATACATTTTTATTCTTTTAAAACTTTAAATAATGAAATGTTCTATGCATATACAAGAGAAATAAAGGAGTATATATAACATATATGTGTACCAGGTTTGTTCTTAAATGTAATTAACAAGTATTCCACTTAATTCTTTTTTCTTTTTCTAAGGACTTGAATTAACTGTGCTATCTATTACATTACGCTCAGGATGCAGACAGTCTTAGGAAGAATTTGATGTGATTAGGGGTGGGGAGAGGTACCCTAAAATACTTAGGTAAGACCAATATAGTTTATACAGTTCATTTTAATGTTCTTTCTGTTTGAATATAGTATCCATGAAAAGAACTAAGAAAGAGGGACTATATCTTTCATTAAAACTTAATAAAAATGTCTTGGTCATCTAAGAAGTGTGAATTGAGAGGGAACTGTCAGGGATGCCAACCTAAAGAAAAATCTTTCTCATCCTGTGTTACAGTGTCTGAAATCTCATCTTTAGAATTGCTTTGTTGGATCATAAAATCTTTCAAATATTCAAGAAAATTCCATTGAACTGATGGCCCTCCATGAGGAATCATGTCTTATTTATTGCTAGCAGTTTCTGGCACATAATAGGTATTCAAGAAAATGTCTGCTGAATAAATATTAAACAACAAAATTGAAAAGAACATTGAGAAGAATAATACTTAAAGATCAACTAACACTTGTATGATAGATTGCCACAAGTAATTAAGCCGTATCTTTGACCAGGATGTGTAACCACTTTATGCTGTATCACCCAGGCTCTTCATATCTCTTTTTTTTTTTTTTTTTCCCAATTCTGATTGCACTTGATTATATTGTTGGGGGTAGAGAACCTGGGCTTGAGTTCATAGATCAGCAAAAAGAAGAGAGACATTTTTAGAGACTCTTACTATCCAAATTAATATCATTTAATCTTTTATTATCATAGTGCTTATGATGTACCAACTTATCTGTGTCTTAAAAGTATGTTTACATTGTTGTAAGAACAAATATAAGTTTGATTTAAGTATGATTTACAGGTGAGAATCCTTAGAGAGAAATGAATTTCCATTTATATATTATTTTTAGGAGAAAATTTCACTGTCTTAAAGTGAGCTGCTTTATGACACAGAGTCCATGAATCGTACGCATATTTTTTTTAATCCTTCCACCTCAGCCTCCTGAATCGCTGGGATTATAGGCACAAGCCACTGCACCTGGCATCAGTTGTATATTGAAAAGCAGAAAGAGGTTTGCAATCAAGATGGAAACTTCATTACTATCACCACCATCATCACTTTTATCATTTCCATTACACTCTTGGTGCAATGGCGTTGAGTACTCTCTTCAGTCTATCAAACAATATATAACGTGTTAGTTATATGTTGCACAGCTCTGAGAAGCTCAGAGGTTAAATGCTGTCAGCTAGTAAGCAGTAGTAAGGTCTTCAGAGGGATCAACTATTTAAAGCATTAATCTAGATGTCCTATCCCCATAACTATCCTTCTCAAGTAAAAAAGTATTCCAGAATCCTTTCCTAAGCTATGATTTAGCCTTCTCCCCTTTGTATCTTTTTCTCCCTTTTAATCATCTTCCCTTCCTTCTTGATTCACTCTCCTCTCTCCTCTCCTCCCTCACCACCCCACTTCCACTTTTTTTTTTCTTGCTAACCAATATGTTCAAAACCTGAAAGGAGATCAAGAGAAACCTTTCAGGTTTTGAACATAGAGGTTAGCAAGAAAAAAAAGGTGATATGAATGGTGGAAGAGGTGATATGAATGGTGGAAGAGAAAGGGGAAGAGATAAGGTAAGTCTGACTAATATTTTAATTTATTTTAACTTTCTCCAATTCTTCTATAACATAAATGCAGGTTTGCAAGGTTTTGTAGGTGAATGTATATGTAGAAGTAAAAATAAAGTTATAATGTGAATACTGTGGGGGGGGATGCAATATCTTAATCGAAAAAACAAAAACTACATCAAAACACAGAACAAAAAACTCTGTCCATTTTTCCAAACTAACATCGTTTTTTGTTATTAAAAGAAAAATCTCGTTCTCTCTCTTTCTGCTGTGATGTGTGTGCATGTCTGGCTTGCACAGAAATGAGGACCTGAAGAGAGATGGGTGATGTACGATGCGGAATAAAATCCACTTTGTAAACATGTTCTTCATTCCATAATGGCATCCCCTTTGGTATTTACAGAAGATTTCTCCTTGTGTGTTTTACACAAGCATAAATATGACTAATGTGAATTTCCGCTCATTCGCCTTTTCTAGGTGGAATTGTGTAGCCCAGTAAACACAATAATAAAGAAGGCTTCCTAAAGACAAAGTGAGGATTTCTCAGTGTGCTTTTTATTAAAGGATGGAGAAAATCTTGCATTTGGCTACAGGCTGACATTTTCAAAAGCCTGCCCTAAGACAATGAAAAATATGTATCATACACATATTTTAAAAAATTTTTAAAAATTATAAATGTCATACATGCTACTTAAGAAAACACGGAACATTAAAAAATGAAAAATCTGATCATAGTTTCACTTTCAATTTATTGGTATATCCTTCTGCGCCAAGGTTTTTTGTTGTTGCTTAAACGTTTGCCGCCACTTATTCCCTCCCCACATTTTAAAAGGAAGATAATTTATGTAGAATTATGTAGAAAGTGAGGTATCAATTAGTAGGTTGGATTTATAAAGAACAGAAGAGGAGCCACACTGGCCTTTGGGGTAAAGCCAACCATATTAACTGTCCAGCCCTGTTGTCAGGTAGAGGAAGTATTCGTTTGAGGGAGATGTGAGCCTCCCTCATTGTGAAGATAGTTTTTGATCAATTATTCAATATATACAGGTTTGGAGTTCAGTATGTCTTCTAGAACTACTGGCGGCAGCTTCTTTCGTTGACGTGGGCTACAATGGTTGCTAAAACCTGCGTGCCAGAAGCCAGAGGTGGGGAGGCGCCATTTGCTAAACCGGAACTGGTTAAAATCTCAGGGTGGAGACCATTCCCAGTCAGCAAGGGCTTGGGAAGTGCATACAGTTCCTGCTCCTGGTGTCTACTCTGAAGAGCACAGAGTAGACGTTTGTCTGCCATTTCACCGGCAGTAAGATCAGCAGCTGCTGGTGAGCAAAGAGGTAGTAGTGGGTCACTGGACTGGTGGGCGCCGGGGCCGCGCGCTAGATGGAGAGGTCAGCGGCGAACCCAGCTCCATGGCCTAGTCTCGTCAGACCGAGCGCGGACCCTGCCGGCCTCCGTTCTCTTCCGCTTGTCTCAGGTAAAGCGCAGATCCCTCCGCCGCAGCGTGCGCTCCCGGTAGCGCTGCGATCAGCTTTTCGGCAATACCCGGATGGAAGTGTAATGGCCGCCATCAGGGACTCGCAGGCAATGGGTACTACGACAGGTATTCCCCGTCAGCGGGACTGCCCAGACCTTTTAGGATGTCAGAACTTCTAGAGGGCCACCCAGCAGGCAAACGGCGAGTTTGTGGACCGTCAGGGTCCCCCAAACAGGTCCAGGGATCCGCCTCTTGTGAGAGGAAGCGCGAGTTAAATAGTCCCGGCCATTCAGCGCTTCCGCTTAACTTGCCGCAAAGTTTTTCTGGAGAAGTCGGGGTTTTTTTGCCGAGCGCTTTTGCCGACTGCTAGAGCTTACCCTTACTTTCTTAACCTGGGGTTGTTTTACTTCCGGGCTTTTTGAACTCTACACTCTCCTACATTCTAGGAGCTGGGTGGGAGTAGGAGACGGTGTGCCTCCGCGCTCCCCGCGGGGCAGCCGAACCCCGGAGGAAGGGGCGGATCGGGCGCGGTGTTTGGGGCGAAGCTGGGCGCGCGGCGCTCGAAGCACTCACTCGGCGGGTTTCGTGGTTGGTGGAGACAGCAAGGGCGCCCCGCAGACCGCACCCCTCGAGCTATAGGTTCGCAGGCCCGACTCGACGGCGTCCCTATTGCTGGCCCAGCGTATGGTCATTGGGGGCCATTTCTTGCAGAGATGCCCTGCTCCCTGACGCGCTCGCTCTTCTCCAGAGTTGGCCAAAGGTGCTCTTCCCCGCAGACCCTAACCACACCCAGTGGCAGTTGGATTTCTTTGTAACTGGCTTTCTCACATGTAGGGTTCATTTTGACTCTATTCGTTACATGGTGTCCTCTTTGTCAAGTAGACAGTCTCTTCCTAGGTGGCTGTGGTAATTGAAAAGTACATAGAGCGAAATGTATATAAGGAAAAATGTTTTAACTCTTAAGTGGACCGATCAAACAGATGTAGCTTTAAAGTTCAGAATACAACAGTTAAGACTCAGTTTTCTTTTTAGGTTTAAATTTGAGAGCAAGTAGTGTATGTGAGCTGTTTTAGTGCAAACATTGTTGAGTATGTTGTCAAACGTCTAAAAAACCCTAGAAAAATAAAATAAGTCAATGTTCAAGGAATTCATAAGAATGTTGGAATTTGTACAGTTGTCGCAGTGATAAAACATGAAGACACCAAACTGTCAGGATAGGAATTCTATTAACTTGAAAGTGTGCATGTTAGATCTAGTTACTGGTAATTGTTGAATTGCTTTTTCTGCAGCAAGGGGTCTGATTTGAGTGTACTCTAAGGTTGATATCCTCAGGTTTAATTTAAAACATTTAAATTGATTCAGTGAAATTTCCTAACATTTTTTGAGTTTAACTGCAAATTTATAGAAATGCATTCACTATCTTTCAGCAAAATTGTCTTTTCTGAAATTTATAAAGAGACATTGCGTTCTGTTAACACTTTGAGGGTGTTGGGATTTCCTGGGGAAGGTAAGCATAGTAAACGATGTTGATTTTTGCCATAGAAACTGTAAATTAGATCATCCCTAGATACAGAAAATTGCCAACAAAAGGGGAGAATAAAATGTAGGTATGTTACACAACCAAATGTTTCCTGTTTGTTGCGTGAAAATAAGTATAATTACCAAATAAAACGTTTTATATCTGGTTTTATGGAAGGACAAAAGACAGTAACCACAATGAACACCCACTGTGTGCATTGATAATGTATGAACTTTTAAATGCTTCAATTTTTTGCCATGGTCACACTTCGGATTCTGTTCTAGTCTCTCTGGTAATAGTATGCTGTAATCCCAGAAGTTTCTATATTTTGAAATATTACAGAGGGACTATACTTTAGCCTAGATCTATAATTTGACTTCAGGATATGCTTTAAATGCCCTTTAAGTGTATTTTTGTTGTTTACTTTTCTGTTTATAGTTGTTTAGAATTGTTCTCATTGAGGCATTGTGACATTGCATACTTTAGAGCACTTAATACTACTTTTTTTTTTTTTCTTTAAATGATAGGAGACTTGAATCTTGCCCACATTCCTTCAGGTATGCTACTGAAGGTTTTGTGGCAAAGTGCTATTAGCAGAACAAAAAGGTTTTAACACCGTCTTGAAATTTTTATTTATTATCTGGTCCCAGGTGTGTAGGCTGTGAGTATTTCAGTTCTATATGGGGTATTGGCTTCTCATGGTGAGCAGTTTTCATGGCATATTAGATACCAGAAATGAGTATTAAGGGTTAGTATTGTGGTGGTAGGATAACTGAATTGGAACCGGATCCAGATATTATTTCTAGTTTTGTGACTTTGGGCAAGGCTCATTTTCTTTTTCTTGTAATAAATGAAGATACTGAGTTAGATTGATTCTAAGCTTTAGGTTGTGACTTTTGCAAATTTGTGACATGTTATCACTGGTCATCAATGATGTATGCTTAAGTGTATAGAAGTTTTTTCTTAGTTTTTTTTTTTTTTTTTTACATTTCTTTATACACCTAAGTTGAATGTGAAGTGTAATTGAACAGTTTTTGTCGTCAAAAGTTTTAAAATCTTGGTCTTCATTTCCAGATATCATCTCTTCTTTTGATCACTGTTCCTGATTGTGACATTGTGCAAGTGTTAAATTGTGTGCCTTTTGTTCCTGAAGAAAGAGGTATGGTAAAGATTGAAATACTGGAGTATATAGTCTATTAAGTAGTAAGTTGGTATGTTTTAATATTGGACTAAATAAAGTAAAATATAGGTTAAGTATCCCAAATCCAAAAATCCAGAATGCAAAATTTTTTGAGTGCTGACATGATGGTCAAAGGAAATGCTCTTTGGAACATTTTGGATTTTGAATTTTTGGATTTGAGATGCTCAACTGGTATAATGCAAATACTCTAAAATCCTAAAAAAGAAAAAGAAAAAAAGAATGAAACCCTTCTGTTCCCAAGCATTTCAAATAAGAGACACTCAACCTGTAGTTTTACATATACATGAGTTTTCATAAGTTATATAAGTTATAGTTTTATTTTATTTTTTGGCTAAAATAAAATACTTAAACATGAGTTTTCATTTTAATCTAAGCAAAAAAAGTAATTTTTGGTTTCATAGTTTATTACTTAACATTTTATTAGAAATCCAAATATAACTTTAACTATCATCCTTCTGAATAGAAAAGTGGCATTAAAGTCTTCTGGGTAATGAACAGTGGAGATAAAGGTGGTAGATAGATGTTTCAAAGCTATATGAATGGCCAGAAGATTGTGGTTTTGGTCTAGTAAGTGCAAAGCAATGTACCTAAAGAAAAATTATCTGATATGTGTTTATATTATGACTAATAGCATCTTCATTATGAATCAGGAAAGGGACTTGGGAATCACTATAGTGTTATGATTGGTTTCTTGAAGACAGTCATGTGAATGTCTGGGTGTAGACAAAAAAGGAGGAAAAATATGCCAACAAATCTATGGTATTATAAGGAAAGCTTTGGAAATGTAGTGGAAAATATTGTACCCATGTAAAAAAACATGTTTTTTCTACCCTCAAAACACAGATGTCTCCTACTCTTTGTGTTGGATAGGTCCTGGGATCTTTGAAATGCTAAGATTCTTGGATACCACAGTATCATAAAATTCCTCTAAATGCAGTAAGTATACACATAAGTATGACCGTAAATTAGGAATAAG
This sequence comes from Homo sapiens, assembly GCF_000001405.40. Taxonomy (NCBI): domain Eukaryota; kingdom Metazoa; phylum Chordata; class Mammalia; order Primates; family Hominidae; genus Homo; species Homo sapiens. The sequence continues at coordinate 96,133,689 of NC_000010.11, forward strand.
ATTATTTATGTAACTGCTGAAATAGCTGACATAGACTATACCACCTTACAGTATTGCTTTAATTATCATAATAACCGTGTTCTTCCCTGAACTTCACCAGCAAATGGATTTCTGTTCAGGGCCATTTTTTTACAAAGGCATGAATTTTTATTTTGTCAGAAAATAATGTACATTGAGTAGAGAGCAGTAGAGCTGAGTTGAGGTACCACGTTATCGTTTATGTCATTAAGTAACTTTTTCCTATATAATATTTGTTTGACTTCCTACCACGAGATTCACATGGGTACTGTGTTATTCCTGAAGAGATAAAGTAATTCTGAATGCTAAGAATTTTCCTAAAGGTTGAGCATCCCAAATCTAAAAGCCTGAAATCTAAAATACTCCAAAATCTGAAACTTTTTGAGTGCTGACATGAAGCTCAAAGGCAATCATCACTGGAACATTTTGGATTTTGGATATTCAGCCAGTAAGTAATGCAAATATTCCAAAATCCACAAAAATCTGAAATCTGAAACACTTCTGGTTCCAAGCTTTTTTGTTTTGTTTTGTTTTGTTTTTTTGAGACGGAGTCTCACTCTGCCACCCAGGCTGGAGTGCAGTGGCGCGATCTCGGCTCACTACAACCTCTGCCTCCCAGGTGCAAGCAATTCTTCTGCCTCAGCCTCCCGAGTAGCTGGGACTATAGGCGCATGCCACCATGGCTGGCTAATTTTTTTTTTATTTTTAGTGGAGACGAGGCTTCGCCATGTTGGCCAGGCTGGTCTAGAACTCCTGACCTTGAGTGATCTGTCTGCTTTGGCCTCCCAAAGTGCTGGGATTACAGGGGTGAGCCACTGCTCCCGGCCTACTTCCAAGCATTTTGGTTAAGGAATATTCAGTTTGTACTATTTGACCCAGACTACTCAGAAAAAGTAATGTAATGAAGAATGAAAGCTGTAGTTGTAGTGAAGTAAATAGGAGACTGCTGTGTGATGACTGACCAAAACGATTTGTATTAATTTATCTTGAAAACTTGTGAGCAAAGTCTGACTAAAAATTTAAAGTTGTGACTGGTATGGCTGCATGAAACAAGTGTCAGAATATTAGAATGAAGGTACATGATGTGAAGTTTCAGAAAATTAAGTGGGCTTCACATAGGTCTCATTTCATGAGGAAAGTCAGATAATTTCAAAATGTAGTAAGCTTATCGTCAATTCCTGATTAATATTGGTTTGTTGAAGGTTGTGGCTGGTAAAAGACATGTCATATATTGTTTTTGTCAACTCAGTATCTCTTCATTAGAGAACCACCCCTCCCCTATTCTGAGTGGTTGGTGGGCTGTCCGTCAGTCTTACTGTCTTATAACCTGAGCTTGGTCATCCCTATTGCAACAGTGATTGCTGTTACTCATGCAGAGCCAGTCAGAATCCTTTTTTTGAAATTTATGGTTGAATGCTAGGACAAAGATACTACCTTTTCTCTGAAATTGTTAATCTGGGAAGGTGCTGGTGGCATTCTTTACCACGTGTATGAAAAGCGCATCTGTGTAGTGGGAGAAAGTGAAGCCATAAGGAGATGGGAGATGGATGGTGGTAGTGCCAGTTTCAATCTCAGGGAACATGGTAAGTGGTACCTACTTTTCTTTTGATTTTGTGAACTATCCTGGTGTCCTTCTCAGTCCTTGTGCCAAAATTTTTTGTGTAAATTGGTTTGAATTGGATTGCAGCAGAAAGTGTTCTGATGAATATATGGCCCTTATGAATTTAAGGTCTAAAGTTTCAGATTGATCATTCACATCCTTCTGTAGTTCCCCACTTTCCTATACCTTATAAAGAGTTCCCTTTATTTATTCATCATTTGTGCATGCATTCAATCTACTTTCACTCAACCTACAAACATTTTTTTGAGTGTCCACTATGTACAAGTATGTGCAACTGCCTGGATAGGCAAGATTATATGTACTAGACTGAGTGGATGGTGGATATATAGCATATTTTTATTTATTTCTGGTGCACAGATTAATAAGCGTGTGTTGAGAATAATGACTGTGGTGCTTGGCATCTAAGTAATAATGTAAGAACAAGAAGAATTCCTTGTCTTGGAAGTGCTTCTAGTTAGGAATTCATATTAATATACAGCAAACACAACAGAAAAAACAGATAAATGAATGCACAGTTGTATTTTAAGTGAATTTTGATGGGAAGGAAGTGAGCAGGTTGGCCCATTTAGGAAGATTTCCTGAAGAATATACAACTTTAAATGTATTTCTGCTTATGAATGTGGCTTTGATAGGCACAGAGAATAACTGAAAAAAGGATGGAGTTAAAAATGATTATAGGCTGATCCAGGTTGGAGTGGAGATTGGTTTCACTGTAACAGTATGTGTTCTTTGGAAATGAGGTAGTGGAAAATAAGGTGACTGTTTTAGGTAAATCTATGTATGAGGCATTTGGAAAGCCAAGCAGAAATTTTGGCCCTTTCTACTAAGATGGAGATTTCTTTGAAAAAATGTGTATATTTCTTTTCATATAATTTCATTTTTGTATGCTAAAATGTGAATTAAATGTGATGAAATACTGTAAAATTACTCATTTTGGCAAAAACCTTTGTTTTATTCATCTGTCTTGAAGATTTTTTAAAAATAGCAATTAACTTGGAATGCCGATTTATAAATATGTATATATAACCTTTCTCAAAAAGGGAAAGGTAAGAAGAAATGTTATATATATTTATTTATTTCTTCTTACCTTTCCCTTTTTGAGAGATCTCTTAGTAATAGTCAAAGCCATACCCTATTCCTTAGTGAGAAAGCCAGTTTGAAACGAATGTAGCAATAGATGTAAAAACATTTAAAGGCGTTTTAATGTGGCTTTTTAATGAGCTGGCTTATGCCTGTAGTCCCAGCACATTGAGCAGCTGAGCTGGGAGGATCGCTTGAGCCCAGGAGTTCAAGACTAGCCAGGGCAACATAGTGAGACCCCATCTCTATTTAAAAAAAAATGTTTTTAAAGATAAGGAACAGACTTAAAGTGATGATTGATTGCTCATAGAACGTTCATTTTGGGCTCCAGAACTAGGAATGATGTAGAATTTATTGTTGTGTCATTGTCTCATTAAATGCTGTAGTTTCCTATGTCCTTGCCTACCTTCTTTCCTCAGAGCCTCGCATCTGACCCTCAGAGAGTAGCAGTTGGATTATTCCATTATACCAAGGTTGGCAAGCTTTTGCTGTAAATGGCCAGATAGTAAATATTTTAGGCTTTGTGGGCCATATGGTTTCTGGTGCAACTATTGTAACACAAAAGAAGCCATAGGCAATATGTAAATGAGTGAGTGTGGCTGTATTCCAGTGAAACTTAATTTACAAAAACAGGCAGCAGGCCAGATTTGGCCTGCAGGCCGTCATTTCATTCCACAAACTCTCTCAGTCACATCTGCGCACCTGCTAGCATCTTTATTTATCCTCCCCTCTAGTTACTATAGATGGATCATGTTTGCTCCTTTCTAAGTTCACCTCTTCAGCTCGTTCACTAGATTCCGTCCGTTCTAACCTGAAGGACTTCACTGCTGCATTTCTTTCCTATCCTTTATCATCAATTTTTTTATTTTTACTAGATCATTTTAATAAGCGTGCAGTCATACTGTAATTCCTCCCACCTTTAAAAAACAAAAAATAAATTGAAACAAAACAAAACAACTCCTTTATCTTAAAACTCCTTGAAAGAGTTGTCTGCACTGCATCACTACTTCCTCTCTTCCCATTTTGCCTTACATCCAAGCTTGTCAGCCTTTCTCCTCTAAAACTCCACTGAAACTGTTCTAATCCATGGTACCAGTGATCTTCACATTAAGTCTAGTTAGTCATCTTCTTACTTGACAGAGTTGTTCAATCCCTTATCCAGTAAACATTTTCTTCATTTTGCTTTGAGGATACCACATTCTTGATTTACCTTAACTCTTATTGGTCATTTCTTTTCTGTCTCACTTGCTGGTTCTTTTTAATCTCTTTCTGTTGGATGTGTTATAGAATCTTGAGGCTCAGGCCTTGGACTGCTCTTTTTGTTTATTCCCCCTGGTGATTTCATCCTGCTCCAAGTACTTGAAAGTACATATGTACATATACACACACCGATAACTCCCCAAATTTCATCATCCACCTAGCCCTCTGTATTCTATATCCAGCCACACAGTCCACATTTCCTCTTGGATGTCAAATAGACATCTCAGATATTACATGCCTAAAATGGAACTTTTGATAAACTTTCCTATTACTTTAACAATCTTTTATATCTCGGTGAATAGCAACTCAGTTCTTTCCAATGCTGTCAGAACTTCTAGAGTTATCCTTGACATGTCTCTTTCTTTCAGAGAAAGCATATCAGGATATCTTGTAGGTGCTAGCTTCAAAATATATTCAATCTGACCATGCCTCATTGTCTCAGCCAAACCACCATCAACTCTTACTTGGATAATTGTACTGTGTAGTCTTTGTCTTTACTCTTAATCCCTCCTGAATACTCTGTTCTTAGCATAGCAGCCCAAGTGATAGAAGTAATTCGACTCATGGTAATTCTCTGCCCACAATGCTCCAGTAGCTTCCTCTCTGATTCAGAATAAAACCAAAGCCTTTACAGTTTCTATCAGGGCCTGTTTCTGTCCCCTTGTTACTTCTCTGACCTCATCTTCTAGCTTTCCCTCTAATGCTTTCTGTTGTGGTCATACTGATTTTCTTGCTGTTCCCCAAATGTGTTAGGCACATTGCACACTCAGGGTCATGTCACTAACTTTTGTTTTCTTGGATTGTTGGCTTCCTCAGCTCTTTAAGATACTGACTCCAATAAGACCTTTTCAAGTCGAGGGCTCCCTGACTTAATATGTAAAATTACAACACTCTGATTCTGCCTTTCTGTCTTTGCTTTATTTTTCTCTGTAGCAATTGTTGCCTTTGAATATACTTTATAATTTACTTACTTTGTTTATTACCTAAATAATCAGTAAAATGTTACCTCCGTGAGGGGAGGGATTTTTGTCTGTTTGGTTTACTGCCATATTCCCAATGCTTAGAACGTAGATGTGGTGCTAGCTACAAGTCTGGCAGCATCCCACATGCTGGTGATGTAGTAAAGGACATTACAGATGTAGTTCTCACCCTTACGCAACTTATATTCCGGTGGTAGAGACAGATAGAAAATAAATGGGCAAATAAATAAAATATTGCCAGAGATATTAAGTGTTACAAAAAAAGAAATAGAAAAGGATAAAGTGGCGAATTTTTTTTTTTTTTTTTTTTTTGAGGAAGGGATGGTTTATAGGGAAGGGCCCTTCTGAGGTGGTGGCATTTGAGCTGAGACCTAAAAGATGAGAAGGATGTAGCCTTTTGAAGAATGGAAGAAAGCACATTTCAAGTAGGGAACAGCAGGTGCAAAGGCCTGAGATAGGATGGATAGGAAGAATATTTGAGGAGCTGAGAATCTGTGGCAGCTTGTTGGAGTATATGTACAATGGGGAGAGTGGTGTGAGATGAAGTTGAAGAAAAAGACCCAAGACCAGATACCGCTGTTTCTTGCAGGCCTTTGTAAAGAGATTAAATTTTATTTTAAGTGCCTTGTTGCTATAGGCTGAATGTTTATGTCCCCCTTCCCCATACTCAAATTGATACATTGAAACCTATTCTCCAGTGTGATGGCATTTGGAAGTGGGGCCTTTTTAAGAGGTGATTAGGTCATAAGGGCAGAGTCCTTATGAATGGAATTAGTACCCTTATAAAAGAGACCCCAGAGGGCTCTATTTTGTCATGTGAGGACACAGTGAGAAGATGGCCACCTGTGAACCAGGAAGTAGGCCCTCCCCAGACACCAAATCGCCAGTGCCTTGATCTTAGACTTCCTAGGCTTCAGAATTGTGAGAAATAAGTCTATGGTACTCTGTTACAGCAGCCAGAACAGAGTAGGACACTTGGGAAACCACCAAGGAGCTTTAAGCAGGGGAGCTTTGTGATATGTTTTATTTTAAGAAGAACATTTGCTCCTGTGTGGAGGATGGACTCAGAGGAGGGTGGTGGACAAGGTGGAAGCATGGATGCCAGTTAGGAGGATGTTTTCATTCATGTTAGAAATGATGGTGGCCTGGACTAAGATGATGACAGTGGATAGGAAGAGAGGAAGGGAAATACAAGATCTGTTGGTTTTGTTTTTGTTTTTATTTTTTCGAGACGGAGTTTTGCTTTTGTTGCCCAGGCTGGAGTGCAATGGTGTGATCTCGGCTGACTGCAACCTCCACCTCCCGGGTTCAAGTGATTCTCCTGCCTCAGCCTCCTGAGTAGCCGGGATTACAGGCATGCACCACCATATCTGGCTAATTTTGTGTTTTTAGTAGTGGCGGGGTTTCTCTATGTTGGTCAGGCTGGTCTCAAACTCCCGACCTCAGGTGATCCACCTGCCTCAGCCTCGCAGAGTGCTAGGATTACAGGTGTGAGCCACCTCGCCCGGCCCAAGATCTGGTTTTGAGATGGAATTGACCAGGCTTGCTTATGGATTAATGTGGGGAGTAAGGGATGGAGGAATCAAGGATGAGTCTTGATTTCTGGGTTGTGGAACTGTATGAATTTTAGTGCCATATAGTAAGATGGGGACATCCAGGGAGTGTAACTTCTAATCATGGAGGCAGGTGCTGTGTAGACCTAGAGAAAAATTAAACCATTTATATTATTTTCTGAAGCTGAGTAAGAATGGATCACATGATAACATGTTCTCCCAGCAAATAGCAGTACATCTTTTGATTTTCTTCCCTCCCCTCATGTATTCCAAATCAAAATCTGCCTATTCTAAATCACTGTCGCAGCAAAATGACAAACAGAAAAAGAAAAGAGCAAAAGATGAAAATAATTCCTTTTCTATACTGAATTCAATGGCTCTTATGTCACTTTGGACAAATTAGTTCAGATTTTTCTCCCAATTCCTACCTATTAAAAAGGTGATTTCTGCCAGGGTGTGGTGGCTTATGTCTGTAGTCTCAGCACTTTGGGAGGCTGAGGTAGGCAAATTGCTTGAGACCAGGAGGTCAAGACCAACCTGGGCAACATGGTGAAACCCCATCTCTTAAAAAAAAAAAAAGAATTGGAAAAATTAGCTGGGCATGGTGGTGCATACCTATAGTCCCAGCTACTTGGGAAATTGAGGTGGGAGAATCAATTGAGCCCAGAAGGGCGAGGCTGTAATGAGCCGTAATTGTGCCATTGCAGCACTTCAGCCTGGGAGACAGAGTAAGACCCTGTCTCAAAAAAAAAGATGGGGGGTTGTGGGAGTGATTTCTGACTCTGTGTTTTAAACCAAGTTCCAAATTATTGCAGCAAAAAAGTTTACATGCTCTTTGAAGTTTGCTAGAAAGTGATTTAATCTAAAATCATAGTCATATATTTGATTTGAAAATGAGAGAATGAATAGCTTAAAAATATATGGGTTAGGCACTTGTGTACCCAGCCTTCTGGTTTTTGTGAGGGAAAAATGAGAAATAGTAAGTAAAACTTGCATTTAGGAAGCTTATAAATTATCTGGGGAGGTAAAAAATAATGAAATTATGTAATAGTATAAAGCAATTTGTAATAAATGGTGAGCACTGGCTATTCTTTAAGTGGATACTCAGAGAAAGGAGAGATTTAGTGTGTATTGTAAAAGGTTACATGTCCCTATAAGAAGCAGAATTTGAAAGGAAGTTTGAATAGTGTTGAATTTAGATAGAAGGAAGGAGATGCCATGCCTGGTGACCGAAAACTATATGAACAGAACAAAGGTAAATAAAGGTGTATGTGTGGGTAAGCATCTTTTATATTGGGCACAGTGAGAAGTCATAGTTTCAGGGAGTAATAAAGAATAAGGTTTACCTGAACCAAGAACTGCTTCTGTATTTTAATTTTTAATTTTAAACTCCTTTATAATTGTATACCAATATCAATTGCATACCAGAATGGTATGTGACTCACAGATACACTAGAATTTTGAACATTTCTAGATCTGTATTTAATTACTTTTGCATATTTAATTACTTTTGCATATTTAACCCTACATTTCTTTTTTTCTTCTTCATTTTTTTTTTTTTTTTTGAGACAGGGTCTAGCTCTGTTGGTCTGGAGTGCAGTGGTGCTTGGCTTGCTGCAACCTCTGCCACCCAGGTTTAAGGGATCCTCCCACCTCAGCCTCCTGAGTGCCTGAGAATACAGGCACATGCCACCACACTTGCCTAATTTTTAAAATACTTTTGTAGAGATGAGGTCTCACTATATTACTCAGGCTGGTCTTGAACTCCTGGACTCAAGCAGTTCTCCTGCCTCTGCCTCCCAAAGTGCTGGGATTATAGGCCTGAGCCACCATGCCCAGCCTACATTTCTTTTTCTATGCTTAAGTTGTTCATTAGACCACAGTGATTTGGAAGGAGCTGGCTTTGGTTACATATGTAAACTGTATACAACCATTTCTTGCACTCTTAAAATGTGATAGGCTTTAGTCTCTCAGGTAAACTTTTTGAAAACTTAAAACAGCTGCAAAAAAAAGTAAGCCCAAAATGTTTGTTTCAAGTCATGAATAGATAATAGTTATTTTGAGGGCACTAAAATAGATTCTGCTTTGAAAGTAATATTCTTAGGGTGTGTGTGTGTGTGTGTGTGTGTGTGTGTGTGTGTGTGTGTGTGTGTGTTTCTAGATTCCTTTTAGCAGAACCTTATATTTTTCAGTAAGCTTTTACTGTTACATGCTGCTTTGGTTTGATCACCACTCATATATTCATTCATATGACTGTTTTGCCTGTATCTGCAGAAGAAGGATTGAATGACTTAAGGAATGCAGTAGTTTTTTATGTGATGAGACAACTTAGAGAGCTACATGCTGAGTCATGAATATAGCTAAGCTAAAACTAGAGTTTTTAGTTTTTTTTTGGTGTTTAAGCAACTTGAATATAGTTAAGTAGCAGATAGATTCTTCCTTTTTAGACTCTGTAGAATGCCTTTGACTTTTAATTATTTTAGAAAGCAAATATAACTGTCTAGGAATGTTGCCTTTTGATGAACTCTTCAAATCTTCCTTATCTTTGGCATTTTACTTTGGGAATTATCTTTTAAAAATCTTTCCGGACCCAATGTGTGATTTCTTTTTTTTTTTTTTTATTGCGACAGAGTCTCGCTGTGTCGCCCAAGCTGAAGTACAGTGGCGTGATCCCGGCTCACTGCCAACCTCTGCCACCCGGGTTCAAGTGATTCTCATGTCTCAGCCTCCTGAGTAGCTGGGATTACAGGCACCCGCAACCATGCCCGGCTAACTTTTTGTATTTTTAGTACAGATGGGGTTTCGCCATGTTGGCCAGGCTGTTCTTGAACTCCTAACCTCAGGTGATCCGCCCGCTTTGGCCTCGCAAAGTGTTGGGATTACAAGCATGAGCCACCGCTCCCAGCCGTGATTTCTGACCTATGTATGTTAACATTACCAGTTCCTTGGCTCCTCACTTTTTATTTGGATTGTCACTCTAGTTGCTTAATTTCCTCATTTCTATTTTTACTCTTTCTCCAGTTTATCTTGCTGTCTAGTACCCTTCTAATATTTCTAATGTACTGCTTTTATAACTTTTTTCTGTTCTTAAATTAACAATTGCTTCTGTTTACCTTTCATTTCCAGTTCAGATCTGTCCTCTATAGTCTGTTCTCACTTAACCTCCCCATCATGCATTCTCTTTTTCATCTAGACCCTGTGGTACCTTAGGAGAAAAATACTTTTCTTCCATTGTTTCTTTATTCTGTTCTTGTGGTTTAGATTGCCTTTGCTTCTTTCTTACATGTTTTAAGTCCTGCTACTCTTTAAAGGGTCCTCACAAAACCTACCTTTCTGTGAAGTAAACACAGTCATCGTTGATTTGTCAACTTTCTGTAGTATGTAAGAAGCCTTTGATTACAAGCAGTAGAAACCAATGTGAGCTAGCTTATGTTGAAAGGGGGGATTATTTTAAGGATACAGGATTTCCTGGAATTCAAGAGTAGGAATATATAGGCAGACCTCATAAAGGCTTGTGGTGGTGACATTGCCCTCTTGGTTTCAGTCAGGGTTCTTAGGAGAGCTGATGATTTTTCTCCTATTGATTTGGTTTTCTGGTTTGTTTTTTGCTATACCATGCTGTCATTTCTTTTAAAAAAATTAAACTATTGTCAGTAGTTTGGAGGATATCCTTCTGCAGATCTGTGCTTATACGCACATATGCTTATAAGATCTTTCCTCTTAGCATGAAAACAAGGATCATTTCTCCTAATTTAAAAATGTATTCTGTGCCTCAGTCTGCAGCTTCCTTTGTTGTTGTTTTTTTAGACAGGTCTCGCTGTGTCACCTAGGCTGGAGTGCAGTAGCATGATCACGGCTCACTGCAGCCTTGACCTCCCAAGCTCAAGCAATGCTTCCATCTCAGCCTCCCGAGTAGCTGGGACTACAGGTGCATGCCACCATGCTCAGCTAATTTTTGTATTTTTTGTAGAAATGGGGTTTCGCCATGTTTTCTAGGCTGGTCTTGAACTCCTCAGCTCAAGCCATCCACCCACCTTGGCTTCCCAAAGTGCTAGGATTATAGGCATGAGTCACCATGCCCAGCCTACAACTTCCTTTTTAAAAATTAAAAAAAAAATTGCTTGGAATAAATACTGTTCCAAGTCAATTCAGTACACATACTTCTTTCTGTATAATTTCATGTGGATGTTCCGTAATTTTATAATTTTCCTATTCTGGGCATTTAAGTGATACTGATATATCCATATTTATATGTTATGCTTTTTTGGTTGAGGGGGAGGATATTCTTAAAAGTGAGGTTTTTGTGAGTAAACAAAATTGAGTATTTTCAAGGAAAATATAAATTACCAAAGTGACTCAAGCAGTAGAAAATCTAAAGAGCCCAGAAATCATAGAAGAACTTGCAAAGGTTGTAAGGTCTAAAAATCTGAAGTGTTACTAGGTCCATATGGTGTTCTTGGTGCAGTCTGTATAATTTTAAGGAAAGAACAAAAATTAAACTGTTGTCAGTAGTTTGGTTAGTGAACTATTTCAGAGCAGATGAAATAGTGGTAAGTACTCCAATCCATTTTACAAATCCTCTGTAATACCACTACCAAAACTGTTACAGATAGCAAAAAAAAAAAATTCTAAATAACACTTTGTCAGATGAAATTCAGCACTTTATTAAAGAATAATATGCTGCATATTGCAAAAATTGTTCAACATTATAGTTGCTATTCATTTCTTTGTATAGCATATAGAAATAAATATATAGGCAAAATTAGGTTGGTGTTACAATTTTTAGTATTTCTTTTAACAGTATCAAGATCAGGAAACATATTAGTTGAATACCATTTGTTTTCGTATAAAATACATGTATGTTTTGTTGTTGTTGTTGTTGTTGTTAAGATGGAGTCTCGCTCTGTCGCCCAGGCTGGAGTGCAGTGGCGTAATCTCAGCTTACTGCAACCTCCACCTCCTGGGTTCAAGCGATTTTCCTGCCTCAGCCTCCCGAGTAGCTGGGATTACAGACATGCGCTACCACACCCGGCTGATTTTTGTATTTTTAGTAGAGATGGGGTTTCACCATGTTGGTCAGGCTGGTCTTGAACTCCTGACCTCAGGTGATCCTCCCACCTTGGCCTCCCAAAGTGTTGGGATTAAAGGCGTGAGCCACCGCTCCTGGTCGCATCTTTTTATTTATGTAACAACACTGCATACATAACTGCTATTCTGGTTGTATTAATTCCCATTACTTTTTAGGTAGCCTCATTCCTCACAAATTAATTGTTAAATAAACCGACTAAAAACACTTCTCTTATAGCATGAATTTATATAGCATGAATGAAATTCAGTAACATAATTCATCATTCTCTTGAGTGTTTACCATTAACTTTGACGCTTGTGTTAAAGTGTTCTCTGCAGTGGTATGACTGGGTACGTGTGTGTTGATATGGAGAACACAGAATTGAATGATACCTGTATTGTTTTGATCTCTTCTTCACCTTTAGTGTCAACATTGATCTGTTTTATACTGGCAGCAAGTATATTATTTTGAGTTTAAGAAAAACTCAGTTGGTTTACCACAGAAATCACTTGCTTTGTTTGAGAATTTGCATCATGCCACTTTTTCATAAAGTTTCATAAAATTGCAGTCTAGAGACAAAAAGATTGCTGTTCTCACAAAGTCCAAATGTAAGGTGTTTGCTTGTGCTATCATAAGGTAGTATGCCAGTGTGGAGGCCATGGTGATCTAAGACAGCATTTTATGAAACACTGACCTAAGAGTAACCAGTGATCACTAGGAACATTTTTGTATGTGTATTCTTCTTGACTTTTAACTTTTGACGCATTTGTTTATCCATTTTCTATCCATCTATCAGTATTTGAACAAATTAAACTCTATATGTCTACTGTTTATTTTTTTTTCACTTAAGGTATGTTAGATATCATTGTGTTAATAAATGTGAGTTTACAGTATTGGTTTTTAAATTGCATAATATTCCCTTACAATACTGTAATTGATTTAATCATCATTTATTGGTGGACACTTATTTTTAATTTTGTGATTTTATAAACGATGGCACAAATAATATTTCTGATTATTAGCTTTAGGATGCATTTCTAGAAGTGAATCAGAAGTTGTATGCCTTTTCTCCAGACTCTTTATGTATGTATTGCAAACTGTTCTTTATAAAGGTCATGCCAGCTTTTATCTCCATCATTAGTATATTACTGTGCCTTTTTTTCCTCACTGACCAACACTAGGTATTAGAAATATGTAACATCTTTTGCAATCTGATTAGCAGAAGTTTTCTTGTTTTTATTTGTTTTGAATTCTAGTGAAGTTGGGCATGTTTTCACTTATATTCCTCTGTGACTTTCTTCTTTGGGTCTTTTGCCTAGTTTGTAACTTGTTTTTATTTTTATTATGAAATGTGTTTATGGACAAAATGCACACTATGTATGTGGTTTAAAGATAAAACAAATATCTGCATACCAACTATTTAAGAAACAGAAGCTCCTTTCCTCTACCCTCATTGTGTTCTCTCTGGTCATATCCTCCTCTCTGCTCCTAACAAATATGAAACTACCATTCTGACTTTTGGTATTTTGGTGACTATAAACACCAAATTGTTTAGTTTTGAAAATTTGGTAGCAAGCCTAAATCTGGCTATACAGTGAAAAGGTAACAGTGCCACTAGTAGATGAAGGCTCCCAGGAGAAGTTAAGGTAACAGCATACCTGGATCATAGTCTGGTTTTAGCTTCTCTGGAGTTTATCAGAGCCACTTTTGGGGAAGTCTAGGTAAATCATGAGTGAATCCTAGCAACCTTAGGGCCCACTGTAAGCAGAGAATCTGGCAGGCTCAGAGTATAGACCAGATAGTGGATGTCTGAGAGAGGCTACTCTGTAATTTTGGTTTCTAAGCTCACCATGCAGTTGATCTGGATATAAAGGTATGGAGGGAAAAGCAGGAACATCATGAGTTTATGTCAATACAAGCCAAATACAGATGAGAATCTGGGCCAGGCTTACCTGGGGATTCTGTCCAATGGTTGAAAAGACGGTACAGTGTCAGTGACGTTTTTGGTGATGGAAGTCCTCAGTGTGTCTTTTGATGTCAAAGATGTCTTGTCTTTGGACTGACAGGAGCATGTGATCTGTGGTCCAACTGTTTGTTATCCTGGTATTTCCCTTTACTGTCATCTTGGGGATATTATTTACTTCTCTCTCCTCCATTTGATCTCCCAATGCATATTATGTCATGTCTTTCTCTCTCTCTGTTTATTCTTTCATTTTGCTGGAGTATATCTTATAGTAACAACTTGGGGAAGGATGTCTGGCAGGTAAATTTTGAGATTTTGCATGTCTTCATTTTACCCTTATACCTAGACCCTTGGCAAAATGTAGAATTCTCGGTTGAAAGCTTTATGCCAGAATTCGAAGGTATTGCCCCTTTGTCTTTGTCCATCTGTTACTGTTGCTGAGAAATCTAAAGTCATTTGATTTCTAATCCTTTGTTTTCTGACCTTTTTTGTTTCTATTTAGAAACTGGATTTTGTCTCTACTGTTAGGAATCTTTGCAATGATATGCCTGCGTACCTTACACTGAGCACTTGGTGGACATTATCATCCTGGAAACTGATTTCCTACAGCTCAGTACTTTAAAAAGTTATTTTATTGATGATTTCCTTCCCCTTTGTACTCTCTTCCTGCCCTCCTGTTAGTCAAATGTTAGACCTCCTAGATTGCTCTTCTTTCTTACCTTGTTTCTCCTATTTTTCATCTCTGTGTTTTGTTTTTTTCTGAGAGGTTATTTCACCTTTACCTTATAGCCCTTCTGTTGCCCCTTTTTGGTTATGTTTTCTTATTTCTTAGAGTTCTTTTTGTTCTTTTGATGTTCCCTTTTTGTGGCATCCTGTTCTTATTTCTTATATCCCTAGAAATCAATGAGTTTTAAATGTTTTGTCTTGGCCGGGCGCGGTGGCTCACGCCTGTAATCCCAGCACTTTGGGAGGCCGAGGTGGGTGGATCACCTGAGGTTGGGAGTTCGATAACCAGCCTGACCAACACGGAGAAACCATGTCTCTACTAAAAATACAAAATTAGCCTGGTGTGGTGGCACATGCCTATAATCCCAGCTACTAGGGAGGCTGAGGCAGGAGAATCGCTTGAACCTGGGAGGTGGAGGTTGTGGTGAGCTGAGATCGTGCCATTGCACTCCAGCCTGGGCAACAAGAGTGGAACTCTGTCTCAAAAAAAAAAATGTTTTGTCTTAGTACATAGTCTCAGTTTCTAACAAATTACTTTTTTTGATTTAATTGGTCTGGATCTTGAACTAATATTAGAGGGTTTTCTCAGACTGTCCAGTAATCCTCTGGCCTGTCTGCTTGTGTCTCAGAAGCTCATGGAAAGCCCCTGTCTGAACCCACAGAAGGGCTTGTAACACAAGGTTTTGACTCCCACTGTGGGGAGCTCTTTGGGCTGGGCCAGGCACCAGAATCTGGCCCAGTGCTTCTCCAACTAGTGAAGCTCCAGAATTTTTTTTGAGACGGAGTCTCGCCCTGTCGCCCAGGCTGGAGTGCAGTGGCATGGTCTCGGCTCACTGCAAGCTCTGCCTCCCAGGTTCACACCATTCTCCTGCCTCAGCCTCCCGAGTAGCTGGGACTACAGGCGCCCACCACCACACCCGGCTAATTTTTTGTATTTTTAGTAAAGACGGGGTTTCACCATGTTAGCCAGGATGGTCTTGATCTCCTGACCTGGTGATCTGCCCGCCTCGGCCTCCCAGAGTGCTGGGATTACAGGCGTGAGCCACCGTGCCTGGCCTGATTTTTTTTTTCTTTTACCTCAATCTGTTACAGCTGATAATTTTAAAGCATAATAAAAATAAATTGCCAGAATAATGAAATTTTAAAAATGAAGACATACAAAACATAAGTACATGTTTTTATTATTAGATTCAACAGATAAGTCTAACTCTGAAAAGTTTATAAATGTTTATTTTCGGTTTTGGTACTTACCTTGTCATGGACTGGTGATAGATGGCTTATGGGCCATCAGCAGACCATAGTTTAAGGAGCATTGCTGTCGCCTAGGAGCCAACTTAGAAGCAGAAAAAAAGGGGATATGAGGTGAGGGTTTGTGTCTCATGTATATGGTCGTTTAATCCTCTTGGTTTTGGCATAGTGCCTACTCTCTCCCCTGTGCCTGGTCTCCCCTAAAACAAAGATTCGTTTTACCCACTGTAGAGAGTAAGCCTCTAGACTTCTGTAGTGGGGAAACAACAGTAACCAATAGCATGATAGAGTGGGGAAGAGAATCTTAGCATCCAACTATAAGTCAACCAACTTTCTCCAAATTTCTTTCTGTTTTAGCTTCCCCCTTCCTCCTTCCTCCCACAAGCTGGCAGTTCTTAGGCCTCGTAAAGATTCAGAATGTAAAATGTGTTAGTTCCTAGCTTTCCCAGCTGTCTGCAAGGTCATTTATCTGTTTTTCAGTATCCAAAATTTTGTTGCTATTGCTCCCTCTTCTGTTTTCCATTGTGAATTCTGCTGTAAGGGATTCTAAATATTTGATGTCACAGGTGTTCTTTTTCTCCATCCAGTCTTTTCTGCTTTTTTAACTATATTAATAACAATGTTTATATTCAATGTATATATTTTCCTCAAAGAGTACATATGTAGTATATTTTCTGAATCTTTGCATATCTAAAATTGTGCTTTTCCCTCACATATGGGAGCTTTTCTGGATGTGAAATTAATCTTGGGTTACCTCAGAACTCTATATAAATGTTACTCCATTGTCTTCTCGTGTTTAGAGTTGTGAATAAAATGTCTGATTAATATTGGTGTCTGGGCCGGGCGTGGTGGCTCACGGCTGTAATCTGAGCACTTTGGGAGGCTGAGACGGGCAGATCACGAGGTCAGGAGATCGAGACCATCCTGGCTAACACAGTGAAACCCCGTCTCTACTAAAAATACAAAAAAAAAAAAAAAATTAACCAGGCGTGGTGGTGGGCTCCTGTAGTCCCAGCTATTCGGGAGGCTGAGGCAGGAGAATGGTGTGAACCTGGGAGGCGGAGCTTGCAGTGAGCTGAGATTGCACCACTGCACTCCAGCCTGGGTGACAGAGTGAGACTCCATTTCGGAAAAAAAAAAAAAAAAATTGATGTCTGATTAAAGGTGGTGTTCTGATGAAAAATCCCTTTTTTTAGGTAACTATTACCCACCTTTTTGGATAGCATTTCATTTTTATCTTTTAAGCTAGAAATTTTTACAAGAATAAGTTGTAGATACTGAGCTTCTAATCTTGCCTGGTATTTGGAGAGCGTTTGATTTTAAAAATTCAGATCTTTTTGGAAAAAAAAAAAACTTAGGTACAATTTTTTCTCATTTTCAAAATCATTATTCCTCCCGCATCTACTTTGTTCTCTCTTTTATGACAGTCAGTATGCTCTTTTTTTCAATATGCTAGATCTTACTGAGGTTGCTAGTTATTACTTGATTTTTTTTTAAGTTTTCTTTTTTTTTTTATTGCAGCAACTTTCTTTCTTTCCTTTTTTTTTTTTTTTTTTTTGGAGACAGAGTCTCACTCTGTCACTCAGCCTGGAGTGCAGTGGCGTGATCTCGGCTCACTGCAGTCTCCACCTCCACATCCCAGGTTCAAACAATTCTTGAGCCTCAGCCTCCTGAAGAGCTGGGATTGCAGGCACCCACCACCATGCCTGACTAATTTTTGTATTTTTAGTAGAGACGGGGTTTCACCATGTTGGTCAGGCTGGTCTCAAACTCCTGACCTCAGGTGATCCGCCCCCCTCGGCCTCCCAAAGTGCTGGGATTACAGGTGTGAGCCAGCACTCCCAGCCTTACTGCAGTAACTTTCATTATGGTCACTGCTGGATGGGAGAACAGGGGAGAGGTTTCTCTGAGGGTTCAGATTATTTTCTCTTTTTAGAGCTGCTGCATCCAGTGATGTTTCTGCCTACTTATCTTTTTTGTTGGCATTGTTGGGTGGGATGAATTCCTAAAGAATACACCAAGATTTTCTCAGTGTTTTTGTTAGGAGAAGGGGAAGTTGAGAGTTAACCTCATTTATTTTTCTTACAGTGTAGAGATAATTCAGTTATGTAGCGAAAGGACAGGGCTCTTAAACAGAGGAAGATAGCCATGGGTGTAGGAAGATTCGTCTTTGTTCAGAAATAATGTCCTCTTTGCATCTCTCCTAACAGTTGGTGCTAGCAATCCCCTACTCTGTCTGGCCTCTGGATCTAGCTTGAAGTTCTGGATTCATTTCCTTCTTCCTTGTACCTCAGCCTGAGCCTTCTGTCACCCAAAGGGCTCCAGCTGGTTTTTCACTCAGGCCTCACTTTATCTTCCAAGGTATGTTTAGGGGAAGTTGTAGGCAGAATTATGTCTCTCACTTCCTTACTTGGGCATAATGGGCAGATCCTCATTAAATATTGATTGGATGAATGTTCCTAGTGAACTCCCTTTTTAAAAATGGTGTTTGGCAGTGGGTCGGCATTTGTTTTTACTCCCCTCTCACCAGACTGTTTGCTGTCAGACACCTTGCCATATGTATATGGAATGTTTTTCTAGTTCCTAGCCATTTTGTAGGAGTTTTTAAATTATATTTTTTGGTTGTTTCAATGGGCAGTTAGGAGAAGGAGGAAGTCAGATGTTTTCAGTTGCCATGTTCATATAGGAAACTACAGATTATTTTAATACTTTTACAAAATTGTATTATTTCAAGACTTATTGAGATGTTGGTCAAGTCTTATGCTGTAATAATACATATATAGAAGGCAGTAGTTTAAATAGCACATTTAAAACCAGTAATCTGGGCTGGACGTTGTGGCACACACCTATAATCTCAACACTTTGGGAGGCCAAGGCGAGTGGATCGCTTGAGCTCAGAAGTTCAACACCAGCCTGGGCGACATGGCAAAACCTCATCTATGCAGAAAAATACAAAAATTAGCGGACTGTGATGGTGTATACCTGTAGTCCCTGTTACTTGGGAGGCTGACGTGGGAGGATTACTTGAGCCCAGGAGGTTGAGGCTGCAGTGAGCTGAGATCACGCCACTGCACTCCAGCCTGGGCGACAGCGAGACCCTGTCTCAAAATAAATAAGTAAAACCAGCAATCTTTGTTGGTGGGTAGAGATTGGACTGTAGTAAAAAGAGCATTAGCTCATAGGTTGGAGGATTACAATTGTAATAAAATTTTTCTTTTTTTATGTTGAGACGTTCACAACATGCCAACATTTTTTGTCCATACGTGGCAACCTTAGTATAAATTGCTGTCAGATATCATGTTTGTGTATTAGTCAAGAGTTCTCCAGAGATGCAGAACCAGAAAGATACATACACAGTCATACCTTGTTTAACGATGGGAATACGTTCTGAGAAATGAGTCATGAGGTTATTTTGTCATTGTGTGAACATCAGAGTGTACTTACACAAACCTAGATGGTAAACCTGTTACACACTTTGACTATATGGTATAGCCTGTTGCTTCTAGGCTACCTGTATAGCGTATTACTGTACTGAATAGTGTATGCAAATGTAACACAGTGATGAGTATTTGTGTATCTAAATGTAGAAAAGATGCAGCAAAATTACAGTATTAAAATCTCATGGGACCACATTTGTTTATTAGGTTCATTGTTGGCCAAAACATAATTATGCAGCATGTGACTATATATAGATTGATTGATAGATACATAAATACATGAGAGGGGATTTATTAGGGGAATTGACTGATGTGATTATGGGGGCTGAGAAATCCTGTAAGAGGTTGTCTGCAAACTAGAGACCCTGGGATGCTGGTAGTATGATTCAGTCCAAGTCCAAACGCCTCAGAACCAGAGAACCCAATGGTCCAATTCTCAGTCTGAGGTTAAAGGCCTGGCTAAAGCAGGGCTGCTGGGCTAAGTCCTGGAGTCCTAAGGCTAGAGAGCCTGGAGTTCTGATGCCCAAGGGCAGGAGGAAGAGAGTATCCTTGCTCCAAGAGAGAGGCAGGGGAAATCCTTTTCTCTCCTTTTTTGTTCTGTCAAGGCCCCTGGCCGGTTGGATGGTGCCCACCCACACTGAGGCAAATCTGCCCCACTCAGTCTACTGACTCACATCCTGGTCTCTGGAAACACCCTCACAGACAAACCCAGAAGTAATGTTTTACTGGTTTTCTAGGTATTCCTTAATCCAGTCAAGTTGATACCTAAAATTAACCATCACAGATTGCTTCCCCATGCAACAAGTTGAACATAATTGAAGACATAGTAGACTCTCTAGAGAAACTTAAAATTTGAGGGCAAATAACAAACCCCAAACTACCTAAAATACAAACTCCTCTAATGTCATATTGTATATGCCATACATTAAATACAAAAAAGATTGACATTCAGCTTTATTTAAGTTACCAAGCTTAAGTAAGGGCTAAGTGGATTTCTTAATAAGATGGTCTCTTTTATCCTTACTGTTATGCCATTTTTTTGACTTACAAAAATGTTCCCAATGAAGCTTTTGAACCCCTTGTATTTGAAGTTGAAACTAGTGAAAACACATGAAAACTCGAGTAGCACAGAAGAGGTGTCAAATGTGAAATAGGACATAAGCAGTGGAAATACTGAGTTTCCATCTCCTAGGCACCTAAAATCTTCTGATACCCACAAACAGAAAAAGTATGTATTACATTTTAATAATCCTATTCTCAAGGTCTAAGTGAGGCATTATTAGAGAAGGAAAAGCTGTCTGTTATGTTTTCACAACCATTTTGACTCCTGAGTCACATATTAGAGTATCTTACGAGATTAGACAGTTTGATTTCCTACCTCTTCATATATTCCATTTCCCCACTCTTGCCCTAGTCCCTGAAGGAGAACTGAACACATGATTTAGTAATACTATTTTCTTTTTAATCAACTCATATAATTCTTTCTACACCCAGCCTGGGCAACATGGCGAAACCTCATCTCTACAAAAAATACAGAACATTAGTTGGGTATGGTGGCGCATGCCTGTAGTCCCTGCTGCTCTCAGGAGGCTGAGGTGGGAGGATCACCTGAGCCTGGGGAGGTCAAGCCTGCAGTGAGCCGTGATGGTGCCACTGCACTGCAGCCTGAGCGACAGAGTGAGACCCTGTCATCAATCTTTTCTTTCTTTCTCTTTCTCTGTTTCTTTCTTCCTTTCTTCCTTTCCTTCCTTCTTTCGTTTCTTTCTCCTCCCTCCCTCCCTCCTTCTTTTCTTTTTTTTCCTTCCTTCCTGCCTTCTTTTCTTTTTTTTCTTTTCTTTTCTCTTAACAAAGCAGTGAGTTAAAACCTGACTGTTGGATTGTAGAGCCTTCAATTAGTGTCTAGTTCATTCTCCTAGAAAGACAAGTGCTCTGCTTGGCTAGTCATTCTGAAATCATCTGTAAGCCCCATCTTAGTTTAAGAATAGCCATCAGATAATTCTTCTCAGCCTTTTCTCCTGGTTTCCTGACAGTTCCAGTTACTTTTTCAGCTTTTCTTCTTTTAGGGCCCTAAAAACCCTTCATGAGGCCTTCATCTTGTGTTACCTTTTCTTTGTAATACTAAAGTTTTATGACAAACATCCCATTCTGGATTCACATTTTACTGTATTAGTCATGGCATGTAAAACAATTCAATAATTGGTACCCTTCTGATTAATTTATTATAGATCTCTTAATATGTAATTCAACTTTTAATGATTCCCTCAGTAAAGGATTTCTAAAACAGTAAAGTTTGTAGGTATTTAGATTAATTGAAGTTTAAAGCTGAGACCTTTGGATAGACATTATGGATGAGGAGCTTAATGTGATTTATACTATGTTTTGTTTAGCTTATCTGATTTTGTCTATTCATACATATATATATATATAAAGCACAAAATTAAAAACATGTAATTTTTCTAATAATACAGTTTGATATATTAATGACTGAACCTTCAGTATTCAGATTCCTGTCTCAACAATATATTGTTATGTCCCATACGTGGTAATCACATAGAGTAATAGTGGTAGCTGTGATTTATATGGCACTTTAAAGGATATTTTTACATATATTTTCTCATTTTATCTTCACAACAACCTTGTGAAAGACATAGGGGAAGTACTAATTTTTCCCCCCATTTTACAGATGAAGGAACTGAGACACAGAGGTTGAGACTTGTCTAAAGTAACATGACCAGTAAGTGCTTGAATTAATGCAGGTAGGTAGTGATGGGTATGTTCTAATCTGCCAAGGGCTTTTCCTTGCTGTCATCTGGCTTGAGTTCTGAGGATATAAATTCATATAGCCAAAATGGTAGGGAACCAGAAAGGTAATGAGTAGATGGACTTTAGGACTACACTAGGGAAATGGTGCTGCTGTTCTTTTTAATTTCTTCCTTTTTGTTCTTTTTGTTTGGTTTCTAACTTGTTAGTAATGATAAGCAGATACCGTCTTTGGTTGTTTCCGTTAGATGAATGAAGCTTTTGTTTTAATTGTAGATTATCCCTGAGGAACTAAGGAAATAGAAAATCTGGAGAGAAGTCTGTTGGGATTCTCACAGGGAATAGCTATTAGATCAACTAAGCAAATGAAAAAGTTAATAGTATATGGATAAACCACATGTGTGTAATTGGAACTTCTTAGGATTCTAAGATTTTTAAAATCTTGTTTAAAAACTGTATTATCACCTTAATATAAAAATCTTAGCGCTTGAGCGTACTTACCCAACTGTGGTTTTCTTTAGATGAGGAAACTGAGGTCCAGAGAAGTTGAAGTTTTCCCAAGGTCACACAGCAGAGCTGGAACTAGAGCTTGCATTTCCTGACTTCCAGATTAGTGTTATTTTTACTTCAAACTATTACTTCTTGGTAAGCTGTTCTTAAAATACTTAAAAAGTCTTTTGTATATTTAATTTATGTTTTTGATTAACATTCCTACTTTGTGCCAAAATGAACTTACAGATACGAATTTACTATTATTTTTGTGATGAGAATTTCAATTCTTTGTTTAATTTTAGGTGAGTTATTGTGGGAAAAATCCTGTATATTGAAGATGTCTCTACACAGTATCGTTTCCTGTTTAAATTACAGATAACTTCAAGAGTTTTCAGAAAAAAAGAAATTGGGACTTTTTTGGTTAAATCATGCCATCTGAACAGAAACAGTTATTTTGTGATGAAAAACAAACTACTTTAAAAAAAGATTATGATGTGAAAAATGAGATAGTTGATAGGTCGGCACCTAAACCAAAAATTTCAGGAAGTATTCATTATGCACTAAAAAATGTGAAAATTGATTTGCCAAAAATAAATATTCCAAATGAAGTCCTATTGAAACATGAAGTTGACAAATACAGAAAATTATTTCAGAGTAAACAGCAGACTGCAAGAAAATCTATCAGTATAAAGACTGTAAGCTGTGTAGAGGAGTGTACATTGCTTCATAAGTCTGAGAGAGCTGAAGAAGAGGGTGTAAAAATGTCTGCAAAAATACTCAATTTCAGCTGTTTAAAATGCCGAGACAACACTCGATATAGCCCAAATGATTTGCAGAAACACTTTCAAATGTGGCACCATGGCGAATTACCTTCATATCCTTGTGAAATGTGCAACTTTTCAGCAAATGACTTTCAGGTATTTAAACAACACAGACGAACCCATAGAAGCACTTTAGTAAAATGTGACATTTGTAACAATGAGAGTGTATATACTTTACTGAACTTGACAAAGCATTTCACATCCACACATTGTGTTAATGGTAATTTTCAATGTGAAAAGTGTAAGTTCTCCACCCAGGATGTTGGCACATTTGTTCAGCACATTCATAGACATAATGAAATTCATTATAAGTGTGGTAAATGTCATCATGTATGTTTTACCAAAGGAGAGCTTCAGAAGCACCTTCATATTCATTCTGGTACTTTTCCCTTCACTTGTCAATATTGTAGCTATGGTGCCACCAGGAGAGAACACCTTGTAAGACATGTTATAACTTTGCACAAAGAACATTTATATGCAAAAGAAAAACTGGAAAAAGACAAATATGAAAAAAGAATGGCAAAGACTTCTGCAGGACTTAAGCTAATACTGAAAAGATATAAAATAGGTGCATCAAGGAAGACGTTCTGGAAACGTAAGAAAATTAACAGTGGAAGTGACAGAAGTATAGAAAAGAACACTCAAGTGCTTAAGAAAATGAACAAAACACAGACTAAATCTGAAGACCAGAGCCATGTTGTTCAAGAGCATTTAAGTGAAGAAAAGGATGAAAGACTACACTGTGAGAATAATGATAAAGCCCCTGAATCAGAGTCAGAGAAGCCAACTCCTCTGTCCACTGGGCAAGGTAATAGAGCTGAAGAGGGACCAAACGCTAGTTCAGGTTTCATGAAGACTGCTGTACTAGGACCTACACTGAAAAATGTAATGATGAAAAATAATAAACTAGCAGTTTCCCCTAACTATAATGCTACGTTTATGGGCTTCAAGATGATGGATGGAAAACAGCATATTGTATTAAAATTGGTGCCTATCAAACAAAATGTATGTTCACCAGGCTCACAGTCAGGTGCTGCAAAGGACGGTACTGCTAATTTGCAGCCCCAGACTTTGGACACTAATGGATTTTTAACAGGAGTAACAACTGAGTTAAATGACACAGTTTATATGAAAGCAGCTACTCCATTTTCATGTTCATCTTCTATACTTTCAGGGAAAGCAAGTTCAGAAAAAGAAATGACTTTGATATCTCAAAGGAATAATATGCTTCAAACAATGGATTATGAGAAAAGTGTATCTTCTTTGTCAGCAACATCAGAATTGGTTACAGCATCAGTGAATTTGACCACAAAATTTGAAACAAGAGATAATGTTGACTTCTGGGGAAATCATCTCACTCAGAGTCACCCCGAGGTATTAGGTACCACCATTAAAAGTCCAGATAAAGTCAACTGTGTTGCCAAACCAAATGCATACAACAGTGGAGATATGCATAATTATTGCATTAATTATGGCAACTGTGAGTTACCTGTTGAATCCTCCAACCAAGGATCATTACCTTTTCATAATTACTCAAAAGTGAATAATTCTAATAAACGTCGTAGGTTTTCAGGAACAGCAGTGTATGAAAACCCTCAAAGAGAATCTTCATCCAGCAAAACAGTTGTCCAACAACCAATTAGTGAATCATTTTTATCACTAGTGAGGCAGGAGAGCTCAAAACCAGATAGCCTATTAGCATCTATTAGCCTTTTAAATGATAAAGATGGAACTTTAAAAGCAAAATCTGAAATTGAAGAACAGTATGTTTTAGAAAAAGGACAAAACATTGATGGACAAAACCTGTACAGTAATGAAAATCAAAATTTAGAGTGTGCGACTGAAAAATCTAAATGGGAAGACTTTTCTAATGTCGATTCACCTATGATGCCTAGAATCACATCTGTTTTCTCTCTCCAGAGCCAACAGGCATCAGAATTTCTGCCACCTGAAGTAAACCAATTGCTTCAGGATGTATTGAAAATAAAACCTGATGTAAAACAAGACTCTAGTAACACTCCAAATAAAGGCTTGCCACTTCATTGTGACCAGTCATTTCAAAAACACGAGAGAGAAGGCAAAATTGTTGAATCTTCGAAAGATTTCAAAGTGCAAGGCATCTTCCCAGTTCCACCTGGCAGTGTGGGTATTAATGTGCCTACAAATGATTTGAATTTGAAATTTGGAAAAGAAAAACAAGTGTCATCAATACCACAAGATGTGAGAGATTCAGAGAAGATGCCTAGAATTTCAGGTTTTGGCACATTACTTAAGACTCAGTCAGATGCGATAATAACACAGCAGCTTGTAAAAGACAAACTACGAGCCACCACACAAAATTTAGGTTCTTTTTATATGCAGAGTCCACTTTTAAATTCAGAACAAAAAAAAACTATAATTGTTCAGACTTCAAAAGGATTCTTAATACCATTGAACATTACTAACAAGCCTGGGCTACCAGTTATTCCTGGAAATGCACTTCCATTGGTTAATTCACAAGGTATCCCTGCTTCTCTTTTTGTAAACAAGAAACCTGGGATGGTTTTAACACTTAATAATGGGAAACTTGAAGGTGTTTCCGCTGTCAAAACCGAGGGTGCCCCAGCTCGTGGAACTGTGACTAAGGAGCCTTGCAAAACACCTATTTTGAAGGTAGAACCAAACAATAATTGTCTTACACCTGGACTTTGTTCCAGCATTGGCAGTTGTTTGAGCATGAAAAGTAGCTCAGAAAATACTTTGCCATTAAAAGGCCCTTACATTTTGAAACCAACGAGTTCTGTGAAAGCTGTTCTTATTCCTAACATGCTATCTGAGCAACAGAGCACTAAGTTGAATATCTCCGATTCAGTAAAACAGCAGAATGAGATTTTTCCAAAACCACCTCTTTATACCTTCTTGCCTGATGGCAAACAAGCTGTTTTTTTAAAGTGTGTGATGCCAAATAAAACTGAGCTGCTTAAGCCCAAATTAGTCCAAAATAGTACTTATCAAAATATACAGCCAAAGAAACCTGAAGGAACACCACAAAGAATATTGCTGAAAATTTTTAACCCTGTTTTAAATGTGACTGCTGCTAATAATCTGTCAGTAAGCAACTCTGCATCCTCATTGCAAAAAGACAACGTACCATCTAATCAGATTATAGGAGGAGAGCAGAAAGAGCCAGAATCTAGAGATGCCTTACCCTTCTTACTAGATGACTTAATGCCAGCAAATGAAATTGTGATAACTTCTACTGCAACATGCCCAGAATCTTCTGAGGAACCAATATGTGTCAGTGACTGTTCAGAGTCCAGGGTATTAAGGTGTAAAACAAATTGTAGAATTGAGAGGAACTTCAATAGAAAAAAGACTTCCAAAAAAATTTTTTCAAAAACAAAAACTCATGGAAGTAAAGACTCTGAAACTGCCTTTGTATCTAGAAACAGAAACTGTAAACGAAAGTGTAGGGATAGTTACCAAGAACCTCCAAGAAGAAAAGCAACATTGCATAGAAAGTGTAAAGAAAAGGCAAAACCTGAAGATGTCCGTGAAACATTTGGATTTAGCAGACCTAGGCTTTCAAAAGATTCCATCAGAACTTTGCGGCTTTTCCCTTTTAGTTCTAAACAGCTTGTGAAATGTCCTAGGAGAAACCAACCAGTTGTAGTTTTGAATCATCCTGACGCAGATGCACCAGAAGTAGTAAGTGTAATGAAAACTATTGCTAAATTTAATGGACATGTACTTAAGGTTTCATTGTCAAAAAGAACTATAAATGCTTTACTGAAACCAGTTTGTTATAACCCTCCTAAAACAACTTATGATGATTTTTCCAAGAGGCACAAAACATTTAAACCTGTTAGTTCTGTGAAAGAAAGATTTGTGCTAAAATTAACACTCAAAAAGACAAGCAAAAACAATTACCAGATTGTGAAGACTACCTCTGAAAATATTTTGAAGGCTAAATTTAACTGTTGGTTTTGTGGTAGAGTATTTGACAATCAGGATACTTGGGCTGGTCATGGGCAGAGACATTTAATGGAAGCTACTCGGGATTGGAACATGTTAGAATAGTTTACCATAATTACCAAGGAAAAGAAAAGTAAAATTACCTTAGAAGAAAACAACGGGTTCAGTTACCATAATGCAGACATTTTCTACTTCAGTATAGTACCTGAAATCGAACATTTTAAAAGTTGATTGTATTTCTGTGGAAGAGTAAAAGTTGTATGTATGATATTTGAAAATGCTATCCCTGCACTCAAAAGTTTTGAAAGAAACTAATCACAGCACAGAAGTACCTTGATTTAATTTTTTAAACGTGTTCTCGGGAAGTTAGGGCTAAAGAAAATTTTGATAAAACAATTTTCCCACTTTAGTTCTTTAGTGACTCTTAGTAGAGGGTAATGGCTGACACCCCCATTCCCTCTCTTCTTCCACCAGCCTTATGCATCTAAGTGTAGCTCCTCTGGAGATGGAGAGCTCTTTCATCGTAGAACTGAAGGAGTTTCTCACATTTGTGAAGATACTTTGAGAGAACCTGGGTAAAGAAGTCACTCTATATCTGCTAAATATAGTTATTTTGAAGGATATTAGGCTCCTTGAAAGTACATTTAACTCACTACAGTTACACCTCATACAATGCTTGAAGAGTTTTTGGCAAGTAAATTTTTTTTCCAGTTGAACTCTGTCACTTGTTAGAGATTGGGAACACTCTCCCAAGGTGATTTTCTTTTTCTAAGTGACTGTGTCAAATGTTGCAGTAGATGGGCAGCTTCAAGAGAAGAATTTAAACTCTTTGTCTCATTGAAAGTTTGGTTAAAGAACTTGAACATATTTCTAAATTTGATTATATTCTCTGATGATCCCTTTGCACAGAACTATGCTTATCTCATGTTTGTCCTCCATAAACAAATGGCCATTTTTTTCTTCTTGGTTCCCATCCCTTTAAAAAGAGTGGAACATAGGAGCACTTCCAAGGGAGTGGCTTTTCTTGAAAATTAAAATTGTTTACCAAAACAGTATTTTGAAGCAAGATCATATTTTTGTCTGTATTCACTTTATTATTTGAACATGTCCAAATTAGGACAAAGCATTTCTGTTAGCTGCTTCTCAGTGTGACTGACAACCCAAAACATATATACAGATTGTTGGCATTTGCAAAAGGAAGCATCAATAGTGGACCCAGAGGCAGTGCATAAAACCTTAGGATAGATTCCTAAGGGACATGCCCAACAGAGTTTTAAAATGGATGTTTTCATGATGACAACAGAATCATAGATTTAGATTTTTCACCTTGTAAGTTTGGATCAAATTTTGCTGGTTCTTTGGATAATGGAGTTCTTGTGTTAACAAATTACGTGCTATATGATTTTTTGTTACATTGTTACAAGTGTTAATGACATTTTCATTAATGGATGAAAACTTCAGGGCTTCTTTTCTGTATATAACAAATTAAGTCTGTACATATTTTTGTACCTTTTATGTAAATTTTGCACAGAAATTTTTGGCATAAGTTTATTTTCTTTCAGTTTAGTTCAGTGCATGCACTAATAAAACTGGTTGTTTAATTTAAAAGGAATATATAAGACTTTACCCATGTTATTTTCTTGGTTTTTATTTCAGATGTAGATTTTGTTTTTGAGGTAAATTCGTTCTTCAGGGATTGAACACTATTGTTAGCAAGTGCCTAAAAAAGATGTGAAACAGTTTACATATGTCAACTGTAACAGTAGGTCCCAAATGGGCCCATTCCCCTAATAGTTTTATTTTTAAAGAAAGCCATACATAGAATGCTTCAAGCTATCTTGCTATGCACATTATACTTGTACTGTTTTGTGCAGTTTGTCTACTTTCTTAGTGAAGTATTTTTTGTATAAAATGTTACAATTGTGTTTCTTAAATTGAGCCTAAGAATGGAGTTAATTGGAAATATACAGTATATATTAATAATGTACATGGTGTTTAAAGAATGGTAAGCATTGTTAATTTCTGTAATGAACATTTTCAATTAAATTTATCTTGTTTGTGTTTACACAATAATTTTTTTACTGTGCTAAAATCTGATGGAAATTTTGTTCTCTAGGAAATACAGATTTTAAAGTGTATGTGTTTTTTCAATGCTAGTTAACTCTACAAGATAGATAAAAGTGTGGGATTTTTTTTCTTCCCAAAATCATAGATGATATATTGTTTAAGAAAGGTAACATATACCATAATTTTACTATGGTTATGCTGGCAAGGTGAGCCATAGAGAGGCTTATAGTCTTCAGTACCCTAACAGCAATAAAATTAAAATGCTCTGTTTGTTACATATAGATCTGTTATGAGACATCACCTGCTGTAAATAGCAAGGAGAGAGAAGGAACTTTCCTGCTAATATTCGCAGCACTATAACATTACATTTCAGAATAGCCATATCAGGAAAATAATGTCGAGATATGTACTTCTTGCCTTTAAGTTTTAACAGCCATTTAAAGTAAGCTTTGTGCTCCAGATATTCTAGTTGGAACTTTTTCTGATTTTGTTAACTTAAGTTATTCTGAGGGAGGCAGACCTGCTTAGAGTTTCATTATTGCCATTGCAGAAAATCCAAAACAAAAGCCTGTATCCTTTATTTTTTGTGTGTGGCTTTCCAAAGAGGGCTTTCCAAAATATGATTTTCAGTAGTTCGAGGTTCTTATTACAATTGAAGAGTTAGTTTTAGTTTTGCAGTTGAATTTCTGTGTGAGGAATTTGTTTTATTTTTTCTAGTTTGTCCATCTCCACTGAAATGGGTTTCTTACTATTTGGCAAGTACTTAAAAAACATAATTCAGTTTTCAAAGAATTTATCTTGCTAAGTATTCAGTAACACAAATTGAAATGTAATAGTTTTTTTAATGGAAAATATTTTCATTGGGGGGTTAGCAAATTTTTTCAATAAAGGGTCAGATAAATAAGCTTCGTAGGCCTTCTAGTTTCTGTCCTAACTACTCAATTCTCATAATGCAGAAAAAAACCATAGACAATATGTAAATGAATTAGTGTGGCTATGTTTTAATAAAACAATTTATAAAAACAGGAAGTGGGCTGAATTTGGCCCACCAGACATAGTTTACTGACTGTTGCTTGAATTCCCTAGAGTCTGCTTTCAGAATGGGATTTTTATTTAAAAAAACAAGCTTGATAAGTTTCGTGATGTACCTCACCTGTGTAAAAGAGCTACAAAGTACGAACTAAAATATGTATATAAAGTTTCTAGTATAGATGTATTTGTATAACAGTGAAGAGACTGTAAATGTAATGAAAATGGTTAGTGGGTAAAATAGGTCATTTGTGTGCTAAGAGTAGTGCAACTTATGAAGGGATTAAAAATGAGATAGAGCAGAAATGCTGTGAGAATTTATGTCCAGGTTAGATGGGAAAAGGACTTAGATATTCTTTCAGTGATTTGAAATAGCTGTTAAGAAAAAGTAATAGAAGTTCTTGGGGTGGGAGAAAATGGAGGTGAATTAAAAACAGAATATTATATACTAATTCCATACAGCTTATCTTGATTTTTTAAAAATAAGATTCCTTTTCACCATTGACATCTACTTCCTTCCTTAACTTTCTTAACAGAGCCATTTGGGGCGTTGGCTCTGTTCTTTGCCTTAGCAACTTGTTAGGATCCTTGCTCTCAGCATACTACCTTGACCCATTGGGGATCTCATCTAGCAAAACTTACTGGGGGGATTTTTCAGGGTGGTATTTGTTGCTAGTTAGCAGAGTATGGCATTAGTGGAAACTTTTTCCTGTAATGGAGAGTTGAAATGGTTGAGTTTGATGTTTATTAATTTATGTATGCCTCTCTTAATAACTGGAGAATTGAGAAGTAATTAGTATCTTGGAGGAAGTATTTCATGAAGTCATCTTTGAGGTGCTTTTTGACTAGTTTAACAAAGCTTCTGTTAATGCCTCCAAATTTAGGAATCTTTTTAAAACGAGAATAATTGTTACAAGAGTGGAAACTTTCAAGTAAATAGTGTGGAAAAAATATAATGTACATCAATTTTAGAAGTCATGAATTTAGGAGATGCCAAGAATGTGCTTAATTTAAATACTTTTTCCTAGTAAAGACATTTCTAATGTGTTAAAATAAGAATTTTTCCATATACTTCAAAGTGCTTAAACCAAAAGTAAGGGTTATGTTTATGTGGCAACTCATGAAATACATCTTTCAATTAAGGAGTGAAATGTTGCCTGCGATCATCAATTACATCATAAGCTATTGCTAATGTCAAAGAATAGGAAAGCAAAATGAAAGTTAAATTTGGGAGAGAGACCAAAATACTCTTGTAGATGACTTGCTTTTAATATCTTGGAAGTTTAAAGGAGTACACTGAAAATTAGTTACTTTCCTGAACAATTAACAGTAATCAACTGGGGAACAATAAAAGAAGACCCATTTATTTATTTTTCGAGATGGAGTCTCACTCTGTTCCCCAGGCTGGAGTGCAGTGGCACAGTCTTGGCTCACTGCAGCCTCTGCCTCCCGGGTTCAAGTACCGCTCCTGTAGTGGGATTACAGGTGCCCACCACGATACCCAGCTAATTTTCATATTTTTAGTAGCGATGGGGTTTCACCATGTTGGCTAGGCTGGTCTTAAACTCCTGACCTCAAGTGATTCACCTGCCTTGGCCTCCCAAAGTCTGGGATTATAGGCATGAGCCACCATGCCCAGCCAGTAAGACCCGTCTATAATAAGAGGCACAAAATAATACAAGCCTGCCAAAAAACAACAACAACCAAAAAAAAAAAAAAAAAAACAGACACCAAACCAAACCTGTAAGATATAACTGGGAGATACATAGTATTTCTGAGTGGAAGACTAAATATACCTGCTTAGCAGATTACATTTTTAGAACTTTGTCCCCCACCCCTACCCCCATTACCCTCTTCCTCTAACAGAGCTGCTTTACAGGGAGGATTGTGGTTTGGGCATTCACTGAAGAGCTGATTTACCATTCTTTCTATCCTCCAGCTGTTCCATAGCATAAAGGTACAGAGGTTCTGTTCAGTGGAGGGTTGGAGTAAGCTTCAAAAACTGACAACACATTATTACAAGAGGCCTGAATTAGGGTTTTTCAGAGATACAGAACCAATATGAGGGCATGTCTTGAGGGAATTAGGTTATGTAATTATGGAGGCTAGGAAGTCCCACACTAGGCTGTCTGCAAGCTAGAGACGTAGTGATGGTGGTAGCATGACTCAGTCGAAGTCCAGAAGCCTCAGAACCAGGAAAACTGGTGGTGTAACTCTCAGACTGAGATAGAAGGCCTGAGAACCAAGGGGCCACGGGTGTAAGTCCTCGAATCCAAAGGCCTGAAACCCTGGAGTTCTGATGTCCAAGGGCATGAAAATAAAGCTGTCTCAGCTCCTGGGGTATGGCGTTAGGCGTGGGGGGAGGAAGTTAGTGGAGAGAGAATTAGCTTTTTCTCTTTTCCTTCTGTCCAGGCTCCTAGCTGTTTGGATTGTGCGTCAATCACATTGTGGGCAAATCTTCCCCATTCAGTGTAATGGCTCACATACCAGTCTCTGAAAACACCCTCACAGACACATTCAGAAATAATGTTTTACCAGTTGTCTAGGTATTCCTTAATGCATTCAAGTTGACACTGAAAATTAACTGTCACAGGGCCTGACTTTATTTGTAACAGACTTCAGAGTATTGTAGAAAACAGTAGAGCAATCAGTAACAGTGGAGGTTCAACAGTTGCCAGGTCATTCCAATAGATAACCAGAAGCTTAAAGAAAGGATCAGGGAGGCCAGGCACGGTGGCTCAGTCTGTAATCCCAGCACTCTGGGAGGCCGAGACGGGCGGATCACAAGGTCAGGAGATCGAGACCATCCTGGCTAACACGGTGAAACTGCGTCCCTCCTAAAAATACAAAAAAATAGCCAGGCATGGCAGCGTGCACCTGTAGTCCCACTACTCGAGAGTCTGAGGCAAGAGGATGGTGTGAACCCGGGAGGCGGAACTTGCAGTGAGCCGAGATCGCACCGCTGCACTCCAGCCTAGGCGACAGAGCGAGACTCTGTCTCAAAAAGAAAGAAAGGATCAGGGAAAGAGACAACCTAGATAAAACTACAGACATCCCTTGTGATCAGGAAGACTGTGCATGCTGAAGGCTGCCATCTCAGAGGACTGACCAGAGAGAACTTCTAAACTACAAGTTCCTGGCCAAATGAAGGGCAAACTTGTAAACTCCTTAAGTAGTGAAAGCAGTCTTCAAGCCATACATTAATTAGTCAAGCCAAGTCACTAAAGGAAGATGATCAGTATGCAGAGATCTGTGTTACCTAAAATGTCCAGTTTCAACACAAAAATTGAGATATGCAAAGAAACAGAAAAGTATGTGTCCTATATGACAGAGAAATGTAGGAAATATAAAGTTTTGAGGGATACCAAATTTAGGATAAATGCTAAGCAGCTGTTACAAATGTATGTTCAAAAGGCTGAGTGCAGTGGTTCATGCCTGTAATGCCAGCAGTTTGGGAGGCTGAGGTGGGTGGATCACTTGAGGCCAGGAGTTTGAGACCAGCCTGGCCAAAATGGTGAAACCCCGTCTCTACTAAAAATAAATTGGCCAAGCGTGGTGGGCGCCTGTAGTCCCAGCTACTCAGGAGGCTGAGGCAGGAGAATCGCTTGAACTCAGGAGGCAGAGGTTGCAGTGAGCCGAGATTGCGCCATTGCTGTCCAGCCTGGGAGGCAGCGAGACTCCACCTCAAAATAAATAAGTAAACCCAAAGAACTAAAGGAAGCCAGATGTGAAGAATTAAGGAAAGTATTCTAATGTCTCACCAAGTAGAGAACATAGAGATAGAAATTTTTTTTAAAGAACTAAATGAAAATTCTGGAGTTGAAAAGTACAATAACTACAATTTTAAAAGTTACTAGAAAGGCTCAATACTAGATTTGAGATGGCAGAAGAAAGAATCAGCAAACCTGCAGATTGATAGAGGATATGCAATCTGAAACAAAAAGTTTGAAGAAAAAGTGTTCTTCACACTATGTACACAAAAATTAACTCAAAATGGATCATAGACCTAAATACAAGCAAAAACTGTAAAACTTACAAAAAATGTAAGTATTTGTGATAATTCTCTAGGCAAAGCTTTCATAGCTGTGACACCAAAAACAAAAAAGTGCAATAGATAATTTGTTTTAAAAGACAGCGTTTTTATTACAGGAGGTTGTAAAACAAGTCTGTTTTATCTGTTTCAGATTAATCTCAACTTAATTTCAGTAATGAAAAATTTGCTCTATATGCCTTCATTCTGCCCATGCTGTTATTGTCACAAACTACATCTTTATAATAATTATATGTCCATCAACATAGTTTTATAATTACGCAGTTTTAAAAATCAGGAGGGAAGAACAAGAGTTACGAACAGATATACATTGTCTTGCTGCTCCAAAATCTGCAATGTAAAAGGCCCCATGCACAAGGGCAATGTGCTAATTCTGTTGGAGTCATGAGTGAGAGGCCCAGAGGTTGCACCTCACTTGGCTGCTCACTGGGTCTTGGATGCAGGGTTCAACCACTTGGCCAGTGGGAATGGTGTGCTACGATCTGCTCCTTTATTTTATTTTTTGCTCACCACACGGGAATTGTGATGCACCCTTAAATAAAGCATTTGTGTTCCAAATTAAAAAAAAAATACATTGTCTTATGTTTATTTGTGCTGGTGAATATATTTACCTTTCCAGTGTTTTTTTTTTTTCATTCATGTGAGTTCGAGTTACTGTCTAGAGTTCTTTCATTTTAGCTTTATACTCCCTTTAGCTTTTTTTTTCTTGTAGAGCAATTCTGCTAGCAACAAACTCAGCTTTTGTCTATCTATGAATATCTTAATTTTTCTGTTTAAAAGAATAGCTTTGCTGGATATAGAATTTTTGGTTGACAGTTTTGTTTTCTTTTTAATTTTCCATTCAACACTTCTAATATGTCATCCCATTGCCATCTGGCCTCCGTGATTTCTGATGAGAAATCAGCTGTTAATTCTCCTGAGGACCTTTGGATGTGATGACTCACTTCTTTCTGTCTTGCTGCTTTCAAGATTCTCTTTTTGTCCTTGTCTTTCAACAGTTTGACTATGATGTGCCAGTATGCATATTTTTGAGTTTATGTTACTTGGAGATTCTGGAGCTTTGTAGAATGGTAGATTAATTTTTGTTAAATCTCATTTTTATTTCATTAAATTTGAGAGGTTTTCAGTTATTCAAATATTCTCCCTGATGAATTCTCTTTTTTTCTCTCTTTCTGAGACTCATCCTATGGGTATGCTGGTATTATTACTAACTTATCTATTTATTTTAGAGAGGCTGGTTCTTGCTCTGTTGCCCAGGCTGGAGTGCAGTGGTGCAGTCATAGCTCACTGCAGCATTGAACTCCTAGACTCAAGCATTCCTTCCACCACAACCTCCCAAATAGCCCAGCTAACTTTTAAAAAAATTTTTGTAGAGTTAGAATCTTACTGTGTTGCCCAGTCTGGTCTTGAACTCTTGGCCTCAAGGAATCCTCCTTCCTTGGCCTCCCAAAACACTGTGATTACAGGTGTGAGCCACTGTGTTTGGCCATATGCTGATATTCTTCATGGTATCATACACGTCTTTCAGGCTCTGTTCGTTTTTTGGTTTTCTTTCTGTTTCTCAGACTGTATGTCAACTGATCAATCTTAGAGTTCACAGATTCTTTGTTTTGCTAGCTTACATCTGCTGTTGAGCCCCTTTATTGAATTTTTATTTCAGTTACTGTGCTTTTCAACTGTAGAATTTCAATTTGGTTCTTTTAATAATTTCTATCCCTTTATTGATGTTCTCTATTTGGTTAAGCTGTAATTCTCTTTAGTTCTTTAAACATGGTTTCTTTTAGTTCTTTGAACATATTTAAGATAGCTGAGTTGAAGTCTTTGTTCAAAATGTACAGTGCCTTAGGGATAATTTCTACTGAATGCTTTTTTCTCTATGTATGGGTCATACTTTGCTCTGCATGTCTCATTTTTTTTGTTGTTGAAGAATTTAAAAGTATGAATTTTGTAATGTGACAACTGAAAATCAGATTCTCCCCTCCAACCTCTCAGGTTTGTTATTCTTACCGTGTTTTGTACTTGTTGTCTAGTGACTTTTCTGAACTGATTTTGTAATGCTTGTATTCTTTGCCATTTGTGGCCATGAAAGTCTTTGTTCTGTGAGTTTAATGGTCAGCTAATAAGTAGACAGAGATAAACACCTGGAATGAATAAATCTTCCAGTGTTTGCTAAGGGACTTGTGTGTTTTTGTGACACATCAACATTCAGCCAGGTGGCTTACAACTCTGCCTTCACCTTCAGCCTCCAGGTTGGCCATTGTGAGAGTTTAGTGCCTTCTCACATCTTTTCTAAGCACACGTACAGCCCTGGGCATGAGTGTGACCTTCTAGATTCTCAGGAGTATGTTAAAGCTTTACAAAGTCCCTATGGACATCTCATTTCCCAGGCTTTTCTTCCAAGCTTTTTGGTTAGTCTGTTGCCTGCCCCAGTTGTTATCTGTCACCCCAGGCAGCAGCAAATAAAGCATTTGGCTGCTAATATTTTAAACATTACCCCTAGTTAGCAACTTTAGCTCTGGACCAACTCCAAGTTAGGCAAAATAAAGACAGGCCTTCTGAGCTGGACTTCCAGGGAGCCACCAGACAGGTCAGTATAAATAGTTAAGGTATTTTGTGATTGAAGACTGTTCTTCCTCTAGTACTGGGAATGAGGGCTGTTATTTACAGTGCTGTTGCTGAGGTGAGGAGTGGAGAATGAGACTAGAGTAACTTAAAATACCACAAAGCTGTTGTTCTGAGATTCAGCCATTTTTCTTGGGTAAGCACTTCCTGGGATGCTAAAAGCTTTTGATTAGTTTAAAAAGTTCCAAAAAAGTTGATTGTGACAGTTTGTTTGCCAGACTTTTAATTGCTTTTATGTTAGGGCAGAATTTCAAAGTCTTTGCTATTTTCACTGACACCACATTATAGATAAATTTAACTTCATCGAAATTTGAAAAATATTGCTTCAATGGATATCATCAAGAAAGTGAAAAGACAACCCACAGATTGGGAAGAAATGTTGTATATCATACATCTGATTATGCATTTTAATTTAGAATAATGAACCCTTACAACTTAGGAGACGTAACCCAATTTAAAGTGGGCAAAAGATCTGAATAGCATTTCTCTAAAGAAGATATACAAATGGCCAAAAAGCACATGAAAAGATGCGCAACATCATTAGTCATTAGGGAAATGAAAACCAAAACCATGTGAGATACCACTAAAAAAAAAAAAACCCAGATGATGAGGCCAGGAAGAGTTTGGAACCCTCATACACTGTTGGTGGGAATGCAAAATGGTACAGCCATCTTGGAAAACAGTATGGGACTTCCTCAATAGGTTACATGTAATGTTA
Source organism: Homo sapiens (assembly GCF_000001405.40). Taxonomy (NCBI): domain Eukaryota; kingdom Metazoa; phylum Chordata; class Mammalia; order Primates; family Hominidae; genus Homo; species Homo sapiens. The sequence continues at coordinate 96,171,157 of NC_000010.11, forward strand.
CCCTGTGGCCCAGAGCTGCTTCTCCTAAGTATATACCCCAAATAATTTAAAACAGGTGTTCACACAAAAATTTATACAAGGATGTTAATAGCAGTATTATTCATAGTGGCCTTAAAAGTGGAAACAACCCAAAGTCCATCAACTGATGAATGCATAAATAAATGTGTATATCTATACAATTGAATATTATTCAATCATAAAAATAAATGAGATAGTAATTTATGCTACAACTTGGATGAATGTTGGAAGCATTAGGTTAAGTGAAAGAAGCCAGTAACAAAACCATGAGTCCATTCATATGAAATGTCAAGAATAGGCACATTTACAAAGAATGAAAGTAGATTAGTAGTGGTTGCTTAAAGCTAAAGGTGTTTAAAGGAAATACAGAGGGGACTGCTAAAGGACAAGGAGTGATAAAAATGTTCTAAAATTGTGATTGTTGTGTAATTCTGGGAATTCACTAAGAAACCATTGAAGTGTACATTTTATATGTGTGAATTATATGGTATGCAAATGATAGTAAGCACACATAGACACATGTATAATGTGGGACACCATTAAGGGCAACATATGTGTAATGAAAAATTTTTTAAGTAGTCAAAGAAATAATGACTAGAAACTTCCCAAGTTTGGTGAAAAACATATTTTCAGAAGCTCAACATACTCCAAGTAGGATAAATGCAAAGAGATTCAAAAGTAGACATGTTATTGTCAGAATGTTGAAAGACAAAAAAAAAATCTTGAAATTATCATAAGAAAAATGATGCATGGAACCCCCAATAAGATTAATAGCTGACTTCTCCCCAAAACCAAGAAGGCTAAAGGGAAGTGGATAACATATTCAAAGTTTTGAAATAGAAACAAAACTGTCTTTCAAAATTGAAGGCAAAATGGATATTTCAAATAAGCAAAATGAGAATTCATTTGTTGCAAACCTACCTTTCAGTAAATACTAAAAGTTCTTAAGACTGAAAGCAAATGATGTCGAGAATAATTTGAATTCACAGGAAAAAAGAAAGACATTACATGAAAGTAAGTAAGTATAAAAGAGAATATAATTGCATCTTTATTTTCCTTTCTCTTAAAAGGCAATCAAATAAAACATTATGCATATAATTGTATTTTGGGGCCAATAGCAGAAATGTTATAACAACACAAGGAAAGTAGATGGGAATAAAGCTATTTTGCAGTAAGGAAATGACACCAGAGAGTATCTCAAATCCACGGGAAGAAGTGAAAAGAACCATAATAGTAAATAAGAAGGCTCATATGAAAAACTCTATAAATATATACTTGTTCTTTTTAAATTACCTTTAAAAGACACAAAATTATTAATAAGTATAACAGTTTATTCTTGGGTTTGTAACATGTAAACCTATTGTGTGTAACAATAAGGTGGGGGAGGGAACAGAGCCATATAGTAGTAAAGTTTTGATATTTCACTGGAATTAAGTTTGTATTTATCTGAAATAGATTCTGATAAAGATGTATATTGTAAGCCCTAGAGCAACCACTAAGAAAATTCCTCAAAAATAAAACATCATTAAAGGGATTAAAATTTATTTTAAAATAGCCAAAGAAAACAGTAAAGGAGAAACAAATTAACAAAAAAGGAATGAAACCTATAAAAAACAAAAGCACACTGGTAGACATAAATCCAACTATATTAATATAACATTAAATGTGAATGGATTAAACAGTCCAATCAAAAGGCAGAAATTTTCAGACTGGATAAATAAGATTCATGTGCAGTAAACTCTCCATATCTGTGCGTTCTACATCTGCAGATTCAATCAATCATGGATCAAAAATGTAGTTAGGCTTATGATGATTGTGTCTGAGCATGTACAGACTTTTTTTCTTATTCCCTAAACAATACAGTATAACAACTATTTAGATAGCATTTGCATTGTATTAGGTATTATAAGTAATCTGGAGATTAAAATATACAGGAGGATATTTGTAGGTTATGTGTGAATACTATGCCATTTTACATAAGGGATTTGAACATCCATAATTTTAGTTTCCACAAGAGCTTCTAGAACCAGTCCCCCATGGAGGCTAAGAGACAACTGTTTATATTATGGAAATTGGCAACAGGTACAAACCAGGGCTTTTTACAACCCCTGACCAAGAGAGCTGATTTCACCAGCACCCTCTGTGGAGATCACAGTTCTAGTTTTTGTCCCATGAATCTGAACAAATCATTCTGTCTACAGGAGCTACACTTTAGACTCAAAGATATTAGTAGGTTGAAATTTTAAAAATGGAAAAACATGTTGTCTCAGTCATTTTGGGCTGCCATAACAAAATACCATAGACTGAGGGGATGAAACAACAAGAATTTATTTTCAAAAAACATTATTAACTATAAAGAGGGAAATTTTATAACAGTAAAAGTGTCAACTCATCAGGAAGCTATAACAATTTTAAACATATATGCACCTAATAACAGAACCACAAAATCCATGAAGCAAAAACTGACAGAATTGAAGGGAGAAGTAGACAAGTAAAGAATGATAGTTGGACACTTTGATACTCCACTTTGCATAAATGAATAAAATAACAACAAAAGATTGGCAAGGAAATAGAAAACTTGAACAGCACTACAAACTAGATCTACTACATCTATGAAATCCACTCCAAAACAGGAGAATAGATATGCTTTTCCAAAGAACATGGAACATTCTCCAGGATATACCATATAAAACAAGTCTCAGTGAATTTGAGAGGATGGGAATGATACAAAGTGTGTTCTCCAACCACAATAGAATTAAATTAGAACTTAAAAACAAAGGAAATTTTGAAAATTCATAAATATATGGCAATTGAACAATACTCATAAATAATCAATGAATCAAGTAACAAACTTTCTTGAGGTTAATAAAAGAAAAAACATAACCCACCAAATCTTGTGAGATGTGACTAAAGCAGTGCTTAGAGGGAAATTTATATCTGTGAGTATATTTAAAAAATAAAAAAACTTACTGCAACAGAACTGTACACTTAAAAATGACTAAAATGGTAACTTTTATGTATACTTACCACAATAAACAAGAAGAAAGATTTCAAATTAATAGCATAACTTTATACTTTAAGGAACAAGAAAAAAAAGAGCAAAGTAAACCCAAAGCAAGTCAAAGGAAGAAAATCATAAAAATGAGATGGAAGGAAATTGCATTGAGAATAGAAAGACAATAGAGAACATAAAGGAAACCAAAATTTGGTTCTTATCAAAGGTCAACAAAATTGACAAGCTTTAGCTAGACTGGCCAAGAAAATAAGACTCAAATTACTAAAAACAGAATGAAAGAGTGGACAATACTACTGCTCTTACAAAATGAAAATGAATGTAAGGGAATACTATGAACAACTGAATGCCCAGTAGTTATATGACCTAGATGAAATTGACAAATTCCTAGAAAGATACAAAAACTATTTTAAAAAATGGCTTAAGAGGAAATATAAAATCAGAAGAAACCTATGACGAGTAAGGTATTGAAATGATACCACAAAAATTGTAAGAAAAACCCAGGTTTAGATGGCTTCAGAATACATTAGTAAAGTCTACCAAAAAAATTACAGATAGATAGATAGATAGATAGATAGCAATTCTTTACAAGCTTACAAAACATGGAATAGGTGTTATATATTGAATGTTTGAGTCCCCCACTCCCCCAAATGCATATGTTGGTGCTTTAACCTCCAATTAGGATGTGGGGCCTTAGGGAGATACTTAAGTTTAGATGAGGTCGTGAAGATAGAGCCCTCACAATGGAATTATTGCCCTTAAGAGTAAGGGACAGCATAATTTTTTTTCTCTGCCATGAGGATACAACAGGAAGTCCCCATTTGTAAGGCAGGAATTGGGGCCTCACTAGAACCCATCTATCCTGGCCGCCTGGTCTCAAACTTCCCAGCTTCCATAACTGTGGGAAATAAATGCCTGTTGTCTGAGCCACTCAGTCTATGATATTTTTGTTATAGCACCCAGAGCTGATTAAGAAATGTACACTTCCCAGCTCATTCTATGAGGCCAAAGACATCTAAAGAAAATTTCCTTATGAATATAGATGCAATAAAGACTAGTAAATCAAGCCTGGGGACATATAAAAATAAGTCACTGCAAGACATTAGTATCTGGGCCACCACTTTGTACTTGGGGCAATTCATGCCTTACATACCCACAGGATGGGTCCTGATTGCCAGCTGGGTGATGAGTAATCTGGTCCCAAAACCTCATCTTTACTTCCTGCTTTCTTGGACTACTTTAGGTACTAACTCTGTCAGTTGGGTCTTCTGGATAAGATGCTGACGTGGAGTTTGGAATGCAAGAAGTTTATTGGGCAGTAATGCTTGGGAAAATTTAAAGGAGAGGAAGGAGGATTGAGTTTAAGAAAAGCCAGCAAACCATAAGGCAGGTCTGATAACTGGAGAAAGAAAGGGGTTGGTGAGTGGAAGCCACATTGGTTATAGAGAGTCTCAGATTGTCATGCATCTCATATACAGTCAGCCAACCCAATGGGTATTTCAGGTCAAAGTCTGTCTTTTAGAAGAGTTCCATGTTGGGCAAAAATGTAGACTGAAGGGTGCTCAGGAAGACCATATATTTGTCTTGAATCCTGAGACAGATGCTGAAAGCCCTAATAGCTAGTGGCTGTCAACCTAATTGCACTCCTTGCAGCTGAATTACAAGTATTCCCTCCCTGCCTCCCTCCCTCCCTTCCTTCCTTCCTTCCTTCCTTCCTTCCTTCCTTCCTTCCTTCCTTCCTTCCTTCCTTTCTTTCCTCCTTCCTTTCTTTTGTTTTTTAGAGATAGGTCTTACTCTATCTCTCAGGCTGGAGTGCAGTGCAATCATTGTAACCTCAAATTCCTGGGCTCAAGCAATCCTGCCTCCTGAGTAGCTAGGACTTCAGGTGCATGGCACCCTGCCTGGTTATTATTATTTTTTAAGTTTTTGTAGAGACAGGGTCTATGTTGCCCAGGCTGGTCTCAGACTCCTGGCCTCAAGTGATCCTCCTGCCTTGGCTTCCCAAAGCAATGTTATAGATGTGAGCCACTACACTCAGCCTATAAATTTTTTCTTGAAGGGAGATCCAAGCTGTACACTTCCATGAATGCCACACTATAGGGCAATATTGAGTAGTAAAACATTTATGTAACTGGAGTCCCAGAAAAGGAGGAGAAAAGGGAGAAAAAAATATTTGAAGCAATAATAACTGAAAATTTTCCTTAAATTTTATGAAAATGATAAACCTAAAGGTCCAAGAAGCTACATGAAGCCCAAGCGGGAAAAGCATGAAGAAAACCATCCCAAACACATCATAATCACATTTCTGGCTGAGTGCCTATAATCCCAGCATTTTGGGAGGCTGAGATGGGAGGATCACTTGAGCCAGGAGTTTCAGACTACCCTGGGAAACATAGTGAGACCTTGTTTCTACAAAAAAACAAAACAAGGGTGGGCACAGTGGCTCATGCCTGTAATCCCAACACTGGGAAGCCAAGGCAGGAAGATCACCTGAGGTCAGGAGTTTGAGACCAGCCTGACCAACATGGTGAAACTCCATCTCTACTAAAAATACAAAAATTAGCTGGGCGTGGTGGCAGACACCTGTCATCCCAGCTACTCAGGAGGGCTGACGCAGGAGAATCACTTGAACCCAGGAGGCAGAGGTTGCAGTGAGCTGAGATCGTGCCACTGCATTCCAGCCTGGGTGACAGAGCGAGACTCTGTCTCAAAACAAACAAACAAAAAGCAATAAAAACAACTTAGCTAGGTGTAGTTGTGCATGCCTGTAGTCCCAGCTACTTCAGTGGCTGCAGTGGGAGGATACTTGAGCCCATGAGGTTGAGGCTGCAGTGAGCCATGATCATGCCACACTGCACTCCAGCCAGGGCAACAGAGTGAGTCTCTGTCTCAAAAAAAAAAAAAAAAAAATCACATTTCTGAAAGCAAGTTATAAAAAATTTAACAGAAGCCAGAGGAAGAAAGTACACATATGTGTTGAGAAACAAAGATAAGAGTTACTGCAGACTTACATCAGAAACTATGCAATCCAGAAGATAGTGGAATGATATTTTTAAAATATTGAAGGGAAAAATAAGTCATCCTAGAATTCTATGTCTAGTGAAATCATCTTTCAAGAATGAAGACAAAACAAATACAGTTTAACATAAGAGAAATCCAAGATAATTCAGCACAACTGCGCTACCTTAAATATTAAGAGAAATTTTTTAGATAGAAGAAAAATGGTATCTTATCTACACAAAGGAATTAAGAGCACTGGACTTTTCCCTCATTGTTTAATTTCTTTTAAAGAAAATCATTGAAAGCAAAAATAATAACATATTATAGGATTTATTACATGTAGGAGTAAAATGTATGACAACAGTAGCACAAAGGCAGGGAAGGGGAAATGGAGGAGTACTGTTGTATTTGAAGATAGACTGTGATAAGTCACATATGTGTATTGTATAGCCTAGAGGAACCATTGTAAAAAACATGTAATTACTAAGAGAATATTGAAGATAAAATAGATTTTAAAACCTCAAGCCAACAGAAGGCACAAAATGGAAAACAAAAACTGGTGGGAAAATATAGAAAACAGAGATGGCAGCTTTAAACCCAATTATATCAATGTTATAAACACTCCAATTAAAAGGCAGAAATTTGTCAGGATGAAAAAATGTAGACCAGAAAAAAATGATACTAGGGATAAAAAGAAATACCTCAATGATAAAGAGTTCCATTCATTAAGAAGACATAACTATCCTAAAAGTCTATGCATATAGTACCAAAGCTTCTAAATACATGAAGTAAAAGCGACAGAACTATAGAGAGAAATTGACAAATCTACAATTATAGTTAGCTATTCCAATACTCCTCTCTCAGTAATTGATAGAACAACTAGGCAAAAAGAAATCAGTAATGACATAGAAGACTAGAGCCATATTATCAGTCAACTTGAACTAAATGATTTTACAGAACATTCCATCTGAAATTAGCAGACTATGCCTTCTTCACAAGTCCATGTAGAACATCCACTAAATTTACAAGTTTCAATAAATTTAAAAGGATTGAATTCATGCAGAGTATGTTATATCCTTAACAGAATTCAATTAGAAATCAATCTCAGAACAATCCTTGGAAAATTCCTGAATACATGGAAATTAAACAGCCCTTTTATGATTAACCCATGAGTTAAAGAAGAAGTCACAGGGGAAATTTAGAAATATTTTTAAGCGAATGAAATTGAGAAATCTATATTACAATTCATTGAATGTTACTAAACCAGTGTTTGGAGGGACATTTTAAACTTCAGATACTTGTATTAGAAAACAATAAAGGTTTACAGTCAATTATGTAAGCTTCCATCTTAAGAAAGTATGGAAAGAAGAGCAAATTAAACCTAAAATGAGCAGAAGAAAGGAAATAATAACATTATTTATGGTAATCAATGAGTAGAAAACAGACAAACAATAGGGAAAATTAATGAAATGAAAACTTGGTTCTTTGCAAAGGTCAATAAAATTGATAAACCTTTAGCTAGATGAATCGAGAAAAATGTTAAAGAGGGGACATTACTACAGATCTGACATATCTTAAAAGCATTATATTAGAATATATATTAGACTATGTTATACAAATAAATTTGGTATCCTAGTTGAAATGGACAAATTCCTTGAGAGACAAATTAACAAAACAAAAATAGAAAATCACAATAGCCTATATCTATTAAAAAATTGAAATCATAATTGAAAACCTTCACACGAAGAAAGCTCCAGCCCAGATGGCTTCATTGGTGAACTCTATCAAATGTATTAGGAATAAATAATATCAATGCTGCACAAATTCTTTCAAAAAATAGGGGAATATTTTTATGTCATTTTATGAGTCCAGCACTATCCTGATACTAAAATTTGATGAAGACATTGTAAGTAAAGAAAACTACAGACCAGTGTTCCCTATGGATGTCTATGTTAAAATCCTTAATGTATTAGCATTAAAAACCCAGCAATATATAAAATGGATACTGTATGTTAAATAGGGTTTACTGCAGGCAAGAAAAATAAAATATTCACAATACATATGTCTGTCAAGGGACTTATGTCTAGAAAATATAACATTTTTACCATTTAATAAAAAACCTAATTTTTAAAATAGACAAAGGAACAGATTCCTCAAAAAAGAGGATATATGGGCACATGAAAAGATACTCAGTATCATTAATCATCAAAAAATTGCTAATTAAAGCCACAATAAGATACTACTACACAGCTAGTAGAATGGCTAAAATTAAAACTGACAGTATCAAGTACTGATTAGGGTGTGAAGCAACTGAACTCTCATACATTGCTGATGTCCCCATAGAGTTTATCCAAAGTACACCCACTTTATAAACATTTTGGCAGTTTCTTATAAACATGTATTTTCTATGTGACCCAGGATTATACTCCTAGATATTTTTTCTAAGAGGAATGAAAACACAGAAACTTCCACACAAAACCCTAACATACATACTGACAGACATACAGCAGGCTCAATAAATGTTCACTGGTTGAATGAAAAAATAACACTTTTGAATCTTTTACAATTCTTCTTCTTCTTCTTCTTCTTCCTTTTCTTCTTCCTCCTCCTCCTCCTCCTCTCCTCCTTCTCTTTCTCCTTCTCCTCCTCCTCATCCTTCTTCTTTTCTTCTTTTTTTCTTCTTCTTTCTTTCTTTCATTTTTTTTTTTTGACATGGAGTCTCGCTCTCTAGCTCAGGCTGGAGTGCAGTGGCACAACCTCGGCTCACTGCAACCTCTGCCTCCTGGGTTCAAGCGATTCTCCTTATTTGGCCTCCTGAGTACCTGGGATTACAGGCAACTGCCATCACGCCTGGCTGATTTTTGGTATTTTTAGTAGAGAGAGGGTTTCACCCTGTTGGCCAGGTTGATCTCAAACTCCTGACCTCAGGTGATCTGCCTGTCTTGGCCTCCCAAAATGCTGGGGTTACAGGCATGAACCACAGCTCCAGCCTCTTTTTTTTTTTTTTTTTTTTTTTTAATAGAGATGAAGTGTTGCTATGTTGCTAAGCCTGGTCTCAAATTCCTGAATTCAAGTGATCCTCTGCCTTAGCCTCCCAAAGTGCTATAATTACAGGTGTGAGCCACTGTACCCAGCCTTGAGCTTTCACAATTTTTTCATCTTTTTTTTTTATATATACTTTAAGTTCTAGGGTACATGTGCACAACGTGCAGGTTTGTTACATATGTATACATGTGCCATGTTGGTTTGCTGCACCCATTAACTCGTAATTTACATTAGGTATTTCTCCTAATGCTATCCCTCCCTCCTCCCCCCACCCCACAATAGGCCCCAGTGTGTGATGTTCCCTGCCTGTGTCCAAGTGTTCTCATTGTTCACTTCCCACCTATGAGTGAGAACATGCGGTGTTAGGTTTTCTGTCCTTGCGATAGTTTGCTCAGAATGATGGTTTCCATCTTCATCCATGTCCCTACAAAGGACATGAACTCATCCTTTTTTATGGCTGCATAGTATTCCATGGTGTATATGTGCCACATTTTCTTAATCCAGTCTATCACTGATGGACATTTGGGTTGGTTCCATGTCTTTGCTATTGTGAATAGTGCCGCAATAAACGTACATGTGCATGTGTCTTTATAGCAGCATGATTTATAATTCTTTGGGTATATACCCAGTAATGTGATGGCTGGGACAAATGGTATTTCTAGTTCTAGATCCTTGAGGAATTGCCACACTGTCTTCCACAATGGTTGAACTAGTTTACACTCCCACCAACAGTGTAAAAGTGTTCCTATTTCTCCACATCCTCTCCAGCACCTGTTGTTTCCTGACTTTTTAATGATTGCCATTCTAACTGGTGTAAGATGGTATCTCATTGTGGTTTTGATTTGCATTTCTCTGATGGCCAGTGATGATGAGCACTTTTTCATGTGTCTGTTGGCTGCATAAAAGTCTTCTTTTGAAAAGTGTCTATTCATGTCCTTCACCCACTTTTTGATGGGGTTGTTTGATTTTTTCTTGTAAATTTGTTTAAGTTCTTTGTAGACTCTGGATATTAGCCCTTTGTCAGATGGATAGATTGCAAAAGTTTTCTCCCATTCTGTAGGTTGCCTGTTCACTCTGATGGTAGTTTCTTTTGCTGTGCAGAAGCTCTTTAGTTTAATTAGATCCCATTTGTCAATTTTGGCTTTTGTTGCCATTGCTTTTGGTGTTTTAGTCATGAAGTCCTTGCCCATGCCTATGTCCTGAATGGTATTGCCTAGGTTTTCTTCTAGGGTTTTTATGGTTTTAGGTCTAACATGTAAGTCTTTAATCCATCTTGAATTAATTTTTGTCTAAGGTGTAAGGAAGGGATCCAGTTTCAGCTTTCTATATATGGCTCGCCAGTTTTCCCAGCACCATTAATTAGGGAATCCTTTCCCCATTTCTTGTTTTTGTCAGGTGTGTCAAAGATCACATGGTTGTAGATGTGTGGTGTTATTTCTGAGGCCTCTGTTCTGTTCCATTGGTCTATCTGTTTTGGTACCAGTACCATTCTGTTTTGGTTACTGTAGCCTTGTAGTATAGTTTGAAGTCAGGTAGCGTGATGCCTCCAGCTTTGTTCTTTTTGATTAGGATTGTCTTGGCAATGCGGGCTCTTTTTTGGTTCCATATGAACTCTAAAATAATTTTTCCAGTTCTGTGAAGAAAGTCATTGGTAGCTTGATGGGGATGGCATTGAATCTATAAATTACCTTGGGTAGTATGGCCATTTTCATGATATTGATTCTTCCTCTCTGTGAGCATGGAATGTTCTTCCATTTGTTTGTGTCCTCTTTTATTTCATTGAGCAGTGGTTTGTAGTTCTCCTTGAAGAGGTCCTTCACATCCCTTGTAAGTTGGATTCCTAGGTATTTTCTTCTCTTTGAAGCAATTGTGAATGGGAGTTCACTCATGATTTGCCTGTCTGTTATTGGTGTATAGGAATGCTTGTGATTTTTGCACATTGATTTTGTATCCTGAGACATTGCTGAAGTTGCTTCTCAGCTTAAGGAGATTTGGGGCTGATACAACGGGGTTTTCTAGATATACAATAATGTCATCTGCAAACAGGGACAGTTAGACTTCCTCATTTCCTAATTGAATACCCTTTATTTCTTTGCCTTGCCTGATTGCCCTGGCCAGAACTTCCAACACTATGTTGAATAGGAGTGGTGAGAAAGAGGGCATCCCTGTCTTGTGCCAGTTTTCAAAGGGAATGCTTCCAGTTTTTGCCCATTCAGTATGATGGTGGCTGTGGGTTTGTCATAAATAGCTCTTATTATTTTGAGATATGTTCCATCAATACCTAGTTTATTGAGAGTTTTTAGCATGAAGGCTGTTGAATTTTGTTGCAGGCCTTTTCTGCATCTATTGAGGTAATCGTGTGATTTTTGTCTTCTGTTTATGTGATGGATTATGTTTGCTGATTTGCATATGTTGAACCAGCCTTGCATCCCACGTATGAAGCCAACTTGATCATGGTGGATAAGCTTTTTGATGTGCTGCTGGATTCGGTTTGCCAGTATTTTATTGAGGATTTTTGCATCGATATTCATCAAGGCTATTGCTCTAAAATTGTTTTTGTTGTGTCTCTGCCAGGCTTTGGTATCAGGATGATGCTGGCCTTATAAAAAGTGTTAGGGAGGATTCCCTCTTTTTCTATTGATTGTAATAGTTTCAGAAGGAATGGTACCACCTCCTCTTTGTACCTCTAGTAGAATTTGGCTGTGAATCTGTCTGGTCCTGGACTTCTTTTGGTTGGTAGGCTATTAATTATTGCCTCAATTTCAGAGCCTGTTATTTGTCTATTCAGGGATTCACTTCTTCCTGGTTTAGTCTTGGGAGGGTATATGTGTCCAGGAATTTATCCATTTCTTCTAGATTTTCTAGTTTATTTGTGTAGAGGTGTTTATAGTATTCTCTGATGGTACTTTGTGTTTCTGTGGGATCGGTGGTGATATCCCCTTTATCATTTTTTATTGCATCTGTTTGATTCTTCTCTGTTCTTTATTAGTCTTGCTAGTGTTCTATCAATTTTGTTGATCTTTTCAAAAAAACAGCTGGATTCATTGATTCTTTGAAGGTTTTTTTGTGTCTTTAACTCCTTCAGTTCTGCTCTGATCTTAGTTATTTCTTGCCTTCTGCTAGCTTTTGAATGTGTTTGCCCTTGCTTCTCTAGCTCTTTTAATTGTGATGTTAGGGTGTCAATTTTAGATCTTTCCTGCTTTCTCTTGTGGGCATTTAGTGCTATAAATTTCCCTCTACGCACTGCTTTAAATGTGTCACAGAGATTCTGGTACTTTGTGTCTTTGTTCTCATTCATTTCAAAGAACATCTTTATTTCTGCCTTCATTTTGTTATTTACCCAGTGGTCATTCAGGAGCAGGTTGTTCAGTTTCCATGTAGTTGAGCGGTTTTGAGTGAGTTTCTTAATCCTGAGTTCTAATTTGATTGCACTGTGGTCTGAGAGACAGTTTGTTGTGATTTCTGTTCTTCTGCATTTGCTGAGGAGTGCTTTACTTCCAACTATGTGGTCAATTTTGGAATAAGTGCAATGTGGTGATGAGAATAATGTATATTCTGTTGATTTGGGGTGGAGAGTTCTGTAGATGTCTATTAGGTCTGCTTGGTGCAGAGCTGAGTTCAAGTCCTGGATATCATTGTTAACCTTCTGTCTCGTTGATCTGTCTAATATTGACAATGGGGTGTTAAATTCTCCCATTATTATTGTTGGGTATCTAAATCTCTTTGTAGGTCTTTAAGGACTTGCTTTATGAATCTGGGTGCTCCCGTATTGGGTGCATATAGATTTAGGATAGTTAGCTCTTCTTGTTGAATTCGTCCCTTTACCATTATTTAATGGCCTTTTTTGTCTCTTTTGATCTTTGTTGGTTTAAAGTCTGTTTTATCAGACTAGGATTGCATTTTTTGCTTTCCATTTGCTTGGTAGGTCTTCCTCCATCCCTTTATTTTGAGCCTATGTGTGTCTCTGCACGTGAGATGGGTCTCCTGAATACAGCACACTCATGGGTCTTGACTCTTTATCCAATTTGCCAGTCTGTGTCTTTTAATTGGGGCATTTAGCCCATTTACATTTAAGGTTAATATTGTTACATGTGAATTTGATCCTGTCATTATGATGTTAGCTGGTTATTTTGCCCGTTAATTGATGCAGTTTCTTCCTAGCATCTATGGTCTTTACAATTTAGCATGTTTTTGCAGTGGCTGGTATTGGTTGTTCCTTTCCATGTTTAGTGCTTCCTTCAGGAGCTCTTGTAAGGCAGGGCTGGTGGTGACAAAATCTCTCAGCATTTGCTTGTCTGTAAAGGATTTTATTTCTCCTTCACTTATGAAGCTTAGTTTGGCTGGATATGAAATTCTGGGTTGAAAATTCTTTTCTTTAAGAATGTTGAATATCGACCCCCACTCTCTTCTGGCTTGTAGAGTTTCTGCTGAGAGATCTGCTGTTAGTCTGATGGGCATCCCTTTGTGGGTAACCCGACCTTTCTCTCTGGCTGCCCTTAACATTTTTTCCTTCATTTCAACCTTGGTGAATCTGACAATTATGTGTCTTGGGGTTGCTCTTCTTGAGGAGTATCTTTGTGGCATTCTGTGTATTTCCTGAATTTGAATGTTGGCCTGCCTTGCTAGGTTGGGGAAGTTCTCCTGGATAATATCCTGAAGAGTGTCTTCCAGCTAGGTTCCATTCTCCCTGTCACTTTCAGGTACACCAATCAAACGTAGATTTGGTCTTTTCACATAGTCCCATATTTCTTAGAGGCTTTGTTCATTTCTTTTTACTCTTTTTTCTCTAAACTTCTCTTCACACTTCGTTTCATTAATTTCATCTTCAATCACTGATACCCTTTCTTCCCTTGATCGAATCAGCTGCTGAAGGCTGTTCATGCATCACGTAGTTCTCGTGCCATGGTTTTCAGCTCCATCAGGTCATTTAAGGTCTTCTCTACACTGTTTATTCTAGTTAGCCATTCGTCTAATCTTTTTTCAAGGTTTTTAGCTTCCTTGTGATGGGTTTGAACATCCTCCTTTAGCTCGGAGAAGTTTTTATTACTGACCTTCTGAAGCCTACTTCTGTCAGTTCATCAAAGTCATTCTCCGTCCAGCTTTGTTCCGTTGCTGGCGAGGAGAGGAGCTGCAATCCTTTGGAGGAGAAGAGGCACTCTGGCTTTCAAAATTTTCAGCTTTTCTGCTCTGGTTTCTCCCCATCTTTGTGGTTTTACCTACCTTTGCTCTTTGATGATGGTGACCTACAGATGGGGTTTTGGTGTGGATGTTCTTTTTGTTGATGCTGATGCTATTCCTTTCTGTTTGTTATTTTCCTTGAACAGTCAGTCCCCTCAGCTGCTGGTCTGCTGGAGTTTGCTGGAGGTCCACTCCAGACCCTCTTTGCCTGGGTATCACCAGCAGAGGCTGCAGAACAGCAAATATTGCTGCCTGATCCTTCCTCTGGAAGCTTCGTCTCAGATGGGCACCCGGCTGTATGAGGTGTCAGTCGGCCCCTACTGGGAGGTGTCTCCCAGTTAGGCTACACAGGGGAGGACATTTAAGTCTGCAGAAGTTTCTGCTGCCTTTTGTTCAGCTATGCCCTGCCCCCAGGGGTGGAGTCTACAGAGGCAGGCAGGCCTCCTTGAGCTGCAGTGGGCTCCACCCAGTTCGAGCTTCCAGGCTGCTTCATTTACCTATTCAAGCCTCAGCAATGGCAGACGCCTCTCCCCCAGCCAGGCTGCTGCCTTGCAGTTCAATCTCAGACTGCTGCACTAGCAGTGAGCAAGGCTTCGTGGGCGTGGGACCTGCTGAGCCAGGCGCCGGATATAATCTCCTGGTGTTCCATTTGCTAAGACCATTGGAAAAGTGCACTATTTGGATGGCAGTGTCCCGATTTTCCTGGTACAGTCTGTCACAGCTTCCCTTGGCTAGGAAAGGGAAATCCCCTGACCCCTTGTACTTCCTGGGTGAGGCAATGCCCCACCCTGCTTTGGCTCGCCCTCCATGGGCTGCACTCCAACCAGTCGCAGTGAGATGAACCAGGTACCTCAATTGGAAATGCAGAAATCACCTGTCTTCTGCATCGATCACACTGGGAGCTGCAGACCGGAGCTGTTACTATTCAGCCATCTTGGAATGAACCAGCTTTTACAATTTTTAATATGCTCATGGAACAATAACATAAAGTAGGTTGCTTTTTTTTTTGACGGAGTCTCTCTCTGTCATCAGACTGGAGTGCAGTGGCACGATCTTGGCTCACTGCAACCTTCGCCTCCTGGGTTCAACTGATTCTTCTGCCTCAGCCTCCTGAGTAGCTGGGACTACAGGTATGTACCACCATGCCCAGCTAATTTTTGTATTTGTAGTAGAGACGGGGTTTCACCATGTTGGCCAAGATGGTCTTGATCTCTTGACCTCATGATTCGCCTGCCTTGGCCTCCCAAAGTGCTGGGATTACAGGTGTGAGCCACTGCGCCTGGCCTAGGTTGCATTATTATCTTCATTTTACAAATAGAGAAACCAAAACAAATAACTTTCCCAAGTTCACACAATCTGTTATTGGTAAAGCTGGGATTAGAATTATTGCAACTTACACCAAATAACTTGCGCTAAACCATAGCAATATCCTTCTCGTCTAATGGAGGAGTTACTTTTAGGGTCATTCACATATTTAGTAGAATAATATGTCCATCTTGATGCATCAAAGGTTAAGAAAAATGTTGAGTCCTTAGTCTTGGATGTTTGGCTATTTTGTCCATGGATAGGCCACAGAGGCCCAGGAATCTCATGATATTTGATGTGAGTTTCTGTGTATATACATAAATGAATTTTTCCTCAGGCCAAAGACCCACAGTTCTCATCAGATTCTCAAAGAATTTTGTAACTACTAAAAGATTAAGAACCACAGATGTAGAGAAAATATTTGAGATTTTCCTAATACACAATTATAATTACTAAGTGTTCTAAAATATTTATAGATGGGTTCATTTAAAGAGTTATCCACAGATCACTTTTTATGTCTGCAAAGAAGATTTTGGTTAGGGGACTAGGAGGTAATGTTTATCAGGCACCACTAGCTTACTTTAGCTCTTGAATCATTACTGGAAAAATATTGTTTACCCTTACCTAGAAATAGAGGCTGAGTTATATGGTGTCTTAAGACCATTTTGAAGGAGAGGAATTCAGTCCTTTTTTAAGAACATGTCTCAGGTAGTGCTGGTTTTGCCTCACATCGCTGAATTCTGTTCTCTGGGACTTTCTTTTAGGCAAGACTATCCCAGCTACTACAGTAAGAGTAGTTTAGCTCCCAGAGTGCAAGGTCTCCAAACCATTGCCCTGGCTAACTTATGATAACACACAATCAGGCTTGTGCTGGACACAGGCGTAGCTTTTTCATGTCTATTGTCCTTTTGAACAAACTTGAAAATCTTTCCTACTACCATAGCTGCAATCTACTTTTCAACAGAAGACAAGAACTGGGGTGTGGTTTTTTTCCTTCTTCAGCTGCTACACATGTACTTCTTGACTAGTGTCTCCTATTCCACCACCTAGCTTGCCTGAAAATTTCTTTATGCAAAACCATTTGTTTGTCAGCCATTGAGACATTGAGATCACAGACAGGTGTTTGAAATTTCTTATTTGTTTATTTTGAGACAGAGTCTCACTCTGTGGCCCAGGCCAGAGTGCAGTGGCATGATCTTGGCTCACTACAACCTCCGCCTCCCAGGTTCAAGTGATTCTCATGCCTCAGCCTCCTGAGTAGTAGCTGAAATTACAGGCGAGTGCCACCATGCCCAGTTAATTTTTTCTAGTTTTAGTAGAGATGGGGTTTCCCTGTGTTGACCAGGTTGGTCTTGAACTCCTGGCCTCAAGTGATCCACCTGCTTCGGCCTGCCAAACTACTGTGATTATAGGTGTAAGCCACCATGCCCAGCCTCTTAAAGACTTTTCTAATCTCATCAAGAATACCACTTGCAGAGGTGGGCTTTAGAGAAGCAGGTGGGATCACCCTCAGTGGACTCTTCTGCAAGATGAGGGAAAAGACTGGCATGTTGGATTGGGTAGTTCTCCCAGCTTTGGGGAGGAGTAGAGCCCTTAGCAGAGAATGGCCTATCTCTCAGAAATTCTCCCAGCCTCTGCTCCAAGAAATCCACCACGCAGTACTGTATGTCAACCAACTGAGGATTAGTATAATCTTAACAGCTATGCTATTACCTAGCTGGAGTAGGACACTTGGAGGAGGAGAGGAAGAATGAGGCATAAGAGGTTGTTATAGAGCCAGGGTTGCTGTGGTAGCAGTGGGAATTAATGAGGATTTACTTAAATAGAAAATAATTCCGTGTAACACTGAGGAAAACTGAAGCTAGAGAGCTGATGCCACATACTACAAACAGATGCTTTGCTTTACCAAAAAATTACCCCAGTTTCCCAGTTTAAATTGTGAGTCATCCTTTCTAGTACATTCAAAATGATTCAATGGTTTTCCTAAAAGGAGAAAAAAAACCTTTCCATACAAAATTTCCCAAACCCCTATATACCTGAATGTAAAAAATGCATATAAATTTTATTAGGTTTCTATGGCCGCCATAATAAACTGGGTGGCTTAAAAAGCCAGAAATTTATTGTCTTCAAGTACTGGACACTCAAAGTCCAAAATCAAGGTGCCACCAGGGCCATGCTCCCTCTAAAACCCGGAGGGAAGTCTGTTCTTGCCTCTTCCTAGCTTCTGATGGTTTGCAGGCAATCTTTGGTGCTCCCAGGCCTACAGATGCATCACTCCAGTCCCTCATCTTCATGTCGTAATCTTTTTTTTCAATAGAAACCATGCTACTTTATTAAAATGCCAAGTTTTAGTTCACATGTATATTTTTGTCTCCCCACCATTTCCATGTTCTGACCACTGCTACTACTATGTCCTATCATAACATTCCATACATATTTAAAACCAAGCAAAGGGTGAAGTTCCATCTTTAATAATGAAACAGGCATTTTGGACAACACATTCTTGGCAATGGAACCTGGACAACATTTATTAAACACAGTAGGGAAAGTTCTCACTCTGCATTATAGAAAGGACAGCCAGATATTGACTGTTAGAGAAATGAAATAAGATGGAAAAATGTTAACAAATTGTTTAAACTATTTTCTAAAGAGACTTCCTCCACTGCCAGGATCTTGAATAGTCTCCTGGTCAGTTGTCCGGAAGCAATTCTTCACATAATTGATGAACTTGGCTTCCACTTTGGGAAGAGAACCACCTTTTTCTATACTTGCTTGCATTTTTGATTTAATGTCTTCTACAGAACTAGGCCCTTTTGGTGTTTTACGAGTTTTTTCCTGTTTTTTGAAGGATTCTTGTCCTTTTAATCTTGGTGTTGATGATGGGTTTGAGTGTTTTCTATTCTGATTTGACTTTTGTGCATTTTTGGCTGGAGTATGTAGATTTCTTCAATGGTGCTTTTTCTTCAGTTTCCTCATCATCAAAATCATCATCATCATCATCATCATCATCATCATCATCTTCATCAGCAGCAAGTTTTACTTTTATTCTCTGGAATCTTGCTACCACCTCCAGGGACAGATCACTTTCCAGATATCCTTAAGAGTTTCACATCCTCCTCCTCTTCATCTTCTGACTCTGCATCTTCCTCCACAGCTACTAAATGCTGTCCACTAATATGCACTGGCCCTGAACCACACTTCAACCATAAAAGCACTGGTGGTGTTATTTCAAAGACCCCAAGGGAAACTGTTGGCTGTACAGACATTTTCAAAGGTGCCAGTGTTATTTAATTGGACTGCCTTCATAATTCATTGCCTCTGCTTCAACAATGTGCAGTTCATCCTTTGCACCAGCCCCTAAACTGACCGTTCTTAAGGATAACTGGTGCTCATTTTCATCATTATCCACCTTAAAGTGATCATCTTTGTCGGCCTTTAGTTCACAACTGAAAAGATAGTTCTGGGCCTCAGGGGGCTCACGTCCATGTCCATCGAATCTTCCATCAGGTGGCGGCACACACTTAGGTGGGAGAGAAAGCAGACGGAGATAAACGACCACTGCTCAAGAGAACAGCCATACAGGATGGAATCACGCCAGTAGTATTGTTCCTGTGTGTCTCTTCATATAGTCTTCTCTCTGTGCCTGCATCCAAATTTCCTAATTTTATAAGGACACCAGCCATTGTATTAAGGCCCACCCTACTGACCTCATCTTACCTTGACTATATCTGTAAAGACCTCATTCCCAAATAAGGTCACATTCTGAGATATGTGGCCTTATGGATTAGGACTTCAACATATCTTTTTGAGGGGACCACAGTTCAATCTGTAACATAGGTGGCAATTATGAAAGTTTATGACATTTAAATATACAATTATCTTTAGAAGTGAGTCATGAGTTACCCTGAAATTATTACCTTCTGGCCTTTCAACATACTTTCATAGATTGCTATCTTATGCAGTGGCCAAGTGTGTTCCCCATTTAATTATTAGACTTAATTAGCTGCTTTATCACTTCACTGCTGTCTGAAGTACACAGTAGAAATATATGACAAAGTATGATACATTTCTGGGATGATCTAAGACCTTGGACCTGATTCTCCACGATGGTATCTCTTTTATTCCTTGGTGTTCACCAATGTCTGCTTTTCTGCTCTTGTTTTGTGGGATATTTCTCTAGGAACTGGCTTTTAGTCTAGCTTTGCTGTCATTCCACTTTGAAACTTGATATGGTTTGGCTGTGTCCTCACCCAAATCTCATCTTGAATTGTAGCTCCCATAATCCCCACGTGCCATGGGAGGGACCTGGTGGGAGGTAACTGAATCACGCGGGCAGGTTTTCCCATGTTGTTGTGATAGTGAGTAAGTCTCATGAGATCTGATGGTTTTATAAAGGGCAGTTCCCCTGCACATGCTCTCTTGCCTGCCACCATGTAAAACATGCCTTTGCTTCTTCTTTGCCTTCTGCCATGATTGTGAGGCCTCCCCAACCATGTGGAACTGTGAGTCCATTAAACCTCTTTTTTTTTTTTTTTTTTTATGTAAATCACCCAGTCTTGAGTATGTCTTTATTAGCAGCGTGATAATGGACTAATACAAACCTCATATCAAGTTTAGGTTCTATTTGATAGACATGTAGATCAAAGAGGGTATAATTATCTTTAGTAAGCAAAACTAACAGCATAATCCTAGACAAGAACTTATAGAAAGTTCATATCCATATATATATATATCCCATGGTTGAGAGTGCTCACAAAAAGGAACCATTACATCCTTCTTGCCTATACTTACAGATATCATACATTACCTTTAATACCTTATTTTCTACAAATTAAAATTTTAACCAAGACTTAATTGTCAAGCATTGGCAGTGGAGAGCCCAGCTACATTAGTGTACCAATGATCATTGTGGAGGTTTAAATTTCCAGCCACTTTGTTTTATGCAAGAGCATTATTTTCTTATTTTGATAATATACTTTACACTTATTTTTAAAAATAAAAATATTTATTTGGAAAATATTAGTAGCATGATAACTCAACCTCACCAGATATTAACAGTTCATCAGGTCAGGCAATAGAACAAGTCCACATGAGCTTCTTAAAAAGAAATGGATGACCACTTCAATAGCTGACTCCATCTTCCATTTTATTACTGGATGATTCATAATCCAAAATATGAAGTTTTGGGACTTTTTCTCAAAAGGAGAAACTTTGGGAAAGTGTCTGAAGCAATGGTATTGATCTTTTTTTTCCCCCTTTATGAAACTTTAACTGCATACTTCAGTCTGGTGGAATCTTTTGTGTTATTCTGACTGTCAATAAGAACCAAAGGACTATGTTGATGATTCCTGATGATTTCAGCAACACTTCCAAAGTACTAGAGGAAGAAAACATAGATGAATTATACTTTGGCATTTGTGTTAAATTTGAGCTCCACTCCTCCCATCTTCTCTCATTCTCAAGTTAGTAAAAGTTATTACACCCCAGCTGACATTCTGCACAAAAAAATCTAGTTTAACAAAGGCTGTAACCTTCAAGGTGGCAGACCTTGGACTTTGCTGTATTAAGTACGAAGAAAAACACACTGACAGCCTCAATTAGCATAGCTACTTAGAGAGATTACTTCACTGAGTTATGATAAAATATTATAGTATATTGCTTTTTATTTACCGTTAAATGTAAAACTATCATACAACGCATTTTTCTACATTCTTTACAAAACATAGATCATCTCTTACTTTGCACAAGTCTCAGATACAAGAATTGATGTAATAAATTAACCTTAGAAATTTAGTACAAGGAAATAGTCATCTCCTAAACAAAATTATGTTTTGTTTTCTTTTTTAAACAAATAAAGAAAGCTTTATAAACCTTCATATTTCCATTTTTACTTGGTTCCTGGTAAGCTTAGAGTTAACTTAGTGCCTAATTAATAATGAAATTTCATGCTAGGCTCTCTCCATACATACTTATTTTTCCAAATTTTGATCCTTGTTGTCTATGGGTTTTAATTTAAAATTATCACAAATTTTGTTCTGAAAAATAATTAAAGTTTTGAAGGAAAGATAAAAACAAATGTAACACAGATCATGAAATTAAATTCATTGAGTATACAAAAGTGCTACAAGTTCACACTCATTAAATGTATTTAGAATCACTTTTTAAAAGTGGTGATTGTTTTACAACAGTGCCATGAGTTTAGCAGTTACTATCAATTGATTTTATTTTCTCGATTTTTTAGATAAAGACAAACATCCACAGTAAAATTTTTAAGTGTTTATTAATTGTTTGGATGACTTCCAAGTAGCTACATATTGAATAAAGTAAAATATTCAGAATATTGGCCAACATTTCCAAATGAAATACCAGTTGTCTTTTAGATAATTGGCTAGCTGAATATTCAGTCAGGGAGAGAGGTAAGAGACAGGGACTTTCAAATACCTTTAGTCTTTATTCTTTACTTCCTATTCAATCATTCAGCCATCTTGCAATTGCCAAAGAAATTCTTTCATTATAAATCCCATTAAACATTCATTCTGCTTGTTTGGCATAATATGTTGCTAAACCAAATGCAGTTGAAAGTTAAAGTTATGGACTCAAGGGCCAGAAAACGAAATAGCACAATCTCTTTGAAGTGGATTACAAGGGAAAAAGTGTGTCCTGAACCTAGGAAGCATAGGAGAGGATTGCTGTACTTATACAAACAAATATCTCATTCCGTCCCTCTAGTCCCTGAATATTTGTGAGTATTGCCTTGTTGTGGTGTTCGGGGATTGAAGTGTGTGCAGTAGGGAGTTGAGCTGAGTTGAAACATTTGAAGTAGGGAATGAAGTTGAAGAATATTTGTGATTTAATTTAAAAAAGAATTGGGCATAACATAGTTACAGCTTCCCCTCACTCTCCTTTTTTTCTGTTTTTATTAATTCAGTGTATTTGAGACAGATACATTCAGTGTATTTGTGGACAGAAAAACAACGTATTGGCCACTAAGATAAAGCAGACAGTTGTCAAAACTGTAAAATTACTCAATGTTGTATCACACAGTGCCAAAATAGCTGCATAAACAGTTAAATAGTTAATGAATTGGTTACTTTTTCTAGCCATGTACACACAAATACACACAGACTTTCAGAAAAACTCCACATGATTGACATCATGTAACCAACACTTTAATTTTCCATTCAGATGTTCAGTGTATAGGGGACATAATCTTTTTATTATAGATACTTTAAGTAAGAGTTTTAATTGACTGTCAGTACCTCCAGATGCTATTATAGTAATATATTACTTATTTTGGAATCCATAGGCTGAATATGTTGGAAGTGAGGTGAAGCTCTAGTCTATTCATTCTAAAGTGGAGATGAAGATTCATCAGGCCAAGAGGAATTCCTGTTTACCAGAGTTTCCTAGCAGGACAACGAAATCCAGAGCCCCTCAGGGAGTTCAAAATTTGTGAGAGAATTTCAGGACCTCGAAATAGGACAGCTTCTTCACCCACCCTTAAGCCTCTTATAGAAAAGCTAGACTGCTGGAGAAGCTTTAGGATGTTAAATGATAATGCGGTCTACATTTTAAAACCAAAGATTGGTCTTGATTAGTGCCCTTAGATTCAAGAGTTTTGCATTTTAAAATTATCTGAGACTTTGTTAAAAGCAAAATAAAATTCCCCAATATAAAAATTCTAGAAGAAAATGTAGGGGGGAAACACCATGACACTGGATTTGGCAATGATTTTTTGGATATGACATTAAAAGCATAGGCAAAAAAAGCAAAAATAGAGAAGACAATATCAAGCTTAAAAGCTTTTGCTCAGCAAATAACACAATCAACAGAGTGGAAAGGTAACCTATGGAGTGGGAAAAATATTTGCAAATCATTTATCTGATAAGGGGTTAATATCCAGAAACATAAAGAACTCCTAAAACTCAGCAACAACAAAAATCAAATAACCTGATTATAAAATGGAATAGACATTTCTCTGAAAATGACTTACAAGTAGCCAAAAAAGCATATGAAAAATGTTCAACATCACTAATCATCAGAGAAATGCAAATTTTTTTTTTTTTTTTTTTTGAGACGGAGTCTCGCTCTGTCGCCCAGGCTGGAGTGCAGTGGCGCGATCTCGACTCACTGCAAGCTCCGCCTCCCGGGTTCACGCCATTCTCCTGCCTCAGCCTCCTGTGTAGCTGGGACTACAGGCACGCGCCACCATGCCCGGCTAATTTTTGTATTTTTAGTAGAGACGGGGTTTCACCGTGTTAGCCAGGATGGTCTCGATCTCCTGACCTCGTGATCCGCCCGTCTCGGCCTCCCAAAGTGCTGGGATTACAGGCGTGAGCCACCGCGCCCGGCCAGAGAAATGCAAATTAAAACCACAATGAGCTGTCTATCACCTTACACCCATTTGGACGGCTACTATAAAACAACAACACAATTCAGAATATAACAAGTGCTGGTGGGGATGTGAAGAAGTTAAACCCTCGTGTGCTGTTGGTGGAACTGTAAAATGGTGCAACTGCTATGGAAAAAAGTATGGGAGGTTCTCAAAAAATTAAAAATAGAATACCCATATCATCCAGCAATCCCACTTCTGGGTATATACCCCCAAATAATTGAAAGCAGTGTCCTGGAGAGATTTGCACACCCGTGTTTATAGCAGCACTATTCACAATAGCCAAGAGGTAGAAGCAACACAAATGTCCACTGATGGATGTTAGACACACAAAATGTGGTATATAGATACAATGAGATACTATGCAGCCTTAAAAAGGAAGGAAATCCTAACACATGCTACAACATGGATGAGTCTCAAGGACATCATGCTAAGTTAAATAAGCTGGTCCTAAAGGACAAATACTGTGTGATTCCACTTGTATGAGGTATCTAAAATATTCAAATTCATAAAAATAGAACGTGGTTGCTAGGGGCTGAAGGGAGGGGGAAAAGGGAAACTGTTGTTCAGTGGGTATAGGGTTTTAGTTCTATAAGATGAACAAGTTCTGGAGATCTGTTTCACAACAATGTAAATATACTTATTACTGAGCTGTACACTTAAAATGATTAAGATGGTAAATTTTATATGTGGTTTTTTAACCACAGTTGTCTAAAAGGCAAAATAAAGAATACACATGACTTTTTCAGTTTGTTTTGCAAATGCTATTCTCCTGCCTGTAATCACTCAACCAAATCAATTCAGTTGCTTAATAATTATTTATCAAGTGTACACTGAAGCCAGTTACTGTGCTCTGATTCTGGAAATACAGAGATGAAAAGACATTGTCCTTGGCTTCATGTAGTGGGGAAGACAGACACTTCAGCAATCATGACATTTTCCAACAATTCAAATATTTTCTAGCAGGTGCTGGGTTTGGAATGGTGTACCTTTTTCTGAAGGAATCTTGAAAGTAAATATTTCTTACCTTGAATTTTGTTTATGCTATTTTCTCTGCATAGATTGTTCTTCCCATTTTTCTCCTTCTCCATCCCTCCAACTTACATTCTACCCATTTAAATTCAACCCGTAATTCAAAACCAGAATAAGTATCACTGCATTTCTAGACCATTCATGGGTTACTCCAGCTCATATTTCAGGGTTCATTTATAGGAGCAGGCTGGCTAAACTGAGATATGGTAAGCACTGAGTTTGGTCCAGATTAAAGAGGCATTAAAGTTAATGTTTGATTAATATTTAAGACCCATGTGATTTTTTTTTCTTGCTCCAGGCCCATAAGCTCATTCTGGTACAAGGGCTATAGTCTAATGTTTTAACTCAAGTTTCTGCATCTCTTCTGGATCCTTCCCTGGTAACCTACCTTGGTACTTGAGTTGAGATTTTAGGTCTTGACTTTGGAGGTCTGGAACTTGACCCTAATTCTTACAACCTTAATTCAACTTGACATTTCAACCTTGATTTATATTTGCCCCTGGACTAAAATCTTGGGTCAGACTGACCTCATTAAATAACTGAATGAAAGGACTAGCATGTACATCACATGACTTTTTCCTTTTCTGTGTTCTTATAGGATATACTGCCTAAATATAGTATTTTATCTTGTTCTCTATGACATTTATGCAAGCATTAGAACAAGTACTTTTGTATCCTTTCTCCTCATCTCTAGCATCTAATACAGTATTTGATGTCATTATACTCAATGCATAGTTATAGAATTGAATTTAAAAAGAAATCACTGACCTCTTCACCATTTTTCTTTCTGCCCAAGGCATATTGTTTTGTTGCTTCAATAAATCGCACAGGAATATTATATACTCGCTTATTAAAGAATACAACTAGTGTATATGGTTGTTTGGAATCATGGCCAGAGCTTTTCCGAATAAGAAATGATCCATCCTGTTTAATTTTTTTTAAAAAACATAATTATGGTTAGTATTACTTATATTTCTACAGGTTCAAAAAATCATTTTGTGAAGAACACCTATATTACATTCCAAAGGTAAATTATTTAGCTACATTATTTTTATTATTGATTAGCGCTTGTCTTCTTATTTTCTAAGAAAATAGTCCAGGAAAATATATACTCATAGAAAATCCTGAGTGAGATCAATGCTTGCCTTTTTTGAAAAAAAGGTAATAATTAATTAATTATTTTTAGAAACAGTCTCACTTTGTTGCCCAGGCTGGTGTGCAGTGGTGCAATCACAGTCCACTACAGCCTGGAACTCCTGAGTTCAAGCGATCCTCCCACCTCAGCCTCCTGAGTACCTGGGACTACTGGCATGCACCACCATGCCCAGCTAAATGCTAGCTTTTTAATGTGCTAAATAAGGTTTTATGTTTATAAAATTTAGAAATATGTGAAGGGACACATTAAGATCAAATCTAGAGGACTCTCTTGAACTGGGAACCATAGCCACCAGTTGTCTATGAAAAAAAATGTATCAAACAAATTCCATTCATAAGTACTATAAGAAGAAAACAGAGGTTGGGAATCAAAACTTTCATTTTATATTTGCCCCTGGACTAAAATCTTGGGTCAGACTGACCTCATTATGAAAATTCTCTCCTCAAAGAACTTTTATAAGAAAAAAAATCCCTAGCCGGGCATAGTGGCGGGCACCTGTAGTCCCAGCTACTCGGGAGGCTGAGGCAGAAGAATGGCGTGAACCCAGGAGACGGAGTTTGCAGTGAGCCAAGATCGTGCCACTGCACTCCAGCCTGGGTGACAGAGCGAGACAACATCAAAAAAAAAAAGAAAGAAAAAGAAAAAGAAAAAAAAATCCCCAAACTGTAAGACAGTAATTCAAATTTTATTAAATTTTTTAATAAAAATATTTAGAATCATAAAATAAAAAATTACGAACAAAAGATGGACAAAAAGCAGAATGAAATGCAACAAGAGTTGATCAAACTCAGGAAACAAACTGAAGAAAAAGACAAGCCTATCTCAACAAAGAACAAATTATAAGATGTCCAAGGGACGAGAGCTTCAAATGAAGATTTAAGAAATGACACTTGAAGGAAGGTGTGGAAACAACCAGGAGAGAAAATGGGATTTAATAAAATAAGTACCATAGAATCAAAGACAGTGATGGGAGAAAAAATGACAAAAAAGATCCAAAACGCATGTAAATTGAGTGCTTGCAGAAGAAAAACAAATAAGGGAACAGAACAACCCTTTAAGACTATGATCTAAGAAAACTTATTGGATATAAGAGAAAACTTAAATCTACGTATTGAAAGGGCTTCTGTCTACTTGAGAAAATTGATTTGGAATTATCAACTCAGAGATATATTCTGGTAAAATGATTAGACTTTAAAAACAAAAAGTCTGCAGAGCCACCAGACTAAAGTATCAAATTACATAGAAGGGCAAGAAAGTCACATTGGTATCAGACTTCTCAAGAGCTTCATACAGAACAACACAATCTAGTGGAGCAACACTTTTCAAACTCAAATTAAGGATTTTATAGCCAGCCAAGATTTCTTCCAACTACTAGGATATGAAAAAACAGTTTTTTAACTCTCTTTCTCTTTTTATTCCCCCACAGCAGTCTCACTCTTGTTGCCCAGGCTGGAGAGCAGTGGCATGATCTCGGCTCACTGCAACTTCCGCCTCCTAGGCCCAACCGATTCTCCTGCTTCAGCCTCCGGAGGAGCTGGGATTATAGGCGCCCGCCATCACGCCTGGCTAATTTTTTTATTTTCAGTAGAGATGAGGTTTTGCCATCTTGGCCAGGCTGGTCTCAAACTCCTGACCTCAAGTGATCCACTCACCTCGGCCCCCCAAAGTGCTAGGATTACAGGCATAAGCCACTGCGCCTGGCTGAGAAAATAGTTTTGAATATAAAGGAACTCAGGGAATAATGTAAACACGATTTTTCCTCAGAATCTACTACAGGTACACTTCATCAAAGGAAAGAGACAATGGTGGAAGTCCACCAAAGGACTGACGGAACACACTAATATATTTACTTGTAGAGCTAGGACTAAAACAAGGGTGAGGAAGAACAGTATGTAAATGCTATATATTCTGACAAAGTGGAGTGCAAGAAAACAAAGAAAAAGAAAATGGGAGGAGAAGAGAGAAAGAAAAAGTGTCACTTTAATCTTGAATTGTCCAAGCTGTCCCTGGTGTTCCTACATGATTGAAGTTGGGCTCTCCAAACATTTACTTCCAGGTATTTTTTGTTTGTTTGTTTGTTTGCCATCTTGACTCAAATTTTTAATCCTGCACATTGATCCAAAATAGCCTGTCACTGTTCACTCCTCAGTGGAGCTCATGCAGCACCAAGCCTTCCATAGACCTCCCCTGGAGCTTTCTCGTCTCCCACTGTTTGGAGGGCAGTGGAGGCTGTGGGTCCTTGAGGAGATGAAAGGACAAGTAGAAATGAGATGGAGGAACTTGAAAGAGAGGAGGGGATAGCAGTTTCTCTTGAGTAAGTAAAGGAAAAAGATCCTTGTATCTACACTTGTTGCAATTATTTAATTAGCATATCATAAGGACGACAACTGTGTCTATTACAGGCTGAGGGCAAAACGTGTGATTTAAAAATGATCAGACCTTGGCCGGGCGCGGTGGCTCACGTCTGTAATCCCAGCACTTTGGGAGGCCAAGGCCGCCAGGCAGATCAACTGAGGTCAGGAGTTCGAGAGCAGCCTGGCCAACATGGTAAAACCCCGTCTCTACTAAAAATACAAAAATTAGCCGGGCTTGGGGGCACACACATGTAATCCCAGCTGCTTGGGAGGCTGAGGCATGAGAATCACTTGAACTTGGGAGGCAGGCAGAGGTTGCAGTGAGCTGAGATCGAGCCACTGCACTCCAGTGAAACTGCATCATCTCAAAACAAATAAATAAAATAAAATAAAATAAAAATAATAAATAATAAAAATGATCAGACCTTGTTTGATCTGTGCAATGCCTCTTCAGCAGACTTTCGATCACAGGCTCCAGCATACCATGGCTTGCAGAGAACGCCAGCTTCCTGTGAAATGGAGGGCACTGGTCAGCATGGGATGGTCCCTACTTAACTCTAATTTCTGTGTACTAGAAACAAAGACCCATTTGCATTATCAAGACAGGCCTCTACATTTACACCAATAATTTTAAGATGAGTTTTATTTTTCCTTTGATCAAACACAAGGATTATACCGTTAACTTGTTTTTTGTATTTTTTTTTCATTTGGCCTTAGCTAGGTTCCTGAATTATTTCTTTCTTTCTCCTAAATAAGTAATAATCCCCCTTTCCATTGTGCTCTTATTGCTCTTACTTTGTGGAGTGCTTTACAATTTCCAAAGCATTTTTACAAATATTATTTTATTTGATTCTTGCAAGAAAGGATATATGCCTTCTTTGAAGGCAAGAAGGACACATGCTATTATCCGTATTTTACATTTTTACATATATTTGTATGGAAACTTAGAAAGACTTGCCCAAGGGCACACAGAGTCCTTTCTCTGTCCCTTTATAAACTGTGCTGTCTTATATGTGATTTAATATCATCAGCCTCTACAGATCTATTTGGAGGAAATTACAAAGTTTAAATAAAATCTATGTGAGAGGAAGAATAATGAAAACACATTTCCTTGCTAGTTTTGAGGAAACATTAACTGGAGCAATGTCTTAGTCATTGAAAAAAAACAACAACTGGGTATTCTGTCCCTATTACCAAATGACAGTTCACATAATGATGTAAAATACAGTCTCTGTTCTCAAGGTTCACTCCAAATGTCTTCTTCTCAGAAGACATGCTCTTTCCTGCAGTTTCCTGGTAACAATTTAGTGACATCAAGAGTTCATTTCATACCTGTTCTGAAATAGTGGAATTAGATGAAAAGCTGGGTAGGGGCCCATCCACAGTTGGGTTTCCCCCTTCTGTAAATCCTGAAAGGGATCAGAAAAGTCCTTCAATTAATCTTCATATTTCTTGAACTCTTTCTATGCCTATCCCCTAACACTGTACTAGGTGCTGCCAGGGACACATCCACCAAAAAAAATCCTTAAGGCAATGGTTCCAAAAGTGTGGTCCAAGGACCCCTGGAAATCTCGAAAATCCTTTCAGGTGGTTCAAGAGGTCTTTTCTTTTTGAATTACCTATCACTATGAAACCCAATTTTCCTCATGTAGTTCCACCAGAAAAACATTGCAACAGATGAAATGTAGAAACAGAGATGAGAATCCAGCAGTCTCTGTTATGTTGCAGTAACATACATTAAAGAGATTTACAAAATGTAAACTAATGCCACTCTTTTCCCTAAATTGTTTTTGTTTGGAAAATATAGTTATTTTTCATAAAAATATTATTTATGTTAACATGTAATGAGTTTAATATTATTTTTAAATGGATTAATAAATGTTTTAAATGTCTCAGTTTTAATTCTTAAAATACTAGGTATCAATAGAAACATGTAAACCAAAGCTCTTTGGGTCTACAATTATTTTAAGAGTGTTAAAGTGGTTCTGAGACCAAAATGTCTGAGAATTGCTGACTTCAGGCATCAACTCCCTCAAAGAGTTTACAGTCTAAATGTGGAAACATGTGAAATACGAAAAAGACTTATCTGCATTCATTCATTCATTCATTCATTCATTCATTCTTGTTTCTCTGCCATGGATCAAAGGCATTGGGGATATACAGCAGTTAACAAAACAGCAAAATGCCCTGCTCTCCTGGAACTTAAATTTTAATGGATTGAGATGGGCAATAAAGACATAAGTAAAAAATATATATATAATGTTAGAGGGTCATAAATGCTATGAAGAAAAATAAATCAGGAAAGGAAGAATATGTGGGTGAGATCTGCAGGTGGAGAGGGAGGAGGCACTGGACATCCCAGGAAAGAATGTCCCGGGTAGAGGGAGCTGTGAAGGCAAGGCCTGGCATATCTAAGGAATAGCAAGGGTGCCACTGTGCCTGGAGTACAGTAAGAAAAGGGGAGAAGAGTAAGAGATACAGTCAGACAGGAGGCAATGAAGGGACCAGATTTATAGGACTTGGTGGACCCTTAACATGACTCAAGAGCTGTAATGAACATGATAAGGGAAGCTTTTGGAGGGTTTTGAACAGGGGGGTAACATGATCTGCCTATGTTTTAACAGGGTCATTCCAGCTGCTGGGCTGGAAACAGAGGGTGGCAACAGCAGAGTGGGGGAGGCCAGTTCGGTGTTCTTGCAGGAGATGACAGTGACTTGGACAGATCACAGCAGTGGAAGCAGTGAGAGTGGTTGGATTCTGGATCTATTTTGAAGGAATAGCTGGAAGGTGTGTGAAGAAAGCAAGTGAGAAGTCAAGGGTGACTCTAAGGTTTTTGACAACAGCAACCAGAGTTGTCCTTTATTAAGATGGGGAAATCTGCAGGAGAAAGAATTCTGGATAAACTAAGTGCTTCAGATAATAGTGCCCTGGATGTTTAGAGAAGGCAGCCACCATTGTAAGAGGAGGGGGCAGTGAGGGCTTGGCAGGCCCAACAAAGATGGGCCAAAAGGAAGGATGTATTCTAATAGGAGGGGAACAGCACTCCCAGGTGAGAGCAGCAAAGGTGAGTGAGTGAACAGACTTTCCCTAGGTGCACAGTGCAGGGCAGTTTGTGGTTTCTGCAGTTCTGGCAGTTGGAAGAGTACCCATGGCTAATATTTTCTGACACCCGAATGTGCTAGGCCTATTCTGTTTTCAACATGCGTGCATCTCGTCCTTTCACCAGCTCTTTGTGGAATGAGCTATTATGCCCATTTTATAGAACAGGCCTTCTCAGACCATCCTGTCTACAGCAGCAGCCCTCCCTGCCTCCGTTACTCTCTGCCACCCACCCCTGCTGCTGCGCTGTATTTTTCTTTATAGCACTTCAGCATTTACCTGATATGATATTATTTGTGCGTTTATTTTTACTCTCTGTCTCCTTCAGTAGAATATAAGTTTCATGAGGACAGGGTCTTTATTTGTTTCGTTCATCCTTGTATCTCCTGTGCCTAGAACAATGCCTGGCACACGGCATATGGTCACTAACAACTGAATGAATGACTTGGTTTGAAAAACGGTAAAAGGTATAATAAACCTTTTTAAATAATGAAAAATAAATTTCTGTAGCCAAATCATTTTCACTTTGTGTTGTCAGAATTTTTTTTAAAAACTAGTAAAAGTTTCATTTATTTAAGATGAATATTATTAAAAATTTAAAAAGCCAATTTATGTTTAGTAAAAAAAATGCATAAAAATTTTGCATGTGGACAATTACTGTTTATTTAAATGGATTTAAGCTTTATTATTTTGGAATATATCCCAAATTATCTATGTAAAGCAGAGTTTTTTTCTTCCTTTTTTTCCCACATTGAGTTGCAGGCAAATTAAGGTTTGGGCAGTTACGTTCTGTGAGCCTGACTTATCCGATTCATATATTTTTAGGGTGATGTTTGCCTTGGAAAAATTATCCAGATATTTGCCGTATCTTCTTTTTAAGGTACCTTTTGTAGACATATTTTGTGATCTTTAAAATATATTTTGACTTAATTTAAATCGGTATTATTTGTTTAGAACCAAACACTATAGCTGGTGCTTCCCATATGTTGTTTTACTTGATCTTATTATTTTGAAAACAGCTGTATTGTTTTTGTAAAAAAAAAAAAAGTTAAAAAAGGATGCATGATCAGTAAAATATTAAATCGCTACTAAAAAAAGTAAAAATTGCCTCAAATATATTTACTTTTCAAAACAACTCTGTGAAATAAACATTCTTGGCCCCATTTTACAGGTAAGGAAACAAGTGGGAGAAGATGCCAGGATAACGCAGCTGGAAGCGACAGTGCTGTGTTAGAACCCAGGCCTATCAGACTCTAGGATCCAGCCTCGACCACTCCCTGATACACTACATGGCTTCGTTGTACTTACTTGGCAGAGGTATGGGTTTTTGGTGGATTTGTCTGCAAGAAAGAATTTCAGATAATTAAAGGACAAAGCACAATATGAGTAAGTTTGACTTTTTGTTTACACTGATGATGCTGTGAACAGGCACATCACAAATAAATCAATACAAATGGCCAATAAAATGTATCTAAAGATAAAAGAGCCACCAAAACCTTAAAGATAAGTAAGACTCTTCCTTTTAGTTTTGAAAAAGGAGGAAATCTTGACTAAAGTATTGTATTTTAGTCAAGTTCAATAATTAACCCAATTAGTAGGTCTCTGCAACTCTACACAGTTATTTTAAAGTTGCTCAACACCTTTTAACACGTAACTGCAAAACAATGAAATGTTGGATTTTTACCTAGCACTGCAAGTCAGTGTCACTGTGCAGTGAAACAATGCACATGTTAATTCCTGCAGCAACAAGAGGAAACTGATCTTTAAAGGAAAGGATTCTTACTTCTGGGCAGGAGGAAACACTGGTGACTGCACAGCTTCTTGTCTGTGACTTGACCCTCGGTGGCGTTCAGCAGGTATAGGTTTTTCTGGATCAGGAAAATTATCATATTAGGATTAGAGTGAAATGTCTGTCCTCATCCCAAAACCCAGCAACATCAGCTGAGAAGAACCAAATTTGATCAGAAGTCTTCCCGGGAACATGTCTTAGTTACTGAGATGTCATGGATCTGTGCACTTGCCAGTCTGTTGATGTGGTTGTGCTATGAGGACCAGGACTCCCTCCCAGCAGTGTTACAGGTACATCCTACCACCTCTGCATTCATCCACTGGCAATGTACATAGAGACTGAACCCACGGGCCCTGAAACTTTAAGTGTGTGAGTATAGGTGGAAGCCAGAAGATGAGAACATTTTAGCCACCCTCTAAACAACTCACCCTCTACTTGCCATGTGGCCTCCACACAGGTGGAGACAACACCCTGGTGGGTCTTGATTAGTCATAAGACGTGGTATAAGCAGTGTGTTACTGATAAGAGGCACACTACTGAGTTCATAAATGATCTCTTTTTGCAAAATTAATTGGATCAAATTCAAGGTTATCCCTATAATAATGTAAATCTCACTTGCATTTCAGTGTTTTCCTGAGCAGAAGAGGAAAGGGTGGGAAATGAGCATAAACCTGAAGTGTAAGAAATTTATGTTGAAGCCCATAGTGAACTCTACTGCTGAACCATTAATAAATGTGATCACACATTATTTTAATACTTTACTCTCCCTCAAATTTGTCGTTGGGGGGTGGGGTGTGTTAAAATCTTGGTATGTTCATGTGTGAGTCTGCATGGAAGAAAGGCTGAGAACTACAGAAACCCCAAAGAAATAAAAGTAGTAAGAACTCAAAGATTCAAATAAATGGTAAGATAGACGTCAGGGTTTCTTACCATTCAGTGGTGCACTAAAGCTTGGAAACCTTGAACCTCTGAAGATTGTATTTTGAATTTGTGGCAAGCTACTTCAAACCTCTATGTTAGATGTTTTGCTCATGACATTAAAACTTGGTAATTTCAGAAGGAGAAACAATGAACACCTTAGGTCTTGCCAGCCTATAAGCTTTGACTACACCTGCTCTGCCTCCGCCATCCTGATTCCTTCCTAGGCTAGTAGAGGCCACTCACTCACTTTGCATTTGGATGGTAATTGCCTATGCTCTTGAAATAAATAACAAAGGAGGGGGCATGCCTGGCAGGCTCCTGTACTGGGAACCCTTTGAGAATGAGGACACCTAAGCAGCAGTGGACATGCCTTGGGCCCTGCTTCTTTCCTGGATTTTGGAGGCTCTTGTAGCCATGAAGTCTGCACAGGTTGTACTTACTTCCTACAGATGCTCAGAGCTCCTGAAGTCACTATCACTCCACAACCTGGACTCAGCAGGTCTGAGAGGCTGCAAGGAATGGAAGTACAGAAAAGACAAAAGCCTCAAAGGGAAGGCAGAAGAAAGCAATACAGCAGAAAAGGGGTGATGCCTCAGAAATAGCCTAGGGAAGCAAGATATGGGAGACAGGATGAAAAAACCTAATGGCGTCATTAAAGCAGAGAGGTGAGTTGTAGTGCATGCTCAGAAAAGATCCACTGTCCATCATCAGAGAAAGGAGAGTGCTTTATGTAGATATACGCACATCAACTCAGGGAAGAGGGAGAATACTCACTACATTTTTAACCCTGGGTATCTTCAAGTATGGAATTAAATGGGTACAGGGCATGAACTTCTATATAATGTTTTAAGTGCTGATATTATAGATGATTCTTCTATTTTTTTCCGGTAATTTCCAAACACAATTTTTTTTAACATGAGCAGTTTCTAAAAATATATATAAGATTTTTGAGTGATGATAAAGGAAGAAATTCTAAATTACTCAGGAGGCTGAGGCAGAAAGACAACTTGAGCCCAGGAATTTGAAGCTGCAGTGAGCTATAATTATGCACCACTGCACTCCAGTCTGGGCTACAAAGTGAGACCCTAACTCAAAAAAAAAAAAAAAAAGGAAGAAAAGCAATTGAAGATGTACTAAGAAGACAGACAATTGAACTTTGAAAACATTATCTTGAAAACTTAGCAAAAGAACTTGTTCAAATAAACAGATTTTTAAAGTTTTCATTACTTTAAGTAAGCTATTAGTTCTAAAACATGTGAATGGCTCTACGTTAGTTTTCACATTTATGTAAGGTCCTAGCACTATTGCCTGGCAAGTCATATCTGTCTGCCAAAAGGCAGGTTTTTGCATGCATTCTGTAGCCTACTCTAAACATGCTGAGGTTCTGAGCTAGTTTTGCTGTTCATTGCTCATTGCAAAAACTATTTTGTTTAGAAAATTGAGTTTCATGTTTACAATTGCCCCAAAAATAATGTAATAAATGTGTACATACAAATCCTTAATAAAATAACTTTTAGAGGACATGCTCATCCTTCAAAATAATAGATTTTACCTTCACAAACACTTGAAGCATTCTGTTGAGAGGCAACTGGAGTCTATGTAAAAGAAAAAAAGGCAAGGTTATTCAATATAGCAGAATGTGGAAATAAATGTCAGAGCAATATTATTAAAATAAATATTTTGGCAGCACTTTTCTTTGATGCATTGCTATTCTTTCAATCACAACAACAATTACAAACCCACAGTCCCTAGCCCAACCTTTGCATTAAGCAACAAACAGCCAGAAGTGTCCTATGAAGGAGCAATG
Organism: Homo sapiens; assembly: GCF_000001405.40. Lineage (NCBI taxonomy): Eukaryota > Metazoa > Chordata > Mammalia > Primates > Hominidae > Homo > Homo sapiens. The sequence goes on from NC_000010.11 coordinate 96,207,266, forward strand.
TCACTGTGGTGGAGAAACCTCCCTGCCTTGTCAACAGGGTTGATGGAAATCATGACCCCCCCAGCAGCTGCCACATAGTAACCCATGTACAGCAGGCATCTGGCATCTGCTTTGGTCTCATGACCCCCCCCTTCTGTGTGTTTGCTAAATGATTGTAAATGTCAGGCTTCACAGTAGGGACTAGGTCCAGGTGGGCTCCCTTATGTAGTGTTGTGGCCCAGGTTCACCATGTTCTGGCCAGAATCTGAGTTTAGTGAGGCCTATGTGTGCCTGATACACAATGGTCTACCATTAGCTGTGGTGGGGAGTGGACACAGACGCTTCCTGTGGAGAGGGCAGGGAACCTGGCTGCCCCTCTGATCTGCTGCGCACACTCAGTGAAGCTGCTGGGATCAAGTGAGGATGAGCTCCTTCTATGCTCCAGGGAGGAGCATCCTCCCTGGCTACCTGAGGATTTGAAGCTTCTCTTGGACTGCTTGGGCAGCAACTTCAGTTGCTAAGATTGCTGTGTTCACCATAGCTGGAAGCATTTTCAACTTTAAATAAATGGATAAGAATAAACACTGCAGGAAATATGAAGCACTTTTAAATGCAAAATTAACTTACTGTCTTCAGTGGTGTCGTTGGTTTTTTCCTGGGGAATAAAAAGAGATGAGCTTTGTTAAAACACAACGAAGACAAAATGGAGCTATTTACCATTATTTTAGTCTCAAATTTAAGCTAGAATTATGAAAGCGATACAAGTGTGTAGAAGACTATCCTTGCAGGGTGGAGAGGGATGGAAGTGGGATTTAGTTATGATCCTCCTAGGCTCAGATGGAGTCTGCTGACAGATGGGGAAGGGGTCAACTGGGGATAAAGTAGGGCACCAGTCCGGCAGAACTGGACTCTTGCACCAGTTGCACTAATTACTTGGCGGGTGACCTTGGGCCTCTTTGTCTTGAGTGTGAGGTTAGATTCCTCACCTGTCAATTGAGGACCAGGATCAGTATTTTCAGTGTTTCTGTGGAGCCCCCTCTTCCCCAACAGCTCCCTGTGGGGGTTACTGTCCAGGACAGAGGGTAGAGGTAAGAGGGTGGTCCAGCAGGTGAGGTTGCAGCTGCACTTGCCCACTCCAGCTTCCTCCCTGTCTCTAGGGACTATTCTCCACTGTCTTCTGTGCAGGCTTTCTTTCAGAGAGATCCGAAACCAAAACAAGTTTGAAAACCACTGATGTGTGGTCCTGAAGGTACTTGCCTGCACTAACATTCTAGTTTGCAAAATGATTCAGGTGCTGGAGCTTCTGAAAGTCGGGGTGTCTTGTGGAACACTGTAAGTCAATGAACTCAAGATTCCAATAGAGACTGGAGTCTAATATTGGTAAGGTTGTATGCTCCTTTTCTGTGTGTTAAATTTCTTAATTTAAAAACCCTCACCATATCTCTCTCTCGCTTTGTTTTCGGCTGAGAGCTGAAGTGTGGGGGAAGAACACTAAGAATTCCTGAGCACCTGTAAGATGCCTGGCACTGGGTTAGGCTCCTCAGGTGCTATTTAAACCTTACAGTGACATTTTAAGGTGAGGAAACTGAGGCTCAGAGAGACGAAGTAGTTTGCCCAAAGTGATACAGCTGAACTAAGAGAGACGTATGCAGAGTTTTGGTTAATAAACCTTCAACATGGAGGCTTTCTTTGGTTTACACAGAGACAGAAATAAGATTAGAGCCATTCAGGCCAGCTTTAGACATATTTAAATTTGCTTTCCAAATAACCTGTTGAGCCAACATAATTTTACGGGGTGACGTTTGTAATATTAACACATTACAATCGTCACCTGACTGTTTACAAAGCCCTTCTAAATTCAATAAGAAAGAATGACTGTCACTTTCGAGAGGAACTTCAGTCGTATGGCTTTGAGGGAGTGCCCTGGTATGACCAGCACATAGTATATATCTACACACTTATTTACAGACCATAAAACTGAGCAGCAGTAAGTAAAGACAAAACCTGCTAGAGGCTCTGAAAATGATTCAGGTGCTGGAGCTTCTGAAAGTCAGGGTGTCTTGTGGAACACTGTAAGTTAGTGAACTCAAGACTTAACTAAAACTTCACAGGAGGAAATACTTCTAGATTTATTTATTTATTTATTTATTTATTCATTTATTTATTTATTTGAGATGGAGTCTTGCTCTGTTGCCCAGGCTGGAGTGCAGTGCTGTGATCTCAGCTCACTGCAACCTGCAGAGGTTCAAGTGATCCTCCTGCCTCAGCCTCCCAAGTAGCTGGGATTACAGGTGTGTGCCACCACGCCTGGCTAATTTTTGTATTTTTAGTAGAGACGGGGTTTCGCCATGTTGGCCAGGCTGGTCTTGAACTCCTGGCTTCAAGTGAGCTGCCCGCCTTGGCCTCCCAAAGTGCTGGGATGACAGGCCTGAGCCACCATGCCTGGCTCATTTGATGTTAGCAGGGCTCCTTACTCTTGGTCCAAGTTGCAGCCTGCCATGGGGAGAACTTCTAATGAAGTCAACAGGGCAGTGGGGTATCACCATCCTCACTCCCCAGATCTCAAAAGCTGCTTCCTGCAACAGGTACTTACCCGGCCCGTGGCAACGGGGATGGTGCAGCTGGTGGAGGTGACTTGGTTTCCCAGGCCCCACTGTTTCGACCTGCACAAACATATACACTACTCAGTCCCCAAGTCCTGAGCCGGGGGCTGATGCTCACACTGAGGCTGGCCTCTCTGGCAGGCTCAGAAATATTTGCACATACTGTGTTGCTTTCAGTTAAGCACATATAGGTAGTTATATTGAAGCTATTAAGGAAAACTTGTGGGCAAAGGTGATGACACATTTTAAAAGTGTCAGTGTATAAGCTCAGAGCTGGGATGGGGGTTAGGGACTCCACCTTAACATTTCTAAAGGACCTTCTCCTTACCCGCCCCCTGCCCCATGGGGCAAGTCCTGAGCCCACTGATTCTGAGGACTCAGTGAGGACCCCCACAGAGGTCCTTCAGGAAGGGAGCCAACAGCTCACACCTACATCTGTGCACACTGCACAAATGTGCACGGCAGAGGTGCCCAGAGACAGAGGCTCCAACCCACCACTCCTGACACAGACCTCAGACAGTGCTCCTTTATAAGCACACTTAAATACGGTAAATGCCTCTAACTTCACATTCAGAGGATATTTACTCACTCATCTCTGAGTTTTCAAGGGCTTTCGCCGACAGGTTTTCCTTAATGGACAAATTGAGACAAGTGCAGGCTGCTGCCCAAATCTCATCTTCTCAAGTCATAGAAGGGACCCGAAGGGTCTTGTCCCCTGCACCCAACCTCCCTTCCTGTACCTGAAGATAGATGCCAGACAATCGTTATGAGGGAGGAAGTGAAAGAGAAGCAGGATGGATCTTCACTGTGGGACAGAGGGCAGGCCAGGAGGGGAGAGGCCAGAGCTGAGCCAGCCCCCTCAGCATCCCCTAGCTGCCTCAGACATGATGCTCACCTGCTTGGACACCATTGCTCAGTGAGACCAAGGGGTCTCTTCATGAGGCTCTTCATTAACTTAACTGAACTGAATAAATGTTTTCTTAAGAACTTACTACACATACAAGTCCACAATTCCGTTTTTTTTTTTTTTTTTTTTTTTGAGACAGGGTCTTGTTCTGTCACCCAGGCTGGAGTGCAGTGGGGAGATCACAGCTTACTGGAGGCTTCAAACTCCTGGACTCAAGTGATCCTCCCCACTAAGTAGCTCCTGAGTAGCTGGGACTACAGGCATGCACCACCACACCTGGCTAATTTTTTGTCCAGATGAGATTTTGCCATGTTGCCCAGGCTGGCCTTGAACTCCTGGACTCAATCCATCCACCTGCCTTGGTCTCCCAAAGTGCTGGGATTACAGGAATGAGCCACGGTGCCTGGCCTATAATTCCTAATGGATTTATAGGGCATACTCTGTAAGTACAGGCTGGACCTGCTGCCCTCAGTCTGTACTTTCTTAGTTTATGAGATAGAGCACAGATAAGCACACATTGAAATAATAATCCATTACCAAGGATTATTGAGGACTTGGTACATGTAAAGCACATGAAGGCACTGTGTTAGGGGCCGAGGAAGAGGTGAAGAAGCAGACATAGGCCTCTGCCCTCTCAGAATTTATAACAGGGAAGATACATGCACCCTCCATATCATCTCATCCAAACACAGACAAGAAAAAGAAAAGGCCTCAAAAAGTATTGAAATAGAGTTCAGGAAGTTCCTTCCCATGTATGTCACTGGAGAGAGGCTCCCAGGCTTCTACTCAGAGCCCACTGACTCTTTTCCTAAACCCTCAAGGATGGGAGCAACAGCAAAGAGTGGGTGGTGTGGATTGTACCTGGAAGCCTTCCCCAGCACCCTGGGAAGCAATGCCCCCTCCATGACAGCTGTCTTCCACGGTACCTGAACTGGGTCTGATTTTTTGAAACATTTTGGAAAAGAGATTGCGTTTGGAATGTTTACATTTCATGTGACAACATGAAAACAATAAACTGAAATGTCACCTGAATGTGTAGTAGGAGTCTCCCTGTGTTTAAGTAACTGGTGTATCAAATTGAATACTTAAGACTGACACTGTTAAAGTACCCTTGACTGCAATAGAATTTGATGGAAGATCTCAGGGAAGTGGAACAAAATCTTGTATGAAAAATAAGGAAGTAGAAAGAAGGTCTAAGTCTGAATTTCATCCCAGGGGTTTTCCCTCTTCTGAAATGTTAAGGGCTCCTTTGGCCACTATATTATCTTTGTCAGACCTTCCTCCTGGCTTTTCTACTATGCTTCCTTTTCTTGCATATCTCAGAATAGTCTGCCAAAACCTTCCTTTTCCTTTCCTTCCCTATAAATAACTTCTGACAATCAGAGGACAGCATGATTGTCATGGTGGAACACTGTCACGGAGGACACTGGTGGAAAGCCTATGGTCTTGCCTCAGGAAGACAGAGTTCTAGGGAAGGATGGAGCATGACTCTTCATGGGTCACTGGCCCATGAAACAATATTGTTCCCTGATAATATCTGCCAGAATGGTCATGGATCAAGGCAGGTTGAACAAGGGATTCTGAATAATAACAATAATAATAACAAAGCACTAGCATTTTATGAGTGCAAGTCATCTATATTGAGTCACTTAATTCTCATGGTATCTACTCATGATACCCCTAGGCATAGGTGCCATTTTTTCAGAGGAAGAAACTAAGAAACAGAGATGACTTCACTTGTTCAAAGTCCGGCACCTAGCAAATGTCAGAGCCAGGACCTAAACCTCTGGCTTTGGAGTCGGCTAAATCCATTCTACTGGCTTCTCAAGCACAGCGGGGACGGCAGGGGCTGTCACTGCACCAGATTTACTATATCACCCTCGGCAGGCACCTTATTGGCTATCAAAGGACCAAGAGCAATATTGACCAGAGGAAACTGATGTGGTGTGGTGCTTTGACAGAAACACCAACTAGGCACCTGATGGACACTTTTGTGATGCCCACTGGGGGACTATCTGAAGCCTTTAAAGGGGAATGGATGGTTATTCAAAGACACAGGCTAGTAGTCTGATCATTTCTTTTGTAAAAATAATCTCTGAAGGTTCCACTGTTTGCACACTCGGAAACCCACTCGGACTGTTTAGGCTTGTCCCTTCAAAATTATTTCACTTCTTCCCCCTTCCTGTAGGTACTCCCACCTGTATGTGATAATCACATAACCAGGACATTATTTTCTTGTTTAGATTTGCTTTCTTCATCTGATGACCCTAGTATTAAAATACAGCTATACCAGGTTAATAGCAAACTTATGAGTAATAAATCCAGCTGGCTAAAGCCCTGTTGGTGATTCTTTAAATATTTAATACAACCAGTGTTTGAGGACTCATTCACCCTCTCAACCAACTGACCCCTCCACAGTCTCGGCACCTCCCCTGAGCCAGATCCTGGGGTAGGCCCTGGAAACAGCTGTGAGCAAATAAAGACAGAAATCTCAGGGCATGTGCAGGGCACTAGAGGGATCTGTCCCAGCTTGGGGCCAGGTAAAGCCTCCTGAGCAATGACATTGAAGGCAAGGTCTCCAAGGAGCTTGCAATGTACTTAGGAAGCGATTAGACTGAGACACAAAGTAATTAGGGAATAAGTACGGGCTAAGTGTAAGGGGGAAGAGACTTCCTGCAAAGGAGAGCTCTCTGAGGGCTACAGAAACCAGAGGAGTCTTCCTGGAGGTGGAGGCCTCAAGCTGGGCCTTGAAGGATGAGTAGGATTAGGTGTCCTAAAAGTGAGAACACAAAGACCAAGAAGCAAGACCCGTGACATACAGGCTGATTGGAGTACTGGGTGTGTTTTAGGAAGAGGAGGTGCTTGTAAGGCAGTGTGTTTTAGGAAGAGGAGGTCCTTGTAAGGCAAGTAGAGCTTTGTAAGAGGTAAACACCAGATATTAGTAATCTATTTCTCTAAAGGAGGGTTGAGGTCTTCATTTATTTATTTGTTAAAGGTTTTCTATTCCAGTAACAACAGCCCTCATCCTGAGTTATCGGGAGTTAGGAGTCTCCATTTCTGCTGGGGCCTAAGCAACCTGGTCACGATGTTTTAGATTGGCATGTTTGACCTTTGTCTCTCCAGAGGGTAAGATGAGCTGGCTAAGATGGCTCTGAGCTCCACTCCCCACTTATAAAGCGCTTGTGGGTTCTGAGGAGAGGTTAAGTAAAACCAGAACTTGTGAAGAAAGTGAATAATTTCACAAGAAATGAGTCCAGGAAAAGATTTTTAAAATACTCGACTGTTCTTTCATTTTCTGTGAAGGAGCCTGTCTCTGGAAGCAGAGCTCAGCCTCTCAATGACTTGTGTTCAGCTCTGTGAGAGAAGAGAGTGTGTGTGTATGAATGTGTGTGTGTGTGTGCACACGCGCATATGTGTGCCTAGGGGAGAGGGACAAGGGGAGAGAGGGAGAGGAAATGCCTGTGAGAATGCTGGAGAGCAGGCTCCTACACCTCTCTGTGCTGTTAATGGGGGTCATGGGCACCCCTCAGTGTCTTGGGCTCAGCCTTGGGGGTTGCCAAAACCTATAGGAGCAACCAGGAACATTCATGGTTTGGGGGTAGGGGTGACATGGCAAAGACTAGCTTTGTGGTGAGATGAAACTGGTAACATCTGGAGGAGTTCAGCGGCTCAGTCCTTGTCGCTGAGGAGAGAGCCAAGAGGCAGGGGTATGGCTGCTGGACAAGAAGGTGCAAGGTGGCTGAGTAAAGAAAGCCCAGACTAGGGTGGTCACAGCTAAAATGGAACAGCAAATTCAGGAGAAAAAAAAGCAGGATTTGGAGCATGTGGCCTGGAGGCTCTACGCATTGAGAAACAGGGGTGCCCGCAGGGGAGGGAGGAGTGAGTTTAGAGTCCTGTGTGGGAGCATCAAGGTGTTCAGAAGGGAAGTCAGGTTGGGGTTGGATGCCAGGGAGTTACCAGTGTAGACTTGAGACATGAATCCAGATTAATCGATGAACGCTACAGAAGTGAAAAATCATTCTCTCTCCTCAGCACTTAGTGTGTACCAGGCACTCATTAAGAGTTTCGCATTCACATTTGCAGAATTCTCCTGTCACAGAGTAGGGGCTATGAGCACCATTTACAGAAAAGAAAATCTGATGCTTGGAGAGGTGAAGTACAAGCCCAAGGTGGCATAGCTGGTAACGGGGCACACTGGGGTTCCAACCGAGGTCTGTCTGGCTCAAAACCAAGCTTGTAACCATCATGATGTTCTGAAAGAACTGTGGGTTGAGGGCTGAGGGCTAAATTCCGGGACCCCCTCAGTCAAGGAAGGGGACACAGAGAAGCCAGCAAGGTGCCCAGGAAGGTAGGGTGAAAACCAGAACTTGTCTAGCAGATGCCAAAAGGCCTGGGGAAATGGCCACTTCCACACACGTGCCACCAGACAGTGCATGAGGATGAGGACTGGCCTTCTGTTCCCAATATTAAGACATTTGGAAATACAAGTGATTACTCTTCATAGTTGATCTGTTTTTCTTATTTGAAATAGACGTAAAACCAAACCAAATCACACATACACTTTACCTGAAGCTGTTCCTGGAGGAGAGGCGGGCGTTGAGGAATTTGGCTTGGTTGATCTATTCACCATGGGAGCTTAAACACAGAAATGTGTGTGTATATATATATATATATATACATAAAACCATTACAGATACATGCCATTGAGGAAAATTCACACTCAGGGAAAAATGATGACCAGACCAGAGAATTTGCAAAGAATGGGAGACACCCTTATTAGACACACAAACCAATAAAAGAAGTCTTCTTAGAAGAAACATCTTTAGAATGGGAATATCAATGACAGATTCATAATTTGATATATTATTATTTGATTATTTGATGATAGAGATCTTGTTAAAGTGAATAATGGCTTTGAATTTCATTTGCCAAGTGGGAGGTCTAAGAGATAAAGGAGTTTTATTGTTTTTGTTTTTCATCAAGAGTGTATTGAACCCCTTACTGGAGGGGCCCAATTAATAGCTCCACCTCCCCTACCAGATGCAATACACACCATTGCTCTGGGATTTCATGGGTTTTTTTCTGTTCTTTTTTGTTTTTTTAAAGAGGGGTTGGTAAGGAGGGAATGTGTATTTGTTCTTTTGTGGTAATGGGTGGCTTGGGAATTCAGGTGGGTCTTGAAGCTGTTGGTGATAGGTACGGAGTACGGGAGAGGGTTGCTACATGATGGCGGACTGAAACCTGAATATGGCTACCATGGAGTTGAGAGTAGTAGATGAGTAATGTTACCTGAAGAGGTATCACTTGTACTGGATCATATTCTCCATAGTGACTATATTCAGAGTAAACATACCCTGTTTCCATGCCTAATCTTATGTAGCACTGGCTTTTTAAGGTAATTCATTGGTCATAGCATTTGTTGTTCTGTGAAGGGTTTACGGATGAAATGTTTCATAGGCTTATCATACTACTAAATTTAAAGAACCAGGACTCAGGGCATATTTCACTCTTTCATTTTTTCACTCCTCTGCAGAAACTGTTCTTGGTGCAATGTTTACAAGGCCAACATGGTGGCTTGTGACATTGTATTAGGTTTTATGAGAAATCCATTTGAAGCGAGGGCAGCTGAAGAGAACTACCCAGGTGCTTTCATAATGTGAGATGGGAAGATTAAAGCATGGAAGAGGAAGGGGAAGGCAGGGAAGGGCTATGATACACAGAGATGGGTTGTCACTGATGCTGTCTGCCCAACCAGCCAAAGAAGCACACACTGTGGCCCAGGGGAGAAAGTCCTGGGCACTGTCATTTCTGAGCCTCTTAGTGCTTACTACCAAATACTCTTATACATCCTGATCAACTGCTAAAAATTTTCAGGTGCTTAAGGCGACAAACTCTTACCTTTTTCAGGTGGAGGTGAACTGCTTTCTGTGGGATGAATATAGTTTTCATCATTATCTTCCACGGGGACCACATAATCAGCCTAACAGAAATACAAAACTGAATGAGAAGAATGCTGTACATTCATAGTTGACTGTATGGGAGGGAGTGATTTTTTTAAAAAGCATTATTGAGACGCAATTCACATATCATAAAATTCTACTATGTAAATTGTACAATTTGGTGACTTTTAGTATATTCACAGACATATACAACCATCACCACAATCTAATTTTAGGACATTTTTATGCAAAAAGAAACCTTGCACCCATTAGTCACTCCCCATCCACCGCTTCCTTGACCTAGTCGACCACAAATCTACTTTCTTTCTCTATAGATTTTGCCCATTCTGGACATTGAATATGCACGGAATCACACAATCTGTAGTCTTTTGAGACTTCTTTCACTTAGTATAATGTTTTCAAGGTTTTCCTGTGGTATAGTATGTATCACAACTCCCGTCTTTTTATGGCCAAATAATAGTCTATTTTATGAGTATGCCACATTTGTTTATCCATTCATCAGCTGATGGACATTTGAGTTTTTTTCCACTTTTTGGCTGTAATGAATAATGGTGTCATGACTATTCATGTACAAGTTTTTGTGTAGACATGCATTTCTCTTGGGAATATCCTAGAAGTGAAATTGTTGAGTCATATGGTAGCTCTAAGTTTAACAGTCGGAGAAACTGCCAAACTGTTTTCCAAAGAGGCTGCACCATTTTTCATTCCTGCCAGCAATGTATGAGGGCTCCAGTTTTTTCATATCCTCACCAACACTTGTTATCATCCTTTTTATTACAGCCATCCTTGTGTGTGCAAAATGATATCTCATTATAGTTTTGATTTGCATTTCCCTGAAGACTAATGATGTTGAGTATCTTTTTATATACTTATTGTCAATTTTTGTATATTCTTTGGAGACATGTCTATTCAAATCTTTGCCCATTTTTAATTGGGTTGTTTATCTTTTTATTGAGTTATAAGAGTTATCTATATATTCTAGTTATAAGTTCTTCATCAGATATACAATTTACAAAACTTTTCTTCCATTCTGTAGGTTACTTTTTTACTTTCTTATTGGTATCATTGGTGGCACAAAACGTTTAAATTTTGAAGTCTGTTTTATTTATTCTTTTATTGCTTGTACTTTTGATGTCATATCCAAGAAACCATTGCCTAACCCAAAGCCATAAAGACTCATATCTGTGTTTTCCTCTAAGAGTTTTACAGTTTTAGCTCTTACAGTTAGGTCTATGCTACATTTTCAGTTAATTTTTGTGTATGGTGCGAGATTAGAAGTCCAGTTTCATTCTTTTGCCTGTGGATACATCTAGCACCATTTACCTAGCACTATTTGTTTTAAAAAAGTATTTCTCTATTGAATCGTCTTAGCACTTTTGTCAATAATTAAATGACGATAAATGCAGGGAGGGAGAGATTTTATATTGACAAGACACAAATGAGGTAACCAGATCTCAAAACTGGTTTTTACCACCTGCCCTGGTGGGCAGCCAAGAAGGGTACTAGGAGAAACAAAAACAAAAATTTATTGCCAGGTGTTCTTCTAAGTACTTTACATGTTTTTTTTCTCATTTAATCCTCTAACAACACAATAAGAGAGATATCACCATTGGCTCCATTTCCAGATGAAGAAACTGAGGCACAGAAAAATTAAGTAGTTTGCTCAAGTTGTCAAGTTTAAAAGTGGTAGACCCAGAAGGGCACAGTGGCTCGTGCCTGTAATCCCAGAACTTTGGGAGGCTGAGGCAGGTGGATAGATAAGAGTCCAGGAGTTCAAAACCAGCCTGGGCAACATGGTGAAACCCTGTCTCTACAAAAAATATAGAAAAATTAGCCAAACATATTGGTATGCACCTGTAGTCCCAGCTACTCCAGAGGCTGAGGTGGGAAGGTTGCTTGAGCCCAGGAAGCTGAGGCTGCAGTGAGTTGTGATTGCGCTTGGCAACAGAATGAGACCTTGTCTCCAAAAAAAAAAAAAAAAAGTGGTAGATCCAGGATTTGAACTCAAGCAGTTCAATAATTTAGCACCCATACTTTTATCCACCACATTCTAGTACCTTCCATCCTCCCCCTCCTCTTTCTGTCTTATCTATCCTCTCTTTATTTAATTGCTATTTCTTATCTCTTTCTTCACCTCTGAAGCTGGCCGAGAGGCACCAGAGAGTTCTACTCACACATCTCAATCTGCAGTTATATTTAGAGATGATCTGGCTGAGGGAGATGAGGCTTTGGAATCATACAGACCTGGGAGGAAATCTGTGCTTGGGTCTTTTCTAGATGTATGACCTGTGGGGGAGTTAATTGCTGAATCATCGGAAGTTCTCCTGGATTCTGCCATTCAGAGGTGGGCACTTGCTCCTCTGTGGCACAGGGAACCTGGTCCTCATCTCTGCTTCGTCTCTGGCCCCACAGTGTCAAACTATGAACTCCCGAAGGGCAGGGCCTTCTCCTTCTCTGTGTTTGTGTTTCCAGTACCTGGCCAGTCGAATGCCTCACTGAATTGAATTGAAATTGCCTAACCCAATAGCCAAGGCTGGGATGGGCTGACTTAGCAGCTTTGAATAATGGGATGTTGAGTGGCTGCGGATCCCTGCAGGACCTTTTTGGTTCTATGGGTTCACCTTTTCGGATTCATTAGTAGCCAGAGTGACATGCTTTATAAGAACCCAACTTCTCTTCTAGGCGTTAGTTCCTATAAAAGGAGAGGCTGAGCCCCCAGGAGGCATGCCACCCTCTTAAACCCTGTAGTCAACAAAATCCTTCAATATCTTATGTCTGAACACAGAATATTGGTATTGACACTTGGCAATGATGCCTGAATGGATATAGGGAAGTTGGAAGCTCCAGGCCCTAACCCAGTCCTACTTGACCACTTCAAAATGTATTCTTTCCTCTGTATTCTTAATTTTGTACTTGTTTTGTTCTGCAGTGCTTGATTACAGAAAATGTTTTTATCTGCAGTGTTTAGAATCTGAGCTGTTTAGAGTCATGATGATATAGGAGTTAAGAAAAAATTACTTAGGCAGATAGTGAGGGTAAGATGTCCTTGGTAAGGTTTTCCTTTTAATAAAAAGCAGCCCCAAAATCATTTTCTTTTCTAACAAAGAGTAGCCTGTAAAATCAAGCTGCTGATATAGACAAGCAAGCTGGAAGCTTGCATGGGTGAATGCTGGCAGTTGTGCCAATAGGAAAACGCTACCTGTGACTAGGCATGATCAAAATGGTGGCTCTGTCTTCCCCTCTCTTTGCCAGCCACCTGTACAGTAAGGAGCAGACAAGATGGCACTGGCCAAGTAGAAAACCCATTTGTATAATAAGATTAGGGTGGGGCGACCAGCCTCTTCTGCACCATGTAAATGTCACTCCTGATCAAACCAATCTGTGGACCCTGTATAAATCAGATATCACCTCCTGAAGCCTGCCTCTAAAATCTGCTGTGGTCCACCTCAGGCTTGGTTTTCCCTTCAGATTCCACTGTCTTGCAAGAGAGAGAGAGATGCTCTCCTCTCTCCTTTCTTCTGTCTATTAAACTTTCTGCTCCTTAACCCACCCACACGTGTCCATGTCATTAATCTTGTCAGTGCGAGACGACGAACCCCAGGTATTTACCCCAGACAACGATGCCACTTCAATGATATTTCTGGAATGGAGACATTTGTATTCCCAAAGAAGACTGATAGGAAAAAAGACTCGATCCAGTCTCAACAAATTCTGTTTGTAGTGTCTGCCCAACTTTCTCATCTTTATAGGGTTTTAGGAGAAGGAATGTAAAATGTATATTCCCAGCATTGCAATTCAATGCTTTAACGTTGTTATTGCTGAAATAAGTAAATGACCAAGAACCATCACATTTTATGTCCTTTATTAGGACATAATGTGGTCTTATTGACCACTTTGACATTGCTGCAGTGTTTTAATACCAACCCCCTTCTTTCATGAACAAAACACAAAAACTTGACTTCAGTGAATCAGTGATTGGTCTTTTGAAGCCAGGTAGATTATTATACTACCATGACCTACAGGTATTAGAAATCCTTCTTCAATTATTACAATGACATGATTCAAAATTAAAAATAGATTAAAAATCATCTTAGATCAACTCCAATGTTTAGATGTTTCAGTATTAATAAGACACTTGTCATAATTGTTTACATGTTTGCCTCCCCCTAGGACTACAGATTTGAAAAATAGGAGTAGCGTGAATTTATCTTATTTTCACTTTCCCATCGGCTCATACCCTATTACTTAGCCGGAGTCATTTTGATTAGCTATTAAATGCCCACATGGGCTGCATCCTCATTACCACTCATATAAGCATTTAAAAGCTTTCCATACATTATTTTATTGAATTCTTATAAAAATACCCTCTAAATATATTCCCTCTGTGACCTTGGGTAAGTTTCTTAGCCCCTTTACACCTTTGTTTCCTCATCTGTAAAGTGGGGCTGATGATAGACTTCATAGGGTTAGTGTGAGGATTTAATGAGATAATGCATACAAAGTGCTCAGAACACCAGTGGATACACAACATTCTCCAAGTGTTAGCCTCTCTCATTATAGCACAGATGCTCCTTCCTCCTAAATGTCTTTGCCCCACCTCCAGCTCTCTGTTTAGCCTGTATCTCTGTATTTTGCCTATAACCTGCAGAGCAGGGTTAAACACTTTTATTTATGCTTGTACTTGACTTCTTCTTTTCCCAACTAATGGTTCAGCCATATCTTAATGTTGGCTTCTGTTTGTTTGTTTATTTGTTTTTACACCTCTTTCTTATATTGGCTCTCTATCTGCCCATTCCAGAACGCCCCCGCCTTCATACTTCTCTTTTTCCCACTGGTGCAGACTTGCCTGAGCCACCTCCACAAGGCTGCTATTAGCAAACCTCTGCCCTGACTCCCTGGGGTCCATTCTCAGTTATTTACAGAAATGAAGAGCCTTACATAACCCACAGTATTCATCTGCATTCTATATCTGAATTTGTGTCTTCATGTGGAATTGCCAAATGCTGAAATAATTTACAGTGAGATCCTAACAGCTGGTCTCCCCATCCTGTCCCCTCCCCTGCTCAGCTTCTCTTTGCCACCCTATTCCCACCCTTGAAAGGACAACATCGCCTCTCAGATGGGTAGGTAATAGTAAGAAGGAGTGTGTGCAGGGTGAGGGTGTGTACATGCACTGTATGCATTGTGGGAGCTATGACAAATCAAAAAAGAGACCAGGATTCACAGCTGAGAGAGAGGGGGATGCCCTGGGGCCCAGTTGCTTTGAGGCCATGGCTGGCCTGGTGTTGCTAGATCTTCAGTTTTCAGAAGAAACTAGAAAACTGGATTTTGTCAAGGCTCTAGAATATGGTAGAAAGGAATCCGACATATATTAAACCCCTCTGTGTGTGAGGCACTGTATTTAGTGCTGTACATATGTTCTTTTATTAAATTCTCAAAATAACAGAGATGAAAAACAGACTCATAGAAGTTGTCTAGCTTGCCCCAAATCATACACCTAGAAGGGCCAAAGCAGGAATTTGGGCCTAGATGCTGCATCTATTTTTATTTAAAAGTCCATCTTTTCCATCTCCTGCTGGGCTGCAAATTTTATAAAGGCGGAATGAAGGTCATTTCACAACATGTGTGTAAGCCATAAGTTTTATCCTCTACAGGCAAGTTATTTCTTAGAGAAGCTGCAGGCTGGTCTCTGTCCTTATTTAAAATGCAGGGACCTCTGGGAGCCATAACACATTAGGCTTTATCAGTTACTACGACAGCTTGGATGAGTTTACCTATTCATTTTCAAATAGGAGCTATTTCATAGGGAAAACAACACAAAGGGCTAGGTGCTGAGACAGGGAAGATTGAGGAGGTAAACCCAGAGTTGGATGCTGGGCCATCTGAAAAGGTGGGTCTCTGGACACCTGCTGGGGCAGGGCAGCTGTGGGGAGGGAGGAAGTGAGAAGCAAGAGCTGTCAAAGGGAAGTGAGGGATTAGCTCCTCCACAGGTTGTGCGGGGTACCTTACAGACTAGCTATCTCCATTGTACATCCTGGCCCATGTCACCCTCTGCATCTGAGAAGAGGGAAGTGGAGGAGCAGAGAGAAAAGAAGGTGGAGGAAAGAAAGCAAGGTGGCGACAGTGTTACAGTGGGTATAATAGCTAGTCAGGCATGAGCAGGGCAGGAGAGGGCTCCCCTGCCCCAGGAATGTCAGGAGACCATCAGGTGATTGTCAGGTGGCTGTTAATTGTCTCTCTAAAATAATAATTGGTTACAGCCAGCGCCAGGGAAAAGCAGTCTCCCAATAGATAGAAAAAACCTGAAACTGGTGATGAGCAGTTTCCGATAAGATCTCAGGAGTTGGGCAAGTGGGCTCAAGCATGCGCATTAAGAGGCAAAATGGCAGCGTTTAACTGGTACTTGACCTTCTAGAAACATTCAGCTGGTAAGGCAAGAATGCTTCAAGGGATCGTGCGTACAACTCCGGTAAGCACACTGCGCATGCTCACCTCCCAAATGCTAGCAGGGCACTGCACAAGCGGACAGCCCACACAAAGGAAGAATCAGGGGAGAAGGGACAAAAGACCCCGGAAGTGTGCTAGTGTATAAAACCCCAACTCAAAGGTCAAACAGCGCACTGGATCTCTCAAGTCGTCCGCTTGGCCCTCTTCTAAGTGTACTTGACTTCTTTTCATTCCTGCTCTGAAACTTGCCTTGGTCTCTCCTTCTGCCTTACGCCCAGGAGGCAAGAATTGAGGTTGCTGCAGACCCATATGGATTTGCTGTCAGTAACAACAGGACAGAGAAGCAAAGGAGAATAAAGAGAGAGGAAGAACATCTTAGGAAGGAAAGAAGAGATTCACAGGAAACCCCAGGGAAGAAGGAGGGGATAATATGAGGGGCACAGACTCAGTATTGATATTTTACCATACACCTCTAGTAAACTGACATATTTACAATAAGCCATTTTGGAGAAAACCAAGTCCCTTTGGTATAATAGTGGAGAGTTAGAGGGGGCAGTCAATAGCAGGTTGTAAAGAAGGAGGACAGCCAGCGGGCAGGCTGTCCTGGTCGCTTGCCCCACCCCCCTCTGTGTCCTGGGAAGCCTTTGGCACAGATTTACTTTACCTCATCCTCAAGGAGGCCTTTGGGTTTGGGTGGGACTTGAGGTTTCTGCAAAGCAGTCAGGGCCGGCAGGGTGGAGGTGAGCCTTGCTTTCTCTGAAGGCCAGCTGGGCTTACTGGGAAGTGTCTTGCTGAAGGGTGGGGAATGCCTCTGGCTTGATCGATTGTCTTGAAAGGAACAAACAAAAAACATAACATAAAAGAGGCTCTGGATCATTTCCTGGGTGGAAGCCATTGAGATCCAGAAAGTATAAAACCACGGGTGTCTATGTAGCCACAAATGATCCACGGGGCATTCCTTGAAAGAGTAAAGTGAAATGTTAGGCCCAAAATTTCAACTGCTTATTGACTTAAACGACAAAAACTGGAAGAACGTCCTCATTAAAAACATCCTTCCGGGGCAGTGATGGACACCCAGAGGTTCAGGAGAACCAACAACCCAACACTTGGCCACACAGAGGGGATGGAAGCAGCACTGGAGGGCACAGGGTGGGGGTGAGGTGCTCCTGGCTTTTAAAAATGCCAAGGCCTAGGCTCCACCCCAGCCTGGCAACGTTTGAACTCCTCGGGAGGAGCCTGGCATTACAGGTTGGAAAAGTTCCCCAGGTTATGCTAAAGTGTATCCAGGTGGTGATTACTCACGTGGATCAACTTCCATGCTCCTTCCCTCAGTGATTTCGCTCCATTCACAGGGAATCTGTGGGATCCCTTTGGTCCAGGACTGTCCTTCTCATCAGGTATCAGAAAAGGAGTCAGGCTCTAAGGCCAACTGGATCTGAGTTCTGTCCCTTGCTCTGCCACTCACTAGCTGTGCTCTTTGGGGCTGGTTATTCAACCTCTCTGGGACTCACATTCTTCATTGTTATTTTTAATTTTTTAATTTTTTATTTTTTTGAGACAAAGTCTTGCTCTGTTGCCCAGGCTGGAGTGCAGTGGCATGATCTCTGGTTACTGCAACCTCCGCCTCCCAGGTTCAAGTGATTCTCCTGCCTCAGCCTCTGAAGTAGCTGGGATTACAGGCACCCACCACCATGCCTGGCTAATTTTTGTATTTTTAGTAGAGATGGGGTTTTACCATGTTGGCCAGGCTGGTTTTGAACTCCTGACCCCAAGTGATTCACCCACCTCAGCCTCCTGAAGTGTTAGGATTACAGGCATGAGCCACCACGCCTGGCCAACATTCTTCATTTTTAAAATGAGGATCGTAATATCGACCTTAGAGATCTTGAGGGGATTAGGAAGATTGCAGTGAAGGCAGTAGGTACAGTGTGTCTGCCTAATAAGTAGAACTTATATCACCTGTGCCATGTGAGAGAGGCGTTAGGCGGCCTCAAGTCTACCCAGTGATTCAGTGAGCTGAGCATAGATTCAGACTGATGTGTTTTAGGAAAATCTTGGCATAGGAATAACCTGGCATGTTCTTCATACTGGGAACAGCACAGGTGCTAGCACTGGCCTCTGGATTGCATCACTGGCCTCTTGCTGCTGCTTCCTGTGACAGCCCCACCTCGCCCGGTGCAGCTGTCCTTGCCTGTTAGGCCCTCGCCTCTATGCTCCTGGTGCCTGCCCCTGCCCTCAGCCCTCACTCCTTGTTGAAGGTATGTGGTTAACTTCACCTCCGCTGCCTCCTCAGAAGCCTCTTTCTGGTGGTGTGGCTGTACTCAGGCATGAGGGCATCCTTCCTTCTGTGCCTATAACTCTTGTCAGTTTTATTTGCAGCTCCTGGAGTTTACTCAGATTTCTGAGTAAACAAATATTTAATGTAATATTTAAGCCCATCAGAAGTAGCAAAACACAGGAGACAGGCTTTGAAGAGTGTGATTTTTTTTTTTTTTTTTGAGACAGAGTTTCACTCTTGTTGCCCAGGCTGGAGTGCAGTGGTGCGATCTTGGCTCACTGCAACCTCCGCCTCCCGGGTTCAAGTGATTCTACTGCCTCAGCCTCCCTAGTAGCTGGGATTACTGGCATGCACCACCATGCCCGGCTAATTTTTTTGTATTTTTAATAGAGACGGGGTTCTGCCATGTTGGCCAGGCTGGTCTTGAACTCCTGACGTCAGGTGATCCATCCACTGTGGCCTCCCAAAGTGCTGGGATTACAGGTGTGAGCCACCGCGCTTGGCCAAGAGTGTGTTCTTGAGTGAGCCACTTAACCACCCTGAATTGCAGTAGCCCTTTCCTCCCCAGGGTTGCTGTGATGATTGAAAAAGATCATTCACCAAGTATGGTGGGTGGTGCACAGAGCCGAGTTGTGATGAGCTGGGCTTCGGAAGCTGAGAGCCCTGGCTTGTATCCCAGCTCCATCACTTAGAGGATCTTGGCCCAGTCAGTTCACTCCTCTGACCTCTTTCAGGATTATCGAGGAGGTTAAGTAGACCCCCAGGGGAAAGCACTAAACTGTAAATTAGAAGATCTCTGGGAGTATGTGCATCTTGAGTGCAGCTGAATGCTCAGTGCTTAGCATAGTTCTGGTGCATGGCAGGTGCTCAAAAGATCAACTGTGGCAACCCAGTAAGCCCAGCTGGCCTTCACTTTACTTTCATTCAGTGAAGCAAGGAGCAGTGCCTGGTACACTGTAAGGAGGGGGTTAATGGCAGTGAGATATTACATGTAGAGCCGGTCCATACAAATGCTGGCATCGCCATGACCATCACAGACATACTTGCTCTCTGAACCTTTGGGGAACTTAGTCACCTGCCAAGACTGGAACAAAGATGGGCATTAAAATGCATACTTGGGGCCAGGCGCAGTGGCTTATGCCTGTAATCCCAGCACTTTGGGAGGCCGAGGCGGTTGTATCACTTGAGGTCAGGAGTTTGAGACCAGCCTGGCCAACATGAGGAAATCCTGTCTCTACTAAAAATACAAAAGTTAGCCAGGCGTGGTGGTGGGTGCCTGTGGACCCAGCTACTCGGGAGGCTGAGGCAGGAGGCTGGACCCAGGAGGCAGAGGTTGCAGTGAAGCGAGTTCATGCCACTGCACTCCAGCCTGGGTGACAGAGTGAGACTCTGTCGCAAAAAAACAAAACAAAACAAAAAAAAAAACAGACCCAAGCTGTGTCCATTTAACCCATGAGGCTTATTCCAGGCTTGGGGCTCCTGAGCACCTGTATCCCCTGGTAAAACCGCATAGTCTGGACTAGGCATGGGAGGAAGGTGAGGCAGACACTGGGATCCTCGAAGGTCATTGTTTTGTACAGACTTCTTAAGAGAAATCCCAGAACCTTGAGCACACGAAGCCCTAAAAGTGGGACTAATCTCAGGGTTGCTTTCCCTTGGAGTGTTGGGAGGGAGCACAACCATCAGGGTATGCTGGGTTTGTTGTTTGTTTGTTTGTTTGTTTGTTTGTTTATGCCTGCTTTCAATGTTCCCAATCTAGGAAAGACGCCTCTTCCCCTGGAATGGGAAAGCCCTACAGCTTGGGATCCTTTACCTCGGAGCCCAGATCCCCTGCTTGGAGGTGGCGGGAGCGGGCGGCTGGCAGAGGCCCTCAAGCAGCAGCCAGGTTTGTCCCCACCCCGCAATCTTGGACACCCCCACCTCCCCATGGGCCTGGAAGGCCGAGTGC
Organism: Homo sapiens; assembly: GCF_000001405.40. Classification (NCBI taxonomy): domain Eukaryota; kingdom Metazoa; phylum Chordata; class Mammalia; order Primates; family Hominidae; genus Homo; species Homo sapiens. The sequence continues at coordinate 96,227,388 of NC_000010.11, forward strand.
CCAGGTCTGCGGGGGACCTCACCTATATACTCGCCTCTGGCGAAGGGCAGGGCTGGGTGAACCGGCCTGGTTTCCTGCTCTACTGGAGGCGGCTCGTAGCTGTCATCAGCGTTCTCCTCGGCGGGCATCACGTACATCTCTGAGTCCGAGTGCTCATCTGGATTTTCATAGTCGCTGTCCTGCAAGTGCAGATGCAGACACTGTGCTCAGCATCCCCGTCTGTGCTGCCTGGCCGTCAGGACCATTCCTGCCTTGGGAGGCCAGAGCAGTGACAGGAGACAAGGCTTGGAGAGGTTGACTTCAAAAGGCTAGGCAGCCGATAAGAGGCAAAGCTGGGGTTTGAAGCAGGCCTTTCTGCCTCCAAAGTTTATCGTCTCCACCACTGCACTGTCCTTGGGGGACACAGGAACTACTTAACGCTAATGGGAGCTGACACTCTGTAGATCCACAACAAATAACAAGAGGAGATAATAAAACATATTTTTAAAAGATAGGAAAATGGCCCAATAAAATAGAATAACCAATGGGTTTTATCTATTATGAATGCTGATCACTGAAGAGAAAATAGGTTTAATACGAAGAGGGTGAGGAGACACACAGGGCCAGCTAGATATCTTTCAGATGAGATTTTTTAAAAATTTCAAGCAGAATTGGTAAGCTGCAGGGTCAAGGCTTCAAATGGACTCAGGGTTTGCTCTCTTTTTTTTCTTTTTTTTTTTTTCCTGTTTTTGAGATGGAGTCTCACTCTGTTGCCCAGACTGGAGTGCAGTGGCGCAATCTCAGCTCACTGCAGCCTCTGCCTCCTGGGTTCCAGCGATTCTCCTGCCCTAGTCTCCCAAGTAGCTGGGATTACAGGCATGCACCACCGTGCCTGGCTAATTTTTTTTTGAAACCGAGTCTTGCTTTGTCGCCCAGGCTAGAGTGCAGTGGCAGGATCTCAGCTCACTGCAACCTCTACTTCCTGGGTTCAAGTTATTCTCCTGTCTCAGTCTCTGGAGTAGCTGGGATTACAAATTGCACCACCACGCCCAGCTAATTTTTGTATTTTTAGTAAAGCTGGGGTTTCACCATGTTGGCCAGGCTGGTCTCAAACTCCTGACCTCAGGTGATCTGCCAGCCTCGGCCTCCCAAAGCGCTGAGATTACAGGCATGAGCCACTGCGCCTGGCCTGTTTTTTTAAAATCCACATTTCATTTAAGTCCACACTGAAAATACATTGTCACGGTCTGAAGTCCAAATGGCTTAGAAGGATATAAAGTGCAGTCTCCTTCTCAGCCTCTCTGCTTCTCACCGCAGAGGCAGAAAGAGTCACTAGGTTTCTTGTGCATGTTTTTCAGAGGTAGTTTATGTATATACCGTTTGTACATATATTCATGTGGAGGAAATATTTGACTCAGGACATAAGAGGTCCTCTGGCCTCTGTGTCCACCGCCCTCACACTCTGCCTATCACATTGCATGATCTGTACATGACTTTCCACTTGCTCTTTGGCCTGTCGCCTTTCATAAGCAATTTTATATAGCAGGATTTTTTTTCCTGTTGGTCTTTAAAAAAAAAGAATTGTAGGGGTACATAGTAGGTATATATATATATGGGGTATATGAGATATTTTGAAACAGGCATACAACGTGTAGTAATAACATCTGGGTAAATGGGGTATCCATCACTCAAGCATTCATTTTTTGTGTGTGTTATAAACATTCCAATTATATTCTTTTAGTTATTTTTAAATGCACAATAAATTATTGTTGACTGTAGTTACCCTGTTGTCAAACACTAGGTCTTATTCATCCTAACTATATTTTTGCACCCATTAACTGTCCCTGTTTCCCTCCCCCCACCTGCTGCCCCCTCGACCACCCTTCCCAGCCTCTGGTAAACATCATTCTACTGTCCGTCTTTATGAGTTCAAGTGTTTTAATTTTTAGCTCCTACAAATGAATGAGAACATATAGCAGGATTTTTGTTTAAAATCAAGAAATTCTGGAGGCTTTATTAACAAGCCTGGATTTCATTCTGCGTGCAGTGGGGATCCATCTACTGAAGTCAAAAGAGCTGTGAGTGAATGCTTACTCAGTCTTTAGTACAGCTGGTATCTTCATTTTGGTTGTCTGATTTTGGGGCAAGTAATTCCTTCCTCTCCAGGCTGATTTTATTTTGTGCTTTCTAAGTTCCCTTGTGTGCTCTTTTTCATCCAGCCAGCTTGCTCAGTTTTCTTCTCTTACCTCTGCATGTGGACCAAGCAATTTCTTTGCTTTACATGTGGCTGTGTGTGTGTGTGTGTGTGTGTGTGTGTGTGTTCGTGTGTGCACGCGCGTGCGCAGCCAGCAGGGGGCGCAGCTGCAGTGCATCTCAGGGAGCTGCGGCTGCTGGGCCCCAGGAGGAGCTCCATGACCAAGAGATGGGCAGAAAAGTCACCCCTTCCCCTCATTTTTCTTTTCTTTTTCTGCAGTTGAAGAAGGAGGAACTCCTGTCTTCTGAGACTCTGTATAAACTCCAGGTAGTGTGCACAGCCCAGGGCTGGGCACAGGACTGGAGGTCTGAGTCCTGGGTTCTCATTCCACTGAACTGGGTGATTTTCATTCTCTTGGCCTCAGTTTTCTTATCTGTGAAATGGGTATGTGGTTGTATGGAAGGCTTCTTGGATCCCTTCCAGATCTAAAACTCACAGGTTGGAGCAGGCTAACATTCTGGATGAATTTGATATAAGTGAGGAATAATTATTGTGAAGAAAAGTTTTTAGGATGTCAGGCCTTGCACATTTCAGAGCTACCTCAAAGAGATAATTCTGATACAACATCCCCAGTGTCATCATGGCCAGGTCCCTCTCTCTGTGGCTCCGGAGCTCTGCTAATGTTCTCTTGATCACAGCAAGCACCTTGGTGGCAAAGAGCCTGGTCCTGAGATCTGAGGGCCTGGGTCTGAATTGTGGAACTGCAAGTGACTGAAACTTTCTAGACCTTGGTCCTGGAGGCCCCCTGATGTGCCAGACACTTATTCTTTAGTTGTTGGTTCGTTTAGGGCTCCTGGGCAGGGGTCAGGCAGTGATGGGCACTGGGGAGTTTAGGGCAGAGGCATTTGCTAACTGATATGGAAACATTTAAACATTTTTACACCTGTTTTGGATGTGCTGGTGAGTACTCTGAACACCAGCACTGAAGTTGGGCATAAGAACACCTACCTCAAAGGTTTAAATGAGGTTATGTGTGGAAAGCTCTTAGCCAGGCGCACACTGAGTGCCAGTCAAGTCAGCTGGTATGCAGTATGCCTTGCCTGTAGGTGACCTTTCCAAGTCTTCCCTCTTGGGACGTGCGGCTGACCACCAGCATGTAATTCAGAAATAAGATCTTCAAAAGGCCTCCCATGGGACCCTGATGCCCTCCTGGTCCCAGGAGCAAATACTTACAAAGTCATCGGACCACTGCTCCTCTTCGTCAGCAGGGCTCTCTGCAACAGCAGGGGAGAAGCAGAAGGCACAAGTGTGAGCCTCAGCTGGCCAGCCCCAGCCCATCCACACACATTTCGCACCTGCCTTCCCTTCCCTTTGGGCTTTCTGGTGCCATATACTTGACCTTGGGTTAGTTACTACAATCATATGTTCACTTGCTTTTGACTTTTTAAAAAATATTAATTCTCAAAGCATAGAGAGAAGTCCCACTGGGCAGAGCAATGTGCGTCTGATCCATGTGTGGGCTTTGTTAAGGGACATTTCTGGGTCCCCCAGTAGAGACCTACAATTCATACTATGTGGCTTCTAAGGACTTCAGAGGATGGCGTAGTAGGAACAGCACAGGACAGGGAATCAGACAGACCTAAGTTCTTATCCAGGCTCTGTTCCGAATGCGTTGGAGTGTGGGCAAGACCTCTAACATCTCTGAGCCTCGGTTTCCAGATCTATACAATGAGGGGATCATTTCTGTGATCATCTCTGGCTCTAACTTTGACTTTTCTTGTTAAAAAAAAATTATCCAATGTCTTAGTATGTGCCAGGCAATATTATCAGAGCTTTGCCGTCTTTTAGCCCTCTCAAAGACGCTGTGAGGGGCTGGGCGTTGGGGCTTATGCCTGTAATCCCAGCACTGTAGTCCCAGCACTTTGAGAGGCCAAGGCAGGAGGGTTGCTTGAGCCCAGGAGTTCAAGACCAGTCTGGACAACATGGCAAGGCCCCATCTCTACAAAAAATAAAATAATTAGCTGGGTGTGGTGGTCCATATCTGTAGTTCCAGCTACTTAGCAGGCTGAGATGGGAGGATTGCTTGAGCCCAGGGGGTCGAGGCTGCAGTGAGCTGTGATTGTGCCATTGCACTCTAGCTGGGATGACAGAGTAAGACCCTGTCTCAAAAAAAAAAAAAAAAAAAAAAATCACCTAAACCTTGTGAGGAAACTGAGGCCTAGAGCAGATAAGTCACATGCCCAAGGTCAGATAGTGTAATAAATGGCAGAGCCAGGAGTTGAACCCTACAGGTTGCCTTCCACGGGCATGCGCTGAGCCCCCACATGGTGCTGCCTCGCTCCAGGGGCAGGAGGTGCCGTCCTGGGCTCTGCATGGGCATAGAAAAATGGATATGACAGGTTGTGGCCCTTAAGTAGTTTATGAGCTTGTAGAATAAAATAAGTCTGAATTATGACAGCCCAGGCGAATATTTGACCCCTTTCCCTCCAAAACACATTTAGAGTATGAGAAACTTAGCATCTAGCCTATCACATAAACTGACCTTAGAGGTTAAATGGGATTCACTCTGCTGTGTAGGAATCAAGCAGACACAGGCCCATGTGGCAGAGTGGCTCCATGACAGCACCACAGAGGGTCCCAGCTCCCTCCTGCCCCGCTGAGCAGCCACTGCCACAGAGGATCCAGTGGATGTTCCTAAATTTCCCAGAACCTCAACAGAACCTTTTCTAGTTTTATTTTTATGTTTTTGCTATTCCCCGCTGAGTAGCCACTGCCACAGAGGACCCAGTGGATGTTCCTAAATTTCCCAGAACCTCAACAGAACATTTTCTAGTTTTATTTTTATGTTTTTGCTATTTCTACCCCTGCCACAGCAGACCACCGGACTCCAGAGAGTCAAACATTTGGGGTCTCCAGAGGCACCAGCAAGGAATTGCAGAGGTGAAATGGGGTCAGGAAGGATACTGTGGGATCGGAGTGGCCACATTTTAAGCAATGGCGGCAGCAGCACCCTCTTTTGGGAAAAACATGATAGGTGCTAAGAAAGAGCCTCACTCTACAAGCCAAACATGGGTCACACTTTGACGTGAACAGAAAAGAATTCTTACATTATTCTTTGGGTTGACTAATGCTGAATTAGAGTGTACTGCAATCACTGGGGTTGGCCAAGAAACTCTAGAAGATTGGGTGAATAAATCCTCTTCCCAATATGATTACCTGGCACAATGGGGGAGTATGTTTCTTTTTCTTTTCTAGTCTTTTTTTTTTTTTTTGAGACAGAGTCTCACTGTGTTGCCCAGGTGGGAGTGCAGTGGCACAATCATGGCTTACTGCAGCCTCAACCTCCTTGGTGCAAGCGATCCTGCTACCTCAGCCTCCTGAGTAACTGGCACGTGCCACCATGCCCAGCTAACTTTTGTATTTTTTGTAGAGATGGGGTTTTGCCATGTTGCCCAGGCTGGTCTTGAACTCCTGGGTTCAAATGACTCACCTGCCTCTGCCTTCAAAAGTGCTGGGATTACAGGCATAAGCCACTGCATCTGGTCAATGTGTTTCTAATACCTTAAGTCTGGGGATCACTGAAGATCAACACTTAAGATGGCAAGAGTTTTTGTAACAACCATTTAAATAGAAACCCTTATAAAATGCCTTTATGAAACCCACTTCCCTGCCTGGATAACTGCATTTGCTCCACCCTTTCTCAGTGAGTGGGGGCCTATTTTATGATCAGTCACTGGTGAAAGTAGTGCATTAGCCATCTAACTAGTGTCCCTGTCTCCATTATCTTTCTTCTCCAATCCATCCATCCTACCGTTTGTAGTTATTTTATTAAAATAAAGTTTGGATTATGCTGTTCCTTTCCTTAAGAGTCATCAGTGACTCCCTATGGAATCAAGTAGAGGTTCTGTGGCAACACATTCCAATGCCTCTGCCTTCTGTCCCACCACCGACTTCTTGCGGCAGGCTCCCACGCTCACTAACAGTAACACCAGACAGCTTCCTCCTCCCGTTGTGCACTTTGCTGATTCTCTGCTCTGCTCGTGCCGTTCCTGCAGCCCATCTTCTTTCTTCCATGGAAATCCCTATCACTCCTCCTCCACAAAGTCTACCACAGTCTCTTGTCATAATCAATCACTTCTTTTTCTGGGCCCTCTTGGAAGCTGGTGGCACCGTGATGTCACATGTACTTCGTTCTGTCCTGTGCTGTGATTAAGTTGTTCATGTCTCTCTGTACTGAAAATAAGGCCTATCTAATTTATCTTTGCATCTGGACAGAATTTTGCATTTGTAATTAATGTATTAATAAATGTGTGAACTAATAAATGACTCAAACAAAGGAACATTAGGATAGCAACAATAGATTCCATTTACTGAACACTTCCTATGTGCTGGGTGCCAGGCTAAGTGTTATAAAAGTGTATTCTTATAACAGCACTATGTGGTAGGTGTTATTTTTATCTCTATTTTACAGTGGAGAAACTTGGTTTTGAAAGAGGTTGTAAAACCTGCCTGAGGCTACTTGGCTAGTGAGTTTGGGAGCTGGGTTGGAAGCCAGGCTGTGTTGGCTCCTGCAGCTGAAATCTCATCTGAGCCACTTAGCCCTCTGCTGAGCACTTAGATAAAACCTTGGTGAAACGAGAATGACCCAATCCAGACATCTTGGCACATGGAGACAGAAAAGAGAGAAAAGCATCATACAGTATGGGATAGAGGTTGTTTGTTGGTGCCCCATCGATTCCTAGCTAGACTATCTACTTCAGGTCCCAAGTGCAACTCACAGCATCATATTCATAAAGTTACAGTCTTGCAGGCAATTGCCAAGACTAAAAAGCATGGGAGTCCGAGGTATTAGGTCCAAAACAGTAGTCAGTTTTCCAGTATCTCAGGGAGCTTCCCAAAGTGCACAGGTGGTAGTTTAGAGCCAGGCTTTCTAGGTTCAAATCCTGGCTCTGACCTTTACAAGCTGCTTGGTCTTGGACCAATAATTTAATATTGTTTAAAGCTTCATTTCCTCACCCGTAAAGCAAGGATAAGAACAGTGCCTGTATCATATTTTTGTGAGAATCAAATAATAAAATACATCTGAAGCTCTTAGCAAAGCCTGGCACACAGTAATGCTTTAGTAATGTTACCGTCATCTTGAGCATTGCAAAGAATGCCTCAATTAACACTCAAAACACCACTGATTCTAATTTACTCCCACGTCAATCACACACTATGGCTACCACAAAGGCATGGATCCAAGAAAGCCTCTATTGTAGTGAGTAAAATTTGGGGGAGAAGTTCAAGCTTCATGTGGGCCAGGTGGATTGATTTTGTTTGTGTGATTCCATGGTCTCTGCCAGGAAGCTGAGATCCTGGGCGGGCCCTCTTGTCAGTTAAAGCCTTTCCTATGGTGTGGTTTACCTGGTTTGGGGCTTATGCTCCATTTACCATGTCATAATCCCATGCCACACAATAGAGGGACTCCTCCCTTTGCCTGACCCAGGTTTTAAGATTCATGTAGCCCTCCCCAGCCTGTGGGCACAGCACCAGACACAAGGAGATGTGAGAATGGCCACAGCGGCCCACATTTGGGCTTAAGCTCTGGGGTCAGACTGCCTAACTTAGAATCCTTATTCTGCCATTTTCTAGGAGTGAGATCTTAGCTGAATTGCTTCACCTCTGGGCCTCAGCTTCCCCTTTGCTAAAATGGACATTATTAATCGTGCTTAGAAGAGTATCTGACATAGAGTAAAGGGCTCAATGAATGTTAGCTATTACAATGAATTTACAGTCTCTGCAATTCTCAGAACAATCTAAAGGATAGGTATTCTTATCCCCAGGTCAGAAATTGGAGGCTCACTCAAATTACAAAACTGTTCCAAGTTCACACAGTGCTTAGGGAGCAAAGCCAGGATTCCAACCCAGGCCTAAAGGACCTCAGAGTCCAAGGTCTTCTCACCAAGCCACACTTCATAATACAAATAAAGACTAAGGGCCAGAAGAATGACCACATGAGACTGGGAAAACTCAGGGCCATGTAGTTTTCTGAGAAATGTCCCCACACCTGGAATCATTGCCAGGAGCGGGGAAAGTTCAGAGAAAGGTGTGCCCAGTGACAGCCAAAAACTTGCATGAGGCCATGTGCCCGAGGTGGGGCCGAATGGGGCCTTGAAGGATGAGCAGGATTTGGGTGAGAGAATAAGGATGAAGGAGTGTGTCTTCCTCCATCATCTGAGAGAGGGGCTTATGTGTCAGCCCCAGAAGCAGGGCTTAGAGGCAGATGTGTGCAGAATGAATGCGCTGGGCTGGAGAGGGACAGGAGATTCTGCTGAGCGCTCACACAAATCTGATGTGCTGCCGGCCAGTGGGGGCTCCAGCCATAGTGGACACCGCAGGCTCCAGTGACAAGCTGAGATGGGGAGCTGATGAGGTTGGTGTTTAGGAACTCAGGCATGGAAAGACGAAAGCTGATCCAGACCAGGGGGTCTGGGAATGGGAAGGGATGGCTGGAAGGACAGTACAGGACTCTGTGGTGGTGGCTGGGGCAAAGGGAGTATGAATCCAGCCTCTCAGTTCTGAGTCAATAGGAGCACCAGAGCCCCTGGGGCAGATGCTGGTGGCATCACAGCATGTCTGACATTCTGCCTCAGCTGCAGCCCTGATCCTGCTCTGGAGGCTACCCGGCCGCCAGACCCTGCCCATCTCTCCCCCAACAGAGCAGGTGGTGGCATGCAGGGAGCCAGTGGGAAGACCGCAGCAGGACACAGAAGGAAGGAAAGAGGGAGGGTGGGCCAGTTGTGGTGGTGGGGACAGACACCGAAAAGGAACAGAAAGCAGAACTACAGAGGCTGCAGGGGAGGCGGTGGGTGGCCAGTCCCACCAGTGCCGCCCTAAGAGGAGAAAGGGACATGATTTAATGTGGGGAACTGAGGACAAGACCCAGATTCAGGCTGGCTGAGAGAGGTGTTCTGAGTCTAAATACTTAACATCTTAGGCCAGGCATGGTGGGCTCACACCTGTAATCCCAGCACTTTGGGAGGCCAGGGCAGGAGGATCACTGGAGGCCGGGAATTTGAGAACACCCTGGACAACATAGTGAGACATTGTCTCTACAAAAAAGATTTTAGAAAATTAGCCAGGCATGGTGGCACATGCCTGTGGTCCCAGCTACTCAGGAGGCTGAAGCAGGAGGATCACTTGAGCCCAGGAGGTTGAGGCTGCAGTGAGCCATGATTGTACCCCTGGACCCCAGCCTGGGTGACAGGGCGAGACCCCGTCTCAAAAAAAGAAAAAAGAAATACTTATCATCGTAGAAACTCCCTTTGTCTGTATGTCTACTCATCCCTTCACAGGATCATTAACAGAGGGGTGGGGGTACAGCAATGGGGGACATAGTCCTGGCTCAGCCATCACCTCACTGCATGACCTCAGGAGTCACTTTGCCTCTCTGGTCTCCAGTTATTCCTAAAATGAGAAGCTTGGGTTGGGCAATCCTTCAGGAATTTCTAAGCTTTAAAATACCTTTGAGCCCAAGTGTCATTCCTCTATTCTTAGTTCCCTATGGCAGGACTGATGTTGGATATAGCTCTCCCATGTCAGCGTAAGACCAGTACCTCCAGGGGAATATGGACAGGGAGACAGAAAACCAGGTAAATGCTGGCTCCACTAGGAGCACCAGGCCCATGACAAAAGCAATGTTAAATCTCACTTCTTTAGTGGACAAAGGATTGTTATGCATACCCCATACTTCTGTGTGGGCATTTACCCAAGAATCCCTGTCCAAGTGCCTTCTTTGCTCTGGATTTTTATTTTTTTCCATGTAAGTGAGTTTGCCACCCCTCCACCCTATATTTGCTCTGATCTCCTCCCTGCATGATAGCAGAGCCAGAGGAGTCACACGTGGACCTCCCAGGGATGCCACCCCATCAGAGCCCTGGACATCAGAGCCCAAGAGTGCAAGAGAGGGGCTCTGTTCAGTTCTGACTCCTCAAGGACTTGTGGGGTAACCAATGGGGCATCTGCAGTGATCCCAGCAGACTCTCGGGCACCATGACTGGTCTCTCCCTGACCTCCATCCCCAGCCAGACCTCAGACTTCAAAGATACCGAAGGCTGTTCAACTGTGAAAGCTCAGGAACTGGGAAGCGAGTTCTTGCATTAATGTCAGGAGCTCTAGTGCCTTCAGAATAAGAAAAAAGTTCCCCCAAAAGCATGAACACTTGAGCTTGGGTCAAAGCAAGGAGCTGCAAAATGGGAGTCTGGGATGGGTTTTCCTCTTAGTGGCTGCAGTCACCTTGGACAGGATACTTAATGTCCTTGAGACACATTTTCCTCATCTGCAAAACCGAGATCGTAATTTCTATATAACGGTGCTAATGAGAAGATTAAATGAGATATGTCTGTGAAGAGCTTAGCTTAATGCCCAGAACAGAGTCAATACTCAACAGATTTTGGATATCTTCCCTTCCCACAGCAATGCCAGCTGCTTGGGGCAATGCATTCTGCCCAGTGGGCCAGCAGTTCCTTAGGGGCGATGTTTCCTCCTCAGGGAAAGACTGAACTGGGATTGCTGGGTCTGAACTGAAGGCAGCAGGCTCCACACTGGCCTGACCTGCATCCCTGGAGGAGACCCAGCTCTCCATTCTTTGTGTAATTCAAGCTTTGTCCTTCTGTACTCTAACTAGGGAAGAGGGTATGGTGACTCTTTTACTGACCTCCTGTGGGGCAGTTGCTGGTCCTTTCTATCCTCTGCTCTCTGAAGGTCAGCATCACCAAGGTCAACACACTCTTGGCTTAGAGGGTTTTGGGAAGCCATTTGTTTCCAGAACTGGAAAGAGGACATAAATCCAATGTGTGGGGGGAAAATGGCTGGAGCATTTCAGGAGCCTTTGGTGGATCAAGTGCTCCACAGGGCACGTGATTGGCCTCCCAGGCTCAGGAGGTCTGGTGGGCTCTGGCCTCCACACACTACAGTTTCCAAGATCCTAAAGACTCCCCAGGTTCAGGAGGAGCTCTCAGGGCTGATTTCTGAGGCCCTGGACGTGCAGCTGTGCAGAAACCTCAAGGCTCAGGGGAAGCAGCTGGAAATGCTCCTGGGATGTGAACTGGGGTGGGGGAGAGAACGGCAAGGGAGGATGCTAACTGCAGGTGGTGATGGTGGTTTTGGACCATTTCCGGGGATTGAGTGTAAGAGCAGGGGAAACTGGGCAAGGCCCCAGTCATCTGGCAAAGCAATAAGATGCATTTCCGAGACCCTGGAACATCAATGGATTTGCAGGGGTCAGGGATTGAGGGAATAAAATCTACGTGTCTTTCAGTTCAGGAAAGGCAATAGGGACAGAGATGGTGGTTTATAGCAGGGTTTCTTAAATATGATTTACATTCAGATCCCCTGGAGATCTTGCTAAAATGTAAATTCTGATCCAGTAGTTCTAGGGTGGGGCCAAGATTCTGCATTTCTAACAAGCTCCAGATGAGGTTGATGCTATCTTGCTGGGAATCAAACTTTGTGTTGCAAAGGCTTAGAAGATCCTGTTGGGCCACACTTCTGCATTCCAGGAGAGATTAAATGTTCTGACATCAAGACTATTTGGAAGGGTTCCAGGAAAGGGAGCAGGTGTCTGAGGACAAAAAAGAGAACACTTCAGAGCATCAGGGATATTGGAAGATGTGAATGCCTAAAGCCAGGGAATGTTAGGAGAGGCTCACTTTATCACTGGGCCCTGAGCCCCAGAGATCTGTGTTTCTGCAGGAGTGCAGAATAATTAGTATTAGAGGGGACCTGACAGATCTTCTAGTTCAGGCCTGCATAATATAGATGAGGAAAGGAGCATGAGATGCCCAAGATTACACAGCCAGTTAGTGGCTAAGCTGAAAGACCTTGTATGTGGGCTCAGTGGTTTGCAGTTCCTCTTGTTAGCAATGTAGAGCCATGAAAAGATTTAAAGAGAATTTTATTTCAGAACAATTTTCTGGTGGAAGTTGAGAGGACCACATGCAATCAGGAATTAAGCAGATTACTTAGAGCCTTCTACCCTAGGACAAGCAAGAGATGATGAAGGCCTTAGCTGTAGCAATGGGAATAGAGAGGGAAAAAATATTTAAGAGGCATTTAAGAGCAAATCAATGAGATTTGGAGATTAATTTTTGTAGAAGGTGAGGGAAAAGGAGGCATCAAGGTTGATCCCAAGTGTGTGGGTTAGGCAAAAGGATGAATAATAGATGGATGCTACCTCCCTTTTCCCCACGCAGAAATAGAGGGAAAGGAGAGGGCCTGGGTGGGTGGATCAGCAGGCAGACAGGTGAGTGTGAGGGGACAATCAGGAGGGAGGTCCACCCTGAAATCAGATATGTCAGTCCACTTAGGTTTCCAACAATTGACTCTGAACTCCTGGAATCTGTGTCCAGCATCTCTGATGCTGTTGGTTCATCTAAAAGTGGCAAATATTCCTGCACATTTGTCCCCGAATCCTCAAATTAAATGTCACCTTCTCAGACAGATCTTCCCACACCACCTAAGCTCTTCTCCTACCCCACACTGATTCCCCACCATTGCACTCTTCCATCTTCCCTCACAGCAGGTACCATGTTTGCTAATTTATATTTACCTGTTTGCTTTCTTGTTTCTTATCTGACTCCCCACTAGTCATTCAGCACTGTAAGGTCAGGGGTTGTATGTTGTTCCCCACTCCAGATCTAGCACAGTGACAGTCACACAGGACACACTCATGAAACACGTGTTGAATGAATCAGAAAATGTGCGAAACAGCTGAAGCACCTGGAGATGTTTATCCCAGAGAAGAAACCACTCAGATGGCCTAACTTCTTAATTCTCTCCTTTGAAGTTGCACAGGACAACTCTATTTTTATTTTTCTTAATATTTTTTTCTTATATTTTAAGAGATGGGATCTCGCTATATTGACCAAGCTGGTCTTAAACTCCTGGCCTCAAGCAATCCTCCCATCTTGGCCTCCCAAAGTGCTGGGATAACAGGTGTGAGCCCCTGTGCCTGGCTCTACTTTTCTTCATATTTAAAGGCTTGAACTGTGTGGCCATCAGGATAGACATAGGAAGTCACAAGGAAATTGATTGTATCTATATCCAGCCAGGGCTGCCTGTCCCTTGCTAGACCATGGGAAACCATCACAGAAAGTGTCCAAGCAGAAGCTGGGCCTTGTGTGTGGAGGTGAATGGTGGTGGGATAGGGGTTAAGCCCTGGATCAGATATTGGTCTACACGACCTCTGGGGTTCCTTTTAAACCCAAGACTCCATGATTTTATAATTTGTCCATCAAACTTATTTAGTTCTTTAACAGGTTGAGTCTGCTTTGGTTTCTTTTCTTTATTTAGAACTTGGAAGGAAGAATGTGTTTGTTCTCATATAACTAGGAAGCTTCCTTGACTTATTGATTAGGTAGATATTAAAGCCCAGAACAGGGTCCCTCTTTTAGTGCCAGACTGTACTGGCATCCCCTGACCAACTGTCTAAACTTGCTGACTGATTGGCAGGGTGATGCCAATAACTACTCTGTGAATTAGTGAGTGGTCCAACAGGCCTGTAACCAGACTTGGGCAGGTTGGTCAGCATTTCTCAGTGTGATAAGATTCCCTTAGGAGGAACTGCACTATCTGACTTATTGCTATCTTGATCAGTGGCCGAAAAAATAAAATAAAATAGTAAGCATCATTTAAGGTTATGGTTTGGTTTTAGGCTGTTGCCCTGTTGAGAATCATCAATGATGTCTGTAGCTCTGTGGTTTTCACTGAGGGATATTCAGGAAATCTTTATAATTAATGCTATAGAAAGAGATTTTAAAACTATCTTCCAACGTATTTGTTCTAATAAAGAAATGTGTATTGAATATTTCACTTGGCTCACCACTGCCAGAAACACTACAAATCTCAAAACTAACCCTTCTTTCCTGCCAAAGTTGATCCTAGTTGGAATGAGGTTGCAGGCTAAACTTGGAGAGGACTGAGAGTCAGCAATGTGCCAGCAATAATTTATTACCCCCACCCCTTCAACAATCCTCAAATATCAATTTAAACAGCTTTTGATGGAGGAAGTAGTCTCTTCCCCACTTACCCCACACTCCCAGCCACAGATTAGATTCATTAGTGCTGCTGTGGAATTCCACCCAACTTTGTGCTTCCCCTATCACTGAATTGTAATTACTTTTCTTTTCTTTCTTTTTTTTTTTTTTGAGACAGGGTCTCACTCTGTTGCCCTGGCTGGATTGCAGTAGCATGATCACATCTCACTGCAGCCTTGACCTCAGTGATCCTCCCACCTCAGCCTCCTGAGTAGCTGGGACTACAGGTGCATGCCACCACACCTGGATAATTTGCATTTTTTGTAGAGACAGGGTTTTGCCATGTTGCCCAGGCTGATCTCAAACTCCTGGGCTCAAGCAATCTGCCTTCCTCAGCCTCCCAAAATGCTAGGATTGCAGGTGTGAGCCACTGCACCTGGGCCTATAATTACTTTTAACATAATTGATATGGTTTTTCTGTGTACCCCCCCAAATCTCATCTTGCATTGTAGCTCCCATAATTCCCACATGCTGTGGGAGGGACCTTGTAGGAGATAATTGAATCATGAGTGCAGTTTCCCCCGTACCGTTCTGGTGGCAGTGAATAAGTCTCACAAAATCTGATGATTTTATCCAGGGTTTCCCCTTTCTCTTGGCTCGCATTCTACCTTGCCTGCCGCCATGTAAGACATGCCTTTTGCCTTCCACTATGATTGTGAGGTCCCCCCAGCCATGTGGAACTGTGAGTCCATTAAACCTCTTTTTCTTTATAAATTACCCAGTCTCAGGTATATCTTTATCAGCAGTGTGAAAACAGACTAATACAATAATCTATCTTCCCTTCTGGACTATAAATTCCTCAAATGTATAGTCTATCTTTAACTTTTAGCACTGTATTCCTGCCTCAGATCTGTGTGTGCCTGGCACATGGAAGATGTTTAATAAGTGACCAATAAATAGGTGGGTGGATGGATGGATAAAAAAACTACATCTCCACTGTAGTCAAAATGCCTAATAGATTTAGTCATTCTTGAAATTAGAAAAGATACCTTTTGTTTTCAAATGAGGATAGCGTATTTCCCTTTCCATAAGCCTAAATGTAAATATGAACATTAAATTAGTCAAGAGTCAGTTAAAGTATCTGAGAAATACCTTACCTGAAGCGTAGTCCCTTCGAGGAACACTTGGAGGTGCTTTGACTTTTAGCCTGGAAATAACAACCATGAGACAAAAGGTCAGTGAGCAGAACAATGATGGTCAAAGCCGATGCTAGAAGCTGATATAGACAGAATAGATAGACAACTAATAGCATAATGGCTTCTCTTGGACCAATCAATGGACAGATTTGATGTATTGTAAATGTAGTGAAGCCATTAGTCAGGGGTTTTCCACCTCTCCCCATCTCCCCAGTGCATGCACAATGTGGCTATGACTTGGCAAAGGTGAAGTCAGGTGGAGAAGGGCTCAGAGAGGTCAGAATATGATAGTAATAAGCACTGAGTTCAGAGGTTCAAGGAAGATAAATGTTGATTGGTTGGTAAGGTAAGTGTTGATAAGAAGGTAAGATAAGATGGACTATATTTTAATGACTTACAAATGTTTAACAGGAAAAAATCAGCTACAATAAGCGTTTTGGTTGTAGGTTGGGCTAAAATTATGTTTGCACCATTTTAAAAACGCAAATAAGCCAGACACACTGGCTCATTTCTGTAATCCCAGCACTTTGGGAGGCCAAGGCAGGAGGATCACTTGTGCCTAGGAGTTCAAAACCAGCCTGGGTAACATAGTGAGACTCCATCTCTACAAAAAAATAAACAAAATGAGCCAGCCATGGTGGCATGCACCTGTGGTCCCAGCTACTTGAGGGGCTAAGGTGGGAGGATCACTTGGGCCCCAGAGGTCAAAGCTGCAGTGAGCCATGATCACGCCCCTGTACTCCAGCTTGGGCGACAGAGCGAGACACTGTCTTTAAAAAGGAAAAAAAGCCGAACAAGTGAACAGTGAGTGTCTCAGGATTGGAGATTATGAGACTTAGCATATTTAGTATTCAACTTGTTTTAAGCACTCTCAAAACTTTACTAAAGTAAAGGTGCTTTAGTACCTTTATGCACATATGAAATGTGCTAGTCACAATCCTTCTTCATTCAATAAAAGAAGAAAATTGAAATTACATTTTAGAAAACTATTCCAAGTTTTGTAAGTTCTGATACCTCCCTTTCCACTACTTGAAATGAGTAAGGTTTATAGTCAATTATTTTTAATAATTATTACCCATTTTAACTAAGAATTATTTGCTTAATGAAATTTAAAATATACATAAATAAAACTTATATCCAGTAGCCTTTATTTACTAAAATATCATATCCTTCTATAGAAGCAGTATAACTGCTATTATATACAAACTTTCATGTTTTGAAAAAAAAAGCATAGAAATTTGTGTTTGATTAAAAAATGCACACAAAAACAATTTACAAACCAAAATTGTAATTTGCAAAAATAACAATATGTATATTTACATAGAAATTCTGGTTTTCTTTTTCTCATAGGCTCTCAATATCTATTATTTCATTCAATTCTCCTCACAAGCCAGCAGGGTGGGCTGGGAAGATACTATCATTAGTCCCATGATGAGGTATAGAGACAGAGATCATCCAAGGTGTTGCAAGGAAGAAAAACAAAAACAAAACTGGGTCTGGTGCCCAGGTTGGTTCAAGGAATAGTAAAATTTCCAAAAGCACAAACCACCTGTTATCCATTATTACTATCATTTCATAAAAGAAAAGGAAGGGTATTTTACTACCCCCAAATAATCTCAGAATAAAGGAAAAACTCACTAAAGGACTGTTGGCCACTCAACACTAGGAATAAAAGGCGTAGTTGAACTTTGCTCTGTAGCTGGCTGCTGTGCACAACCCCCAACACTTCATGCTCCTTATTTTCTCATGCGGCCATAGACCAGTGAAAACTCTGTCACAGTCTTGTGTTAGGGAACCAGCGTGTTCAAGCGTGCTTCCTCCGTTCAGGGTAGCACCTGTGGCCTGGCTTCAAGTAAAAGTGTAACTGCAAGTCACTTTGAGCTAAAGGGCCCCTGACGTCACCCGGGGTAATGACTATGGTGGCCATAATTTCCAGGCTGAGAAGAAACATGGTTTGTCATGTAAAAGTGCTTTGGTCATCCAATGGGCAGAATGTATGAAACAGAGGCTGTTATAAAAAACTTGAGCTCCACAGCTGCTGTAAATATGACTGGCTATGGAATAGAGAGACATTTTATGCAGAGGCTTCATGTTATTGAGAACTGGTGTATTGTAAAACTGGCAACTGGGGGCCATGGAATAGAGAAACATTTTATGCAGAGGCTTCATGTTATTGAGAACTGGTGAACTGTAAAACTGGCAATTAGAATTGCTAGTGATTGTAACAAGGACTGTCTCATAAAGAATGAGATTCTATCTGTAGCAGAAATAATAAGCAAAAATCATCACACACCTCTCCCACTCATCAGACAGAACATGAAGCCAAATTCTCCTCCTCTGTAAGATGACCACCACCTCACAAGCAGAAGGCCATTTATGTTTGATGATGATCACTTATGCATAGAGACTCATTTACATTTCATAGTCTGGAAATACCACCAAAAGTGATTTCTTATTTTTAATTTTAGCATAGATTAAAACGAATAAGGATGCTCTTTTGAATGCATAGAGAAATGAACTTCTATAAACTATTTTTTGGTCCAAAATTTGGGGAGAAAAATTTGGTAATAGCAATTAAAACTTTAAGGGCACAACTTCTTCCATTTGGAAATTTCATTTTAGGAATTTAGCCTACTGGTATATTCAAGGTCTGCAATGAACATTTATTAAAGTATTATTCATGACATTTAAATTGGAAGAAACAACCAGAGAATTTTGATTGCTATTATCAAATTGCTATCCAAAAATGTTGTACCGGTTTAAATTCAAATCCCCCCTTAAAGATGGCCACCAATATATAGCTAGTTAATTGAATTATAATATATTTAAGGTAGACTATTAAATCATCTGTTCAGAAAAGAATATGGTTAATTTTTACTTACTAACAAATAAAGATGTCCATGAAATAGCTTAAGTAAAACCAACAAAGCAAGTTGGTAGAATGGCGCATGCACTATGATACCATTTATGACGAAAATGTATGTGTATAGTATGTACAATGTCAGTGTATGTATGTATGTGTTTAAGCACACACATACATACATATATACATACTTATACACACATACATACATATATATACACACATTGAACTTACCATGACAATGTCCCTTTCTGGGGAGTGGGTTAAGATGGAGATATAAGGAAATGGGAGATTTTGACATCATACAATTCTGGCCTCTTTGATTTTTTTTCCCTGGTGAATCTGTATTAGTTTTATTTAAAAAATTTAAAGACTTAACAGAATACCATTTCCCATTTTCTCTTGAAAGAGACTTACCTACTAAGGTATATAAGACCTACTAAGGTACGTCTACCTTAGATTTTGAGTGGCAAATGCAGATATGTACAATTTTTATTCTCTTTAAAAAAAAAAGCTTAAGAGTTTTTGATGTACAAGGAGTTTTGAGATGCTAGGCTTTCCCTCTCCAAGTGCCAATTGAAAAGTTCATTTTCAGGTAATAATTCGAAAAGCAGAAATCAAAATATGGAAAACTGGCTGAGCGCAGTGGCTCTTGTCTGTAATCCCAGCACTTTGGGAGGCTGAGGCGGGCGGATCACCTGAGGTCAGGAGTTCAAGACCAGCCTGACCAACATGAAGAAACCCTGTCTCTACTAAAAATACAAAATTAGCCAGGTATGCTGGCACGTGCCTGTAATCCCAGCTATTCGCTGGGCCGAGGCAGGAGAATCGCTTGAACCCAGGAGGCAGAGGTTGCGGTGAGCTGATATTGTGCCATTGCACTCCAGCCTGGGCAACAAGAGCGAAACTCCATCTCAAAAAAACAAAAAAACAAAATCAAAAACAAAACCCCAAAAAAAGGAAAACTCACATGGCATCTTGAAGAAGCTAGGGCTGTGTTTTGTAACTTTTCATTTGGATTTCTCCATACATGTTTTCATAGCCCTTAGCTAAATGGTTATAGAAATGATTTTCCTGCTTTGACATTTGTTAGGCACCTTGAATGGGCATAGCTCACCTTCCCTGCAGTGAGAAGGAAAATCAAAGTCCACTGAGTACAACTGCACTCACTTGTCCTGTTCCAGAATGTAGACCTGGCCACCATGGATTCCAGCCAATAGTAAAGAAGGGTTACGTGCTAAAGAGGTAGAAACTTCTCATCCAGGTAACAGAGAAATTTGTTTTCTTCCATGTAGCACATGTTGACTTATTTTATATAATTAAGTATTTAAATAGAGGCGAACTTACTTTTTGATTTTATTCATTATTCCACCTTCATTGTTTTTAATATCATGGACCATCTTTTGAAGCTGCCTGTAAAAAACAAAATTAAACATAAGATATTAATAACCAGTCTGACTTTTTAAAAAAAGTCTCCTACTCTTCTCGAATACAAAAAAGGGGAAAAAACTCTACCAAAACAACCTCCAAATAGGATGAATTATATTGTATTTAATTAAATTGACCATCTGCTACTTTAGCGAAGGAGAAGCATGACTGATTCTATAAGGAATATGGTCACTGGGCTGTGTCCCCTTCCGTTGGGATGTCTGGACCAGTCTCAGGCTGTGAAGAAAGATATTCTGATTCCTTGCTCATTGTCTTAGAGCATCTACGTTACGAAGATAGATGCTACTCTGTGGACATAGCAGAGGCTTCAATCAGGCCCAAGGTTCTTTTTTATTAAATGGTAGTAGGTAGCATCTATTAAAACTTCCATTTAAAAGTTACTCCTACCTAGGAGTCATAAAGAAAATGACTATTAAATCTGGCTGATATTTGAAACTTCTGTAGAACAAAAAGTAATATTGAGGCAGGAGAATAGGGTCTGGAGTCAGGGAACCTAAGGCCAATTTGCACTGACTTCCTAGAACTGAATCAAATGGAAAACCCCACCTCTCCATGCACAAGTAACAAAAGGATCAGAGGCTACTACCTTTGCACTGCGTTATAGATGAGAAATGGAAAGTGCCTCTGATTGATCCCCTCCTGTAACCAATCAGACTGGTCCCAGGCCAAGTCTTCCTGTGTAACTTTGTACCTTAACTTCAGCGTCTGATTGATCACCTTCTGCAACCAATCAGACTGGTCGTGGGCCACTCCTTCATTTACATAGGATGTAACCAAGTAACCAATGGGAAACCCCTAGAAGGAAAATTCTGTAACCAGTGCTCTTGAGCCACTTGGTCAAGCCCATTCCTACTCTGTGGAGTGTACTTTCATTTCAGTAAATCTATGCTTTCATTGTTTCATTCTTCTGTTACTTTGTGCATTTTGTCCAATTCTGTGTTCAAAAGGCCAAGAACCTGGAAGACTCATAGTCAAGACCCTCCACTGGTAACAATATGTATCAAGACCCTCCACTGGTAAGAATATGTACAAAATCAAAAGATAAATGACATGCTGAAAGAAATATTTGCAACATATAGTAATAATAATAAGAACTACATATTAGTTTGCTGCAAAAGTAATCACGGTTTTTGCCACTGGAAGTAATGGCAAAAACTACGATTATTTTTGCACCAGCCTTTCTCGATTTACAAAGAAATCTTACAACTCAGTAAGAAAAAGAGAAATAGTTCAATAGAAAAATGAGCAAAAGATATGAACACACAGCTAACAGAAAACAAATACAAGTGGTCAATAGACCAATGAAAAGATATTGAACATCACTTATATTTAAACAAATCTAAATCTAAACAACAGTGAGATGTCTTTTCGCCTATCAGACTGGCAAAACATAACAAGTGTGATAATATCCAGTGTTGAGAAAGTAAATTGTTACAATCAAATCTGTCAAGATTTAAAACGTCCATGACTTTTGACCCAGCAATTGGACTGCTAAGAATTTGTCTTATGAAAATGGTCACAAAATGATATCAGTATATACATATAAGCATGTTTATTGCAGCGTGATGTGTAAGAACTCTCTAATCTTCTCCCTGCTTCTTCTGCCCTCCCCACAACCATAACTCTGAAAACAACCCAATGCTCATTAATCATTAAAAGGGAACTAGTTAAATAAATTATGATAGATCCATGCAATGGAATGCCACAGACCCCTAAAAAAAAGAGGAATATACATCTATATTGTTGCCTGAAACTTCTACTTTCTAAAAAGGGGATTATTACTTTATGATGTTTTAAAATATTTGAATTTTTATAGCATGTGTAGATATCATTTGTATTATCTGTGTTATACACAAATATGGAGAAAAATATTATAATGGGAGGATAGGGCCATGTTATGTTTTCCTCATAATAATTTTCTGACTTAAAAAATGTATAATAAAATTTCACGTGGTTCTTCCCTGAAAGAGTAGGACGTTTTAATTCACCTTTCAGGTAAATGCTTCCTTTGTTCTGAGAAAACTATTTGACTGGACCCTTTAGATAATGAACTGTACACAGCTATTGTTCTTGTAGGAAATGGTGATTTCCCCACAATCCTGAAAGCAGATTTCTCTGACTCTGGGAGCTAGGCCTTGGGTTAGGTAATAGAAATAGTTTAGCATAGGTCTAGGAAACTGTTGGTTGAGGACATCTGGGAGAAATACTCCTTGGCCCTTTGTGAATTTAGAATGCCCGTGCGGTGGAAGGGTTACTTTTTGGTGCAGCAGTGGAGCAGTTTAGAGGGTAAGAGGACAGCTTCTCAGAAGAACTCTGCCTGGGCAGGCCTGTGGGTGTCCTCTACCAAGTGTTAATTTAAAGCTAAACAATGCAGCCATGCTGGTGCTCTGCTGGGTCTGCTCTATTGAGGGCAGGCCCTCTAGCCCTTAGGGAGTGGAGTGAAATTTACAGGATAGGGAATTGGGAAAAGGGAGATTGCTCAAACGTAAAATGGGAACTTAGGCTGCAGATTTTGGGGAGATCTCTCTCCTTCTAGGGCTAATGGCTGTTAGGCGCTAGAGTGCTGAAGAGCGCAGACAAACCTGAGGGATTTTCAGTGGTGGGGGTTTGGGCGATGGCAGGGGGTGGTAGCCCTGAATCTGAGGCTGGGTCTGGGCCTCTGCTCTGAGAAAAGCCATAGCCAGAGCCATCGCTAGCTATTTTCAACCACATAATCCCTCTCTGCTGTCCCTGAATCTTCAGTAAGATCTTGTAGTAGCTGCAGCCCGGCCTCAGCTGGGCCTTGGGGAAGAGAGTGTTCCACTGGCATGGAAGGGTGGAGGGAGGACAGGCTGGAGTGTGAAGTAGAAGGATAGGAGAAACTTCTTTTGGGACAGCCGTATGGCTGCATTTTGGAGAATTATCTACGTAAGTGAGGTACCCACTGAGGGACCCACGTTCAAATGTATGTGTCAGGGGTCTGGTGCCAAGTCATTGTAATTTGGGTAACAAAGGAAATGAGACCATATTTTATACTCCCTAGCTAGGGAGGCCGGGCACACTGATGATACAAGTGTAAGAGCTCAGGAAAGAGCCAGGCACATATTATGGGCTCAGTAGCAAAGAGAAAAGGATGGTTGAGAGACACACAGAGGGTCCCTCAGATGGGCCCTTGAGTTGCCTCAGAACTCTACAGTTTTCTAGAATTTGTTCACATATACTCTATGCCAAACCCTTTTCTCCTTTTCCTGAGGAACTATAGAGAATCTTCGAGATAGAGGAAAGAAGAAAATGAAAATAAGGGGTCTGGCAGTGGGGAGAGAGATTGAGAGACAGACAGAGAGAGAGGGGGAGAGAGAGAGAGAGAGAGAGGAAGAGAGAAAGAGAGAGAGAGAGAGAGGTTGAAGTGGATTGATTGCAAGGAAATTCAATAATTTCATATGGAGGGCAGAGGGCAGCTCGTTGTAAGCTGACTGTAACTGAATGGAGTATCTTTAGGCTAAGTTAATGCTTAACCAGGTTGAGGAGCAAAATGAGGCAGCAGTGAAGAATCCTATCAGAAATGTGTCAAAAATGGGACACAGGCAGAGTAATAGGGAACCAGGGGCCAATTTGCATAAGTGATTTTGCTGTGGATGTAAATAAACAGATGCAAAATGTTGCAAAAGAATTGGATGCAATTTTGTCATTTGCTCAATTTGGCATTTGGTGCTTCTTGGCATTTCCTAATTACTTTTTATTGTGTATTATTATAACAATAACAATTATACTATGTAACTATATAATTACAGTAAGTTACTGAAGTGTTGCATAAACTATACTTTTTAAAGTTGATGCATAATAGCAGTAGATATTTATGGATGCATGTGATATTTTGATACATGCAAACAATGTGTAATGATCAAATAAGGGTAATTGGGAAACCCATCACCTCACCTCAAACATTTATCATTTCTTTGTGCTGAACACATTCCAAATCTTTTCGTCTAGCTATTTTGAAATATACAATAAATTATAGTTAACTATAGTCACCCTAGATAAATTACACTTTTTATATTTTAAAGTTTTCTTCTCTCTCTGTATCTCGTTCACACAAATTCTGATGTCTATAGACTGCTTTGTTACAACTGCCAAACTTCTGTGATCTGGGAAGACATAGTGACCCAAAACCAAGATTTGCTGTGATGCTGTTAGCTCATTATGTCAACTGTCCACGCATCTGGTGATGCACAGCTCTGCTGCTCTCTAGTATTGGCCATTTCATTTTGAAGTGCTTTTTGCTCCTTATTACAACTTATAGCACATGCCATAGCAAAAGAATGCACAACTGGTCTGTTCCAGGAGGGGTTGTTCTGGATTCAAACAGCAATCCTTTTACTGAGATGAGTTGTGTGTAGGTAAAGATAGGTAAGGCATAAAACAGCTTCACTTTGATTATCTCATTCAGAGATATCCTTCCATGGTGGGGAGATGGATAATAAGGTCACAATGTCCTAATCTTCTAAAGTCATAGAGAGAGAGCCATGCTCATGTAACAAAATAAAATGAAGAACAAAGCTTATCTAATACATGTTTTAAAATATATAAGTATTGTAATTTTAAGCAGTATGGCATTTTGGTATTTAAAAATGGTGAGCAGGTCATATAAATAATTATAATACTTGTGTAAACCAAATCAAATTTTATATTCTCTCTTTTGTTTTTAATTTTCAAGCTTTTGAATTAAGACACGTAACTTAGTCACACTGTAGTAGTGTGACCCTGGGTAAGTCTGAATCTCGAGAGATTTAAATTCCAGGAAGCACTGAGAGTAGAAAAGTCACCATTTGAAAGTTACAGCAGTTTCTTCCCTTTAAAGTGCCTTACTTTAGAATCCGATAGATCTCAAGAGGGCTATTGGACCACAACTGGCTGGGCCTCACCCCTGGAGATTCTCATTGGGTTGTCTGTGGTGCGTCAGAAAATCTGCATTTATGTTTTTATTTTTATTATTATTATTATTTTGAGACGGAGTCTCACTCTTGTTGCCCAGGCTGGGGTGCAATGGCGTGATCTCGGCTCACTGCAACCTCTGCCTCCCAGATTCAAGCGATTCTCCTGCCTCAGCCTCCCGAGTAGCTGAGAATACAGGCACCTGCCACCATGCCGGGCTAATTTTTTGTATTTTTAGTAGAGACAGGGTTTCATTATGTTGGCCAGGCTGGTCTTGAACTCCTGACCTCGTGATCTGCCTGCCCCGGGCTCCCAAAGTGCTGGGATTACAGGCATGAGCCACCATGCCCAGCTCCTGCATTTCTAACAAATTCCCAGGTGGTGCTGATGCTACCAGTTGGGAGACCATCCTTTGTGCATGTCTATGATAGATCATGCCTTTTTCTATTGTGGGCCTTTTAGTTGTGCCCAAGTAAAGCAAATACCTGTTTGGGGGAAAAACTAAGTTCTCATTAACTCAAGTGCAAAGTTTCAGACAAATAAATTGGGTGGTCAATTGGAAGCATAATTTGGGTGTGCGCTTTTCAGTCTGTAGCTTCTTTGCAGGACTGTTGACTTTTCTCTGTATGAATTCAGACTAACCTCTGCTTATATATTTTAATTTATTTTATAGTCATGTACTTTCTTCTTGAGCCACAGTTTGCAAAACTGTAGAATGGAGATGAAGTGACTGCAGGCAGAACATGCCCCTCTCCTTGCGTGACAATGGAAAAGGGACTGGCCCTTCTTGGAGCAGAGTGCCATGGTCGGGACCATTTTGCCATTGCTATTATAATATGGTGCTCTAAGTGACTAACAGAATGCAGTGGCGGTGGCACTAAGACTCGACCTCATCCCTGTTGGTGGGGGATAGGCTGTCTTTGCTGTCACTCATCCTGCAAAGACTCCAACCTAGAAAAAGGATGTAAGAAAATGAGGATGTGGCAGGCAGGCCTCAGGCTTGGTACTGTGATGTTTCCTGTCTTCCCGGGGCCTCCTGGTTGTTGGTCCCTGTGCTGCAGGTTGAATAGAGGAATCTTCTAGAAGGATTCCCATTGAATAGCCTTCCAATTTTTACTACCCATGCATAAGATGTACAGATTTTACACAACTAAGATCACTCTTGACATTTTGAAATCTGTGTGTTCCACTTACTATATTGTGAATATTTTCATAAGTGAGCACCATCCTTAGGCTTTATCTGCATCTTTCTTTCCTCTGCTATCTGAGGGGCTTTTAAATAGCTGAAACTCTGATCCAAGTAGGCGTGACAAGAAGCAGTGAATCAGGACCCCTCAGCTTGAGGGAGCAGAGAGATGACCAGACCACATGGCAATCTGAGACCAGGAGAAGCAAAGGCTGTGTGAGAATAAGTGCCGAATGCCTTGCTTCTGGGAGCCTGGGATCAAGAGGCTTGGACCTCAGGGGCAGAGAGGGAGGGGACAATCTCAGGTTCCCTCTTGTTTCTTCAAACCCAGCCTCTCTTCCAGATCACCCTCTGAAACAGTGTTTTCTAGAGTAAGGTCTAAAGATTGCCTGTATTTATTTATTAGAAATTCAGATCACTGGACCCTAAACCATATCAATAGAATAAAAATTCCAGATAGAGCCCAGCAATCTGCTTTTTAACAAATTTTCTAGGCCTGGTGACTCTTATGCACACAGAAGGTTGACAGCCATTTTTAAAGGATTAGGCCAGGCTGGGTGCGATGGCTCACGCCTGTAATCCCAGCACTTTGGGAGGCCAAGGCGGGCCGATCATGAGGTCAGGAGATCGAGACCATCTTGGCTAACACGGTGAAACCCCATCTCTACTAAAAATACAAAAAAAAAAAATTAGCCGGGCATGGTGGCGGGCGCCTGTAGTCCCAGCTACTCGGGAGGCTGAGACAGGAGAATGGCATGGACCCAGGAGGTGGAGCTTGCAGTGAGCCGAGATCGTGCCACTGCACTCCAGCCTGGGCGACAGAGCAAGACTCTGTCTCAAAAAAAATAAAAAAAATTAAAAAAATAAAAAAAAGGAAAAAAAAAAGGATTAGGCCAGGTTTATCCCCTTCTAGGCTAAGTTTAAATGGAAAGAGCAAAAGAGACGACTTCCCAACCTCCAGAGTATCTTCCCCCATCCACCATAGCCTGGAATAGCTTTAACAGCAAATCTTACTATTTTCTCCATAATGAGTGGCCAAAGGCTTACCCAGGCATTCTCCCCAGGAAAGGAAAGACACTGGCAATGGAATTTTAGTCAATGGTATGATGTCTGCTTTCAACAAGGGGAAGACAGCAGAAGGAATCGGCTGTGGTTGCCAATGGCCAGGCATTCACCTTTACCTGGACTCAGATTAATACAAGTCGGGCACAGTGATGCTTCCAGCCTGCCTGCCTTCTCTTCCCAGGCAGCCTGGTGTCAGAGCAGGGACTCTAACCCGAGGAGCTGACTGTGTACAGCTCAGCCTTCTTCAATGAGTTTTTTTTTTGTTTTGTTTTGTTTTTTTGAGATGAAGTCTCGCTCTTGTCCCCCAGGCTGGAGTGCAATAGCACGATCTCAGCTCACTGCAACCTCCGCCTCCCAGGTTCAAGTGATTCTCCTACCTCAGCCTCCCGAGTAGCTGGGATTACAGGCGCCTGCCACCACGCCTGGCTAACTTTTGTATTTTTAGTAGAGACGGGGTTTCACCATGTTGGCCAGGCTGGTCTCGAACTTCTGACCTCAGGTAATCCGCCCACCTCGGCCTCCCAAATTGCTGGGATTACAGGCATGAGCCACCACACCTGGCCCTTCAATGAGTCTTTTATGAATTGAAGTTTAGACCTTACATCAATTGGCAGTCTTTCTACATCTCCTTCTTGGATGAAAAGGTAGGTTAAAGAAATCGTCTTGACTTTGGCTGCACATTAGAATCACTTAGGGGACTTTTAATAATCTTGACACCCAGGCCTTGCCCCCGACCATTTAAACCAGAGTCATTGACTCTCAGGGGATCCAATGTGCAGCCAAGGTTAAGAACCACTGACAGTGTTCTCAGGATAGGAGAACTTTGTACATACCCCAGGGAAGTTCGTCTGGCCAAGAGAGCACAAGGAGAGGAATCCATAGTGAGAATCCACAGAAGGGTATCTGCAGACTGAGAACAGCCCCAGGCACATAGAAGGATAAACAAGTTCAGGAAGGATGGAGTTTAAGGACAGCGAGCTCTTCCAGGGCCAAGAGGGCACGGGGAGGGCAGCTGCATGCAGATATTTCGGCCAGATCACCAGAGGTGTCCAAGAAATTACATATTTGACAAAAACACTTTTCCAATAATTTTTATTAAATACAGGAGATGATTTAACAGATGATATTATCTGTAAGAAGTACTTTTTTAAAAAGTTTAGTAGAAATAAGATCATAAAACATCTTGTTTTCCTTGTAGCTCTTTAGTGCTGTCACAGAGGACAATGATAGGCAGGTTTCAGGATTTTTTTTTTTTCATTTGTCTTTCAGAAAGGGTGGAATGCAAAGTATTGCTAATCAGAGAAAATCCCTGTTTAATCTGCATGTAGGAATGGATTAAAGAGTGTCTCAGGTGAAAGTGACTCTTTGTAAACAAACAGAATAAATAAATCCTTCCTTCTTCATCCCCCGCATCTTAACCTCAGGTCCAGTTCTTGAGTTTCATCCTTTCAGTGTTCATAGGCTGGTCCTCCTCTCTGAGCCAAGATCTAAGCCTACACTTTCCCCTTTACAACAGGAAAATGCAGCAGCTGGCAGCAGGGCCCTCCCATCCATGCTGTGAGGGCTTGTTAGGGCCTCTTTCAGCAAATGTTTCTAAAACCTGGATTTCAACGATCACTCCTTCCTCAAGAGTGCAGCAGCTCCCCGGTATCTACTGAATCAAGCCTGAGCTTTTTGTCATGGCTCAGTCACTCAGTCTCACCCTGAGCTCCATGCCCATATAGAAATTTTATTTTTGTTACTAAATTTTAAAACAGCTCGATGATAGAAAATTGAACACTGCCAATAAGAAAAAGGAAAAGGGCCAGGCGTGGTGGTTCATGCCTGTAATCCCAGCACTTTGGGAGGCTGAGGAGGGTGGATCACTTGAGGTCAGGAGTTCAAGTACTGCAAGAACCCCTGGGGGCTGCTGGCTCAGCCCTTTGCTTTATCCACGTATACTTGGGTATCCTTAGAACATCTGTGCTGGTGCAATTGACCTGGTATCTCCAATTTATATGTTTCTAAAATCAATTTGGAGTAGAAATCTCTGTAATGTTTTCCTTGGCATATATAGAAACAAAAATGCATCCATGAATACTTTTTACTATGAATGGATTTTTAAAAACACTTTTTTAAACTTAAAATTTAAATACATTTAAATGCATTTAATTTAAAAATAAAAAAATTAATGTTCATCATTAGGTCTGCTGATTCTCTAGTTGACTTCCTCCTTTTTTAGGTGTTTAATGTAATTGACTCTGGGTTTCTTTTTAAGATGCTACTAATATAGTATATTTTATTTTTGTTACTAAATTTTAAAACAGCTATATGATAGAAAATTGAAAACTGACAATAAGAAAAAGAAAAAGGGCCGGGTATGGTGGCTCATGCCTGTAATCCCAGCACTTTGGGAAGCCAAGGAGGGTGGATCACTTGAGGTCAGGAGTTCAAGACCAGCCTGGCCAACATGGTGAAACCTTTGCTCTACTAAAAATAGAAAAATCGGCTGGCAGTGGTGGCGTGTGCCTGTAATCCCAGCTACTTGGGAGGCTGAGGCCTGAGAATCACTTGAACCCGGGAGGCAGAGGTTGCAGTGAGACAAGATTGCACCACTGCACTCCAGCCTGGGCGACAGAGTGAGACTCCATCTCAAAAAAAAAAAAAAAAAAAGCAGCAGAAGAAGAAGCAAATGGAATTTATAAGCTGGCATCCTTGGATCTTCAGGCTTGAAACTTCTGAATGTTCTTTAACCCTTTCTCTCTCTCTTTGACTCTTCATCTCACATCTCTAGTCACATCAAAAGGGTGAGGAACAGCAGCCAGGTATCAGGAACAGCAGCCAGGTATCAGGAACAGCAAGTGCAAAGGCTCAGAGGTGAAACTGTCTGAGATGTTTCGGGTCCAGTGAGCAGCTGAGAGTGTCAGGAAAGTAGGTGTTGAGAGGATGTTTACAAGACAAGGATGAGACCGCTGGGAGCAGAGACAGATAGTCAAGGGACCTGTTAGGCCAAGGAGATGGGGGGTTACAGGCTTCCTGCTGGAAGCCCTTGGAGACCTTTCCTCGGGGTGTGTCATGATGAGGGTGGAAGAATGGAGGAGGATCTCGGCCTGGGACAGTGGTGGCTGGGACACCAGTATGGAGGCAACTGTGCCAGGCCCAAGCCTCGAGCTCGTGACAGCGTGGTACCAAAGGCAATGGAATAACACTAGGAGTGCCCTGTGGGCCTCAGCTGTGCGAAAGGACCAACAACTCTCAAAGAGGACATTACTGAGACAAAGTGCCATGTTGGCCATACTGGGGCCTGAGACAAAGTAAATCAGCAGGACTGATTCTGTCTTCATCTAAAATTCCAGTAGTTTCTTCATCATGGATTTCTGGGCATTCATTTTGATTTTTAAAATATTATATTAAATACTATTTGTATCAATTTATTAATGAGGGTTACCCCTTAAAATTTAATGTCATGCTTTGCTGTTTTATACATGACTCGTTTTGTTTTATTCCACAAATATTCAGTGTGTGCACACTGGGCATGGCACATGCAGGCCACAGAGCTAACCTGAACACAAACCCGACCCTCTTGTAATGCAGGAAAGGGGCTCCTTTCACCACCTTATCACATGACAGAAACCTTCTGGCCTATGTGAAGCCAGGGGACAGATATAGGCAGACCGGAGAATTCTCTGATTCACACAAAACATCCTCCTCTCAGGTCACTCCTGTCTTAAAGCTGAAGTTTTCAGCCACCAACCCATCGTTTTGAAGCAGCATGATACTTTTTAGTGACTATCCTGTTACTTGCATGCTGCAGGACTCCTATGACAACTTCTCCCCCTCCACTCTTTCTAAAGCCTTGTCATTTCTGGCACCGGCTTCCTAATGCTCACTTCCTCCAGCCTGGCCTTGCTATGAAATAACAGGAATTATATTTAGATTTGCGAATTCAGCACTGCAGGCTGCTTCCTTCTGGGGAGTGAGCTCATGGTGGAGCTGGCAGAGTTTTGACAGCTTTGGCAGTCCCTTCCATGGTGTGATAATGTGAACAAGCCCCTCAAGGTCGAGTTAGTGGCCTTCTCCTCCATTTCACAGATGCAGATACTGAAGCCCAAAGAGATCAGAGATCATGAGTGTCTCAGACTATACAGCTGACTCCGAATTTTGCCTACAATTAAGGTAGTCACAGAAATTTGGAAGTGAGAGAGACTTTGGGAATATCCTGGGTCAACCTCCTCTTATGCCAAGGGAGGAAATTAAATTCCAGGGAAATTTTGTGATTGCCCTGAGATTAATTTAGTTGAGGACTCCTCCAACTCTTTTAGTCATACCTGTTCCTTCCCCTTCCACATAAGGCTTGAGCCCCCTGCTAGAGAAGGTGGGGGGTACCTCCATGGCCAGAGGTAACCCCCACCTTCTTATGCCATAGTTCAGAGCTGTGATTATAGTACAAGCCCAGTAAGCCATTGCTGAGAGAAGCATCATGCATGCCAGTGATCAGACTTGGAAAATCAATAACGGTAAAAGCCAGCATTTATTGAGCATGTACTACGTGCTAGGTACTTTGTGTGCATTATCTCATTAACCCTCACAACTACCCTGTGAGGGAGGTCCTATTATCCCCATGTTTATATTATGATAAAAAACACATAACAAAAAATTTACCATCTTAACCATTTTTAAGTATCCAGTTCAATAGCATTAATATATTCACATAGTTGTAGTTATCCCTGTTTTTATAGATGAGAAAATTTGACTCAGAGAGGTTAAATAATTTGCCCAGATCCTACAGCAAATAAGTGATAGAGCTGGAATTCAAAATCAGGTCTGATTCCGGAGCCTATGCTCTCAACCCACTCTGGATGATACAGGCTAACTTGTTTCAACTTGGCCCCTCACCAGGGCAGGCGACTGGCTTCAGCACCTACGTTGCCTCTTTGGATACCTTCCTCTCTGTCCCTGGAGACAGCACCCATTCCCTCTACCAACCCAGTAATCTTTACTGTGACACATGTGCCCCCACCCCTGCCTTGCTATTGGTCCCCAAGGTTAGACATTTTGCTAGAGGGGAGCGTCAGCTCTTAAGGGCCTGTTTCAGACTTTGGGAGGAAGAGGGAGAGTAAAAAGAGGAAAGGACAGATGGCAGGGGAAATGGGAAGGAGAGGGGGTAAGGCACATGGGAGGCAGGAGGGAATGCGGTAGCGGCCCTCTGGGGTCTGGAATATGCTCAGAAGTAGGGTGGCTGAACAGAGCAGCTGGAAGGACGCCACCATAATCCATGCATCCTTTCTCAACACCCGAGGCAGAAAGGCCCCCTGAGGGTCCTGGAGTGGAGGGGCTGTGTTCCCTTACACACAAGCATCTTGCTGCCAGGGCTGTTTCTTACTATCCACTTATTAACCGTATAAAGTAATTTATAAGTTTCTCCAAACAGTTCACACCCTACCTTTTTTTTTTTTTTTTTTTTTTTGCTTGTTTCTTTTTTTTCCTACTGAGATCTGCAAATATTTTGTGGTAGTCTTTGGCATGTCTGAACGGCTGAGCTTGGTTATAAGCAGTCAGAAATTGGGCTGACTTGGCACAAGCAGGAGTAGGGATGATTCTACTAATACCCTGTGTCCTTCAAAAACCCTGGTAGGACTTACCCTATCAGAGGCAGTTATGCATCAGGCACACCACCCTGAGACTGATGAGATGGCAAGGAAATGATGCTATACCTGCCTTAAGAAGTTCTTAGAAGTTTTGTCACTTGATTTGACAGCTGAAATTGGCATGGCCCTTCCCCTCTCTGACTTTAGGGGCCAGTGGTCCTTGGGGCCTCCAGGAATACAACACTTCTCTTTCCTTTAGCACATTGGAATGCTTGCTGGACTCTGCTCTCACCACCCACCTGGCAGAGGTCTTGAATAAAGGAAAACTTCCTCACAAAACTACATAAAAGCAGATTGCAAAAACCAAAAAAGTTAAGGGAGACTCCTGTGTTCATAGATGACACAGACTCTTGGGTTTGGAAGAACACTAAGAGGTCATGTCATTTAGTCCCTTCACTGTGTCTGACTCTGATGTGCTCATTGTTCTGATGAGGTGCTGACAGCTGCACCGTGCATGTGTTCACTGTCTGTCCTCTACCAGCATAAAAATGCAAAACTGACGTCTCTTAAATCGAACCAGCTGCCAATAGGTTTGTAAAACCAAGCGACTGAGAAGTAGTTCTAGTCATGTTTCTGAAAATGCAATTCTACATAATTCCAGAAAATAAAAGTGTCTTAAGAATTTGAATATGTTCTTTTAAAAATTAACTTAATGGGGGAAAAAGGAACTTTGGCTATATCTACATGGCATGATATATATATAGTATTGTCATCTACTTGTCCTGGCATCCATTTCTGCAGGTAAAAGCAAAGATATTTTCAGGAAGTAAAGAGTGATTTTGAGGGATGGCATTCAAGAACTCATATATTGAAAAAGTTTGACCCAGTTAAATTCTTCTTAGCTCTGAGAAAACAAAGATATTGGGAATGTCTTGTATGTAGGGGTAGGGGTGAAAGGAAGCATTGTAATTCATTAAAAGCATCTACAAATGTTTGTCAATAATACATTTAAATAAAAATTTTGAAGCAATATCTTTTTTTTTTTTTGAGACAGGGTCTCACTCTGTCACCCAGGCTGGGGTATAGTGGCGTTATCTCGGCTCACTAAAGCCTCAACCTCCCTGGCTCAAGTGATCCTCCCACCTCAGCCTCCTGAGTAGCTGGAACTACAGGCATGTGCCATCATGCCCAGCTAATTTTTTGTATTTTTTGTAGAGACAGGGTTTCGCCATGTTGCCCAGACTGGTCTCAAACTCCTGAGCTCAAGGGCTTTGTCCACGTCGGCCTCCCAAAGTACTGGGATTACAGGTATGAGCTACTGTGCCTGGCCAACAATATCTAGTGGGTCAAAAAAATATATAATCGTGGGTCCCCAAAATACACTCATTTATGGTAAATATAGGAAATTGTTTAATTATCAATTTTTAAATTGTGGTAAAACATACATAATGTAAAATTCACCATTTCACCCATTTCAAATTGTACAACTCAGTGGCATTTAGTAAATTCACAATATTGTGCAATCACCACCACTGCCTAGTTCCAGAATATTTTCATCACCCCTAAATAAAACCCCAGACCCATGAAGCAGTCATTGGCAATTTTAAAGCAGATTTTCAAAATAATTTACTTTTGAGGTATTTTCATGAATAGCTTTTGTTTTCATCATGCTAAGAGGTTGTTAATAGAATTTACCCTAATAGGTAGCATCGGGTATATTAAGCCCAATCATCTAAGATCGGTTTGGCAACTGTGATGATCTTCGAGTATGAAGATGATGTGAAATCTGAAGTCCTGCCATGGTAAAAAAGAGAACTCTGACCTTGAACAGGCTGTAAAGATCATCTAAAAGCCAAAACAATCATATATATGTACAGAGTTCATTTTTTTCAATGATTTTATATTACATTTGCCATTTTCTTTTTTGAAATTATAGTTCTCATGTTTGTATGTGATTCTCATAGTTATTTGCAGTGCAATGAAATACTCTTCCTAGTATGTTCAATATTGAGTAGGGACATTAATACACTTTTTATGCTTAAAAAATTATTTTTCATAATGAAGTTTTTATACTTTGAACCAAGTAAGATTGTAAAATGAAGGGGTAAAAAATGGAATGGGGCTGGGGGTCATTTCACTCTAGGTACGAGCTCAGACTTTCTTGTCTTCTACTCCAAGCACCCTTGGTCATAGCCTCCCTCTGGGGAACTCCCGTTTACTTAGGTGTGGTCTCCCACCTCTGGCCTTTCCCTCCTTATCACCATGTTCCTGAACAATGATCCATTTATCCAGCTAGGCTGTTGATTGAACCACCTCTGTGAGTGGGTAGGAGAGCTCTCTGCCCCCTTGGTCTGAGTTGGTTATCAGATAAATGAGTCCTGCGTGGGTGCTAGTGACAGATGACTCAGTGCCTGAACCTATTACACTTAATGATGTTTAATTTTGAACCAGAACATTGAGACACTGCCATATCCCAAGTAGATGCCTCTCTAACAACACAATCCAGGGCACCAGGGAAGCACAGACCAGGAGGAAGGGGGCATTCATTGAGCTCTTACTCTCCGGTATACAGAGGTACTGTTCTAATACCCCTGCTTTATGTTATATATTATTGAGATATTATTATTCCCATTTTTCAGATGAAAAACCTGAGGCTAAAAGGGATTAAGTGATCTTCTCAAAGACCACAAGCTGGTAAGTGCAGAGCAAATGTTCAAATCCACATCTGCCTGATTCTTTCTTTTCAGTAAGACAAAAACACCTTCCAAGGGCACCTCTTAAAATACCACGTTGGTGCTGTGTGCTTGGTCTGTATATAAGACCAGCTCTGCTCTTCATAATTATAACTCACTCTCAGATTACATGAACGATTGTGGGAGCATTCTTTGCAAAATATATAGCAGTAGGATACCAGACACACCTGAGTCAGTGTGGAATTCAAGTTTGGGCCTGGAACACACAATTGTCTGAAATACTGACAGCAGGAATCCTCAGAAGGCTTTCTGACTAGTAAGTGACTGCTTTTTTAATTTTAAAACAAACGTCTATGAAAAGTGAAGAACAAAGCCTGAATGTTACATTGGCCAGTAAATTACACAGGCAGACATGGAGGGGTCGTCTAGAGCTTGAACAGGTGACCTGGCCTCTCTGGGCCTCACCTTTCTCACCTGTGGAATAAAGGGGCTGGAGAGGTGTCCTTTCAGTCCTCGCAAGGCGAATCTCTGTGCTTCTCCATGGAAGCCTGTGTCTCTGCACATTGTAGAAGCAGGCAAGGCCCGAGTCCTCATGGAACCCCCGACCAGCACTGGCTGCATAATTTCTGGGGCCCAATGTAAAATGAAAATGCAGGGCCCCTTGGTCGAAATTGTTAAGAATTTCAGGACTGCAACAGCAGAGCATTAAACCAGGCACAAGCTCCGAGCACAGGACCCTGTGCGACTGTATGGCCACACGCCCAGGAAGCTAGGGACCTGTGCTGCGTGTTCCCTACAATGTGTGAAGGAAGGGAATCTGGAGTAGGTCTGGGGCCCCCAGCCAGCATGGGAGGCAGGGATGCTCCTGGGGTAATGAGAGCCTTCCTTAGGAAACTGGCCAACAGAGAAGTGTGGCTCAGCAAACAGTCACCACATGTCCCTCAAGCTGGCTTCTTTGTCTTGCTTTTGAAATAAGCATTGAAATAGCCATGCTGGGCTGAGGGAAATGGTCTGTTTGGAGGCCTAGACCACAGTGCTGCAAAAGGGTTGTGAAAACATTAGGTTAAAAAATAAGGCTTCAGGTGTAGCTTCTGGTGGACTCCCTTTCAGAAGGGAGGTGAAGGCAGGACAGGTAGGAAAAGGTGGTGAAATAAGGAGGAGGAGGGGCTTGTGGGGAGGGCTCTTTTCTTTTTGGAACAAAGCACAGGGAGGAAGGAGGTGAAGTCAGACTTTCTTGCTCATTGCTGGATGGAGACAAATACGCCAGTAATGAGGAGGCTTAACACACAGTGAAGAGGAGCAACCTCCTGAGAGAGGGTTTCCACCGCAGCAGCCAACCCCAGTGTCCAGTGTCAGCCCAACACAAAAGCTGCTTCCCTACAGCTGTGCTGGGGAACCCCGAGGTCATGTGGGACCTAGAGGACGGCAGCCAGCATCACACTTCAGGGTTCTCTGCTCCCTTGATCTGGAGCAGGGACTTGGGTAGGGGCTGGAATTCCACCCCATCAGCAGGTGAGGCCCATTTCTGGAGCAACAGGTGAAACATACTCTAAATTCCTAATAATGTGCATGGTTCCTAGGGGCCTAGGAAACCCAGCATAAACGTGGAATGAAAAAACTAAGGCTGCCTTTGAGCGCTTAAACCTCAACATCTGACAGAGCAAACACAGAGAAGCAAGGTCACCCTCAAGAAGCAGAATGGCCCCAAGTCTGTGAGATTTAAGGGGGACCTGATGGAATGTAATCACCAATCCAGAGACACAGGGTGTCCAATGGGAGGCAGTAGCGGTACCTCTCTGACCTCCAATCTGCAGAGACGGAGTCTTGGTTAGGTGGACTTAAAAGGCCTCCTTAGTGAGGCTCTGTCTACAGTGGGCAAGAGCACCACAGCCCTGCAAGCCTGGGGGCAGGATTACCCAAGAGCCTTGAGCATCTGACATTACAAGAGACAGCGCTCTTCTGAGCACAGGACCCTGGGTCCTTCACATAGACCTCCTCTCATCATTCCTAATATGCAGAACAATCACACAAAGCGTTTCCTGAGATCCAGATTCAATCGAAACCAATTTAAAGAGTTATTTTGGAGGGGGGCGGGGAGACATAGAAATGCTTAATAGAGCTGGAAAAAAGTCTTTAATGAAAAAGATTGAACCCTTAAAGCCTACCCATCGGTTTCAAAAAAATATATACACACTGGCCACAGGGAGACCAGACAAGACAGGGTGAATCCTGCTCCAGAAACTCTCCCAGCTCATGGAAGGATTATTCCAAATACATGCCTCTTGGACACTGCCACAGAATTTTCATATATAACCAAGAAGATTAAAGGATGGACAAGCAAACGCATTTCATCTCTCCTCCACCAGCTGCTTTGTCTTTTATCCAATGTCCTTAGGCAACATATTCTGCTCTAGGATAAGCACAGTGTGTGCACCTCTGTCCAGAATTTGGCCTTATTATTATTATTATTTTTGAGACATGGTCTCATTCTTTCACCAGGCTGGAGTGCAGTGGCATGATCTTGGCTCGTTGCAGCCTCAACCTCCTGGGCGATCCTCCCATTTCAGCCTCCTAAGTAGCTGGGACTGCAGACGCATGCCACCACACCAGACTTATTTATTTATTTATTTATTTATTTATTTATTTATTTATTTTTGTAGAGATGGGTGTCTCATTATGTTGACCCGGCTGGTCTTGAACTTCTGGCTCCAAACAATCCTCCTGCCTCAGCCTCCCAAAGTGCTGGGATTGCAGGAATGACTCTCTACACCCAGCCAGAATTTGGCCATTGGATCAGACTCACAAGCCCTTGAACTTCTTAATGGCTGTGTTATGACATAATATGCTTTTTACCTCAACATTAAGAATTTCCACTCAAGATTTGCTCAGTCTACTTGAAGAAGTAGAAACAGACTATTTATTACAAGATGACCTTATGTCTGGAAATCTTTTCCTGCTCTCACTTTTCTACCCAGGAGAGAGCAACTTATAGCTCAATGGTGCATATAGTTCATGGGATCTAGTTTTGTTTGACACAACTTTTAAAAAGGAACATCAAATTGAAATGCAGGCCTAAGGATTTATTGCCCCTCCTCTAGGCAATCCCTCATCCAAACCATCCCAGACCGGAAACCCAGTGTGATCTGAGCAAAGACCACAACAATGGCAAAGATATGTATTGCCTATTCTGAACTTTAAATACACGTTGTCACTATAAGCAAATAGAAATGAATATTTGCTTATTGTTCTGAAGAGAACATGTCACTTAGTCTGAATCAGGGTTTCTCAACAGTGGCAATAGGGACATTTTGGGCCAGATGATTCTTTGTTGTGGAGACTGCCCTGTACAATGTAGGATGTTTAGCAGCATCCTTGGGGACTAACTACTAGTGTCTGTAACACTCCCCAGTTGTGACAACCAAATGTTCCCTTGGGGACAAAATTGCCCCTGATGGAGAACCATTGATTGAAATGATCCAGCTATGTCTTGCGGGAGGCTGGGGAAGGATGTTTCTGTGGAATCTATTAAGAAGCCAAAGAAAGCGAAGTGTTTTAATTTCCCTAGAACAAGCTATCCTTTAATTTTTCTCTCCCTTTTTTTCTTGCTCATGTAAGACCTTCTTTGAAAATGAACCAAGCTGATAAATTCTCCCAAGAACAGATGGGGTTAAATCACCTGTAGGGAGAAAACAAGAGATCGTCTGTAAATACATGCCTGAAGAGTTTGGCACCAGCCCAGTTCTTTTCAATCCAGTAATCTAGGAGGCAGGGCTGGAAAATAACTGTGATTTGGTCCTTGGAAACCTAATCAATTGTATCATAGTCCATTTGGAAACATGTTGTGTGAAGAGGAAGGTGTTGTTCAGCCATGGTACACAATCACTGGGTCCAGAAGAGAGGTTCCTCGGACATGTGGACTCTGGTTTAGGGTTTTCCTAGCACAGCCATGCCCAGAGTGGGTGAGGAAGTTGCCTTGAGTTTTCTTGGCTGATGACTCTGAAGTCCACTCGCACTAAGCCAGTTTCTGATAACGTGGCTCCCATGTGACTTGCCCACAGGGAGAAAGAACCCTTCTCAGCTGCTCTGGGTAGTCCATCCATTGGTGTGCCGCAAGATGGTCCAGTTAAGTGGCTTCTCATCCAGTGGGATGCAGGTAGGCAGTGTGAGGGGATGGGAAACCAGACGGTCCAGGAAGTGGATCTAATCTCCACCACTAGATGCTGTGCCTCCTGCCTGCAGCTCCCCTGAAGTTTGCCACCCCAGTTAAAAGGAGTTGGAACCACAAATATGAAGAGCAAGAGAGACAGCAAATGCCACTCAGCTTGGGTGGTTTGAGGTACTGGTGGTTGTGTTTGCTTTTTATTGACTTGGTATACTGACTAAGTGGCAAATACTCTTCTGGGAACTTCAGTCCATGTTGTCTCACTTGGTCTTCACACAAGCCTGTGAGGAAGGCATCTCTAGCTTCGTTTGGCAGCTGGGAAAACTGAGGTGTAGAGAAACTGAATGGCTTCAGCTAGTAACTGGCCATTAGAATCAGCCCTGTTGGGCCCCAATGGCATGGTCCTTCTAAATATATCAAGAAATATTTCCTGAGAGTCCTGAGATAAAATGGTAGCCTTTGAGAATGTAACATATGTCAAATGTGGTCTCTGTGCTTAAAGGATCACAGCATCAGAGCTGAGAGGGACTTTGGGAAATGTTCTCATTTTGTAGTTTGAACCAAACAAACATAGGGGACATGGGGGAGCTAATAACCTATCCGGGATGTTGTGGAAGAAAAGGAAAGAAAAGCCATATATGGAAGAGAAGAGCCATAAAGAAAACCTGCAGGGTGTGGTAGGTGAGTGGGTGTCAGCTGAGGTGAAGAGGGAAAGGTGAGTCAGTGTGAGGGCTGACGAGGATACCATCGACCAAAACAGGGAGGATCTGAGAGACAGCTAGTTGTGGAAAGGTGAAAAGAAGGTGAATTTGTTTCTGAAGAACTGAACCAGAAAAATCAAGGAAGTAAAAACTCCAGTTGAAAACTCCAAACCCTGAGAAGAGAAGGCATGTCTCAGAATCCATTAGAAAAGGTCTCAGTGAGACCCCTACCAGGAAGACCCAGACACCCACAGCAGGGTTCTGTCATGCTTAACATTATTAGTCACTTAGATGAACGCAGAGAAGGAATGTTTGTCACATCTGCAGTCCATGCAAAGCCAAGTGTCACAGATGTCAGAATCAATAGACAAAATAGTCAAAATAGTCAGAAAGAAGAAAAGGAACCAACATGAAACTTATCAGGGATCAATGGAAAGTCCCTGTTTATTTTCAGAAAATCAATTACACAACTATAGAATTAGAATAACAACAGTAATGATATTAATAGCTACTATTTTGAAAGTCCTATAATCACTATGTGCCAGTTGCTTCACAGAAAAATTTATTTAAACCTTACAATAGCCCTACAACATTGGTACTGTTATTATTATCTTTATCTTACAGGTGAGGAAACCAAGGAGATTAGGCAATCTTGCCTAAAATCACACAAATCTTGATTTTTCTAATGGAAAAATGCCATACTCTTTAATCAATAAGATAACTGGGGAGACCCGATTTGACCACACTTGTGTCAAAGACCTTTTCTAGTTGTAAAAATGAGCAGGTATGTGTTTGTTTATGCTACAAAGAAAAATACACAAGCACAGATGATGAATCAATTGGGAGGTTATTAAAAACTAAACATTTCATTTTCAAGTTAGTTTTACTAATTTGAAAAGGGATATTTGCAAAGTGATTCAGGATTGTAAATTTTGAAATGTTCCCCTAGAAAGGTGAAATTTTTATGATCATAGGAATGTTTACTGTGGAACGATTGAAACCCAGCTCTAGCCAGGTTTCTGATCATAACTTTACCTTATACAATTAAGGGAAAATCATGGCTAGGAATCAACTAAAAGACCCTAAGTGTCTATGGACTCCTACTGACAGAGAAGCCTACTTTAGCAGGCCTCGGTGGGAGCAAAGACATGAGAATCTGTGCTCACACCTCTCTGTGGTCACAAGCAACTTAGCCATCTCACCTATCTCTATTCTTATACAGCAGAAACTCTCAAGGTGATGACCCATCCCCACTGGGTTCATCCAGAACATTCCCTTTCTTCTTCATTTTGAGAATTCCTTGTCTCCTTCCAATCCTGCATGCCCTCCTTTCCTTGGATGACTCTGCTTCCCCTCTCCTCCTAGTAATTCCTTCTGCTCCACTCTCTTTTCAGTCCTGGGAATATACTCCCTGGATCAAGGTCATTCCTTTCAGTCCTTTGGATGGACACTCACTGTCCTTCTATTTTTGTGGCTAAGAATTTGAGCAAATTCTCACCTAAGCCTAAGAGTATAAACATAACTGTCCACTTTTATGGTCATCTGGTGCCAAATAATTACATGGTTAATCAACCTTCAGAATTGATGTCAACCAGTCAGGACAGAGGACACAAATCACAGGAGGCAAGTATTTCATCTATTGACTCCTCACCATCCTATCTATCTAATTATGGAAAAGAGTTAAGATGGTGCTTCGAGCCCATTGAGTTTACAATTTCATTTCTTTGAAAAGTTCCACGTCAACAGTACATTTTACCACAACAGGATGATTCTATAAAGACAACTGAGTAATCAAGTGGAAAAAAAGTTACTTTTATGTAAGCAGATGAGTGTAGTGTATGATTATCCATGGTATAATTTTGGTTTTCTATCCCATAATCTATGGTTGTATATTGCCCATCAACTACTCTGTGATCAAGCTGGACTTTGTCCCAAAGGGAGGAATCATAAAATGATTTAAGTTCTAGCACCTTTACTTAAATTCCCACCTGGATTCCCTGAAAGAGAATGCATTTCTGTATAGTTCTACATTATGGAATATGTCTGAAAACAAAAAAAAAAAAACATTTGGAATCCTCCTGTTCATTCAGAGGAAGGTGCCTAGTTAGTTTCTTTGCCATGTCTTTCTGCCCTCTCTTTCCCTCTTCCTTCTCACTGCCATGTCCCAAGTCCAGGCCTACAACCCTGGATGCTTGGGTTACTTAAGCGCTCCTCCCTCCCACCAGATCCCTGCCTCCAGTGTCCCTCCCACTCCAACGCATCCTACCAGGCTCCTTTAAGCCTACTGTCATGACATTGCTAACAGCTAACAGCATAACCTGTTCTCCAACTCCCTATGGTCAGGGCACTCACCATCCTTTGCAACCTGGACCCACCTTATTTGTCCAATCATACCAGGACCTTCAGGTCCCACATTCCCTACTCTTTAGTTTCTGCTGGACAGAAAACTCTCCTCACTATCCCACAAATGGACCGTACTTGTGTTAAGCTTTGAGTGACAGCCTCTGTATTTCCTCCCTCCCAGCACATAACATGTTTCCTCCAATTCTCCAGTATTTTATAATTTTACCCACCTCTCAAAGCCTACCTCTTAAAAGTATCTTCTCTATGAAACCTCCTCCTGCTACTCTAAGTCTCTTCTTACATTCCTTCTGTCGCTTACAGCTTCCATTGTATCACCCCCGCCCCTCATGAGGGTGTAGCTATTTGAGACCAAGGGCAAGAATGAGGTGCCTTCTTGTCCCGTCAGTGCTGATCACACAGCAGCACTCAACAGCATGTTCTTGAAATGGTTGAACACAGCTGATGTTGCCTACTGATCCCAGATCATTGATGCATTTCACATTACCTTTTACCAAGCACCTCCTAGGCATAAGACCTGTATTCTACTGTGAAGGGTTGTCCCTCTGCCAATCCAGACTTTCTCTTAAATATTGTCTCAAAAGCTTCAATTCTCTGGCTCATTGTTATCTGTGATTACTTGTCTGCTACATGTGTCACATCACCCCCTGAACATTTGGCTAAGTTCTAATATGTAGTCAGAATAGAAAACACTCC
Organism: Homo sapiens; assembly: GCF_000001405.40. Classification (NCBI taxonomy): domain Eukaryota; kingdom Metazoa; phylum Chordata; class Mammalia; order Primates; family Hominidae; genus Homo; species Homo sapiens. Next base: position 96,270,428 of record NC_000010.11, read on the forward strand.
CTGAACAGAGGGGAACATCACACACCGGGGCCTGTCAAGGTGGGGGACTAGGGGAGGGAGAGAATTAGGAGAAATACCTAATGTAGATGACAGGTCGATGGGTGCAGCAAACCACCATGGGATGTGTATACCTATGTAACAAACCTGCACCTTCTGCACATGTACCCCAGAACTTAAAAGTATAATAAAAAAAAAAAACTGTTAAAAAATGTGAAAAAAAAACTGCACTCCCAGAACTTTAAAAGTTCCAGTCTCTGAAAGCCATGATGCCATTACAATGAGACAAAAAGAAGACCTTCAAAAGCAAAATTTGGGGAAGTTGTCTTTTCCATAGCTCCTTGACTCACGCCCATGGGGCCGCTTCTGGTTTATTCTTTTTGAGAGGCTTGTTATGGATATTGTTACATTGACATGAGGGCATTGGAAAGACAGATCTAATCCCCCCAAACACACTTGTCATATACACCCACAAAATAAATGAGACAATAAAACAATGAATAACAAATGATTACAGCTATCCTTAAAATTAAATAGTAACCTGCAATAAAATGGGTGAGGACTCAGTTTAGAGAAACCCTTCCTTAGAAAAGTTGGTTGCATTCAGATTCTAAAAGTTGACCTTCAGTAGAATCTAAGCCCTTGGCATTTGTTTTATTATCTTTCCAGAGCTTTACACTTTATTGTAAGAGGCAGCTAAAGCAAGTCTCTCTTGTTCCTACACATTTCTTTAAGAACTCAGTTCACTTCCCTATAGCAAGTGCCACCCAATGCTTTCCCTAAAAGCTCAGTCCACTTCCCTATAGTAAGTGCCACCCACTGGAAACTAGCAAAGCATTCCAGGATTTCAGTATTTCTGAGATGCCATAAGAGCACTGGGGGGAAAAAAAGGAGATGAAGAAGGGTATTGGGTGGGGAAAATCTTACCTCAACTTCTGACTGGCGGGGACGGTTATTTTATTAAGCTTGTCCATTCTGTTTGGTAATTGTAAGAGACACGAATAACTGTCCAGTGGTCACGTCAGCAGTTCCTGGCCCTCCTAGGGAGCAGCATGGTAAGCCTCTGGTCTCAAGGGTTCCGGCCACTCAAGTCTGATTTCTGAGAGTGCAGGCTGCTGGCAAACACCCCTGCTCTAGGGAGAAGTAAAACTTGCCCGAGCACATAGTCAAGTTTCATGTTTCTACATAATCATGTGATCTGGATAGCCAGCCAGCTTGGTGATTACTCCACTTTGTGTAAACTTTAATAATGAAACCTATTGGGCAGGCAAATTTCTTTCCAGCTGCTTTCTTTTACAATCAGATTTGTAACCAGGTTAGGACAAGTTTCTGGCTGGTCACTACTTCCTGTTTGTCCCAAACACATATAGTCTGTTTCCAGCAGGTGCATGCTATAACTGGGAACTTCCTGGGCTCAAGGAAAAGCAGAGTAATCAAGTCCATCTGAACCTCTCTTGGAGACTTTCTGCTTATTTGCATAAAGTTATGGATAAGCTTTTTCTACTTATAGAACCATTATATAAAAATGGCATTTTTGTGCTTTTTCCTACCCCCCGATGCGGGCAATACGTTTAAAAATAAATATCAGGTTGTCAGTGGCATGGTGGTAACAGTTTACTCAGAGAATTAGAGTATCTCTTTTTCTGGAGCTCTATTTAAAATGGGATGGGCAATTCTCTGTTCATCTGGGGGTAGGGATGGATGACTCAGGAAAGGGGAGATGAACTCTATCGTCAGATGTGCAGCCTCCTTATTGCCTGATAGAGTCAGGAGTTACCTCGCCGATAGCCAGATGCTTTCAAACAAACCAGGATGTACCCAAAAGTCAGATGAGAACAAATCTAACAGTTTCACAACAATGCAATTCCTACATCAGGCCATTCTGAAGTCCTAAAAGCAGAATGCCATTCCCCTCCTTGCATTTGCCTCTTTCTGTCCTGTCCACCACTTGCTCATCACACCCAGTGACACGCCAGACACGAGGCCATCTCAAGGTCAGACAGGTGGGGTGAGGCTGGGAGGAGGGAGCCATACCTGTAGGGGCTGAACCTATTCAGAGAACTCTACTTCCCTCCTGGAAGACTTTATATTTCCTTCTGCCTAATCTGAAAAATGCTGATTTACCTGTTGTTTAAAGAGCAGCCCGCAGTCCAGGGTCAAGGAGGAAGAAAATGGGAGGGAAGTGACCTTTTGTACCTGGACACACTTTTCTGCAGCCATTGAGAATGCCCTGCTCACCCTTGTGGAATAAAGTACACGTTTCCAACATTTATCAAGGGAACCAGTCTTCTCCTGGGTCAGAATACACAGCAGGACAAAGTAAAGAGCTCTCAGTTACCTCTCCTGTTGCAGACCCAAGATCTGGCTGAAGACAGTGGGGAAAGAGGAGAAGACAGAAGAGGAGAAGGAGGTGGAGGAAGAGGAGGAGGAGGAGGAGGAAGAAGCGGAGGAGGAGGAGGAAGAAGAAGCGGAGGAGGAGGAGACAGAGGAGGAGGGGGAGAAGGAACAGCGGCAGTGGTAGAGGTGGAAACCGTGGATGGATTTCTTCCCTCCTGTGCCTCTTCTTTGCACAAATGGATGTTCTGTCTTTTTCCAGGTAACCTTGATTATTCACATTCATCACTGCCTATGAATTTCTGGTTTGACCAGATGTTTAGGAGCAGAATCTTCAGAGCTGTTGAAGGGTGGGGCCCTTCTGCTTGGCCAGGACACTGACTTGGCCAGGCCAGCAAGAGAGCAGACAATGTTGCATGAGAAAAATGCAAGTGCTTGTCTCCTGCCATCATTCATTTTCCCCAATCTGGCTGCTCAATTTTCTTGCAGTGCATCCTGAAGGAGCTCTAGACCCTGCCTCCTCCTCTCCCATAGTTCCTAACTGAAAGAAACAAGTAGACTAGGATGGTAAAGGCACATACAATGTCATCAAAGATCAGGAAATTCAGGCTTCACTGAATGAAATGATAATAGTCAGCTCGTTCTTTCTGAATTATTGTAAAATGCACCCCATAAGTCACTTGACTTTTCTCTCCACCAACAACTTTGCTCAACACCTGGCTGACAACTTCATATTTCCCCAGAGAAAAAGACCAGAGGCAAAGGTTACACTTCTGCTTTTTCTTTTTACAGCCACTGGTCTTTCTTCTTTTTACTGTATTTAGTCTAACATGATGAAAATGAGAGACTGTGTTTCCAGACTGGACATTTTACCCCATGTGAAATACAGTGTGACAGCCTAATGTTCCAGGCCTGCCACAACTGCTTTGGCTTCTAAGTTGCTCCATGACTAAATGAAAATTTTAAATTATTTGACTCTAATTTTGAAGTGGGGAAAACCTGTTTTTTTTTTTTTTTTTTTTTTTTTTTTTTGAGACGGAGTCTTGCTGTCACCCAGGCTGGAGTGCAGTGGCACGATCTTGACTCACTGCAAGCTCCGCCTCCTGAGTTCACACCATTCTCCTGCCTCAGCTTCCTGAGTAGCTGGGACTACAGGCACCCGCCACCATGCCTGGCTAATTTTTTGTATTTTTTAGTAGAGACAAGGTTTCACCGTGTTAGCCAGGATGGTCTCGATCTCCTGACCTCGTGATCCGCCCGCCTCGGCCTCCCAAAGTGCTGGGATTACAGATGTGAGCCACCACACCTGGCCGGGGAAAACCTTTTTAAGCAAAACACAAAAAGGAAAAACAGTGGTAAATCTAGATACATATAAATTTAAACTTTTATGTGACAAATGCACCATAAATGAAAGTCAAAATACAAATGACAGGCCCCATAACTGGATTACCAAAAAGGTTAATGCAAAGATGGAAACTGATGATACCAAGCCTTAGTTGGTAACTTATAAAAGGAATGAAACCACACAACGTGGTTCCACAGCGCACACAGAACGATATACCATGATAAGCCTTTAAGGTCGGTCTACATAGCACAGTGGACATGGAAATTAATGAATCACTAGATTCACAGATGAGAAATTGACAATCCCAACCTTAAAGAAAATTTGGAGTGCCTATACACTGTTGCTAAAAGTATAAGGTGCAATGGTTTGGAAACAGTTTGGTATTTTCCAATAAATTTGATGGCATGCATACCTATGACCCAGCATGGATCACAGATATTGCGGAGCACTCCTAACTCTGTATATCAAAGCATGTGCTAGAATTTTCACTGAAGCACCATTTCTTTTCTTTTCTTCTTCTTCTTTTTTTTTTTTAAGATGGAGTCGCACTCTGTTGCTCAGGCTGGAGTGCAATGGTGCGATCTTGGCTCACTGCAACCTCCGCCTCCCAGGTTCAAGCAATTCTCCTGTCTCAGCCCCCCTGTAGCTGGGAATAGAGTTGCATGCCACCATGTCTGGCTAAGTTTTGTATTTTTAGTAGAAACGGGGTTTCACCATATTGGTCAGGCTGGTCTCGAACTCCTGACCTCAGGTGATCCACCCACCTCAGCCTCCCAAAGTGCTGGGATTATAGGCATGAGCCACCACGTCCGACCTAGCCACCAAGCCCAGCCACCATTTCTAATAGGGGAAAAAAATGGCCCTGGAAATAACCCAGTTGTCCATCAACTGGAGAACAACTAAATTAATTGTGACATATTTTCATAATGGAGTACTATTCAACAGTGAAAATGAGTGAACCCCAGTTGCATCAGTATGGATAAATAACAAAAATAATTTGAGCAATAAAGGCAAGCTAAAGAAGTGTATGATCCCTTTTATATTAAGGTTAAAGACATGTAAAACTAAGTAATATGTTATTTAGGATAAGTACATCTATGGTAAAACCAAGCAAGGGAATGAAAAATGAATAAGTCACCAGGGAGCAGGATTGGAGCGAAGGGACATGCAGGGCTTCCAAGCAATTGTAGTATATTTCTTAAGTTGAATGGTGGGTATAAGTGTTCATTTTATTGTTATTCTTTATATCTTATACATATTGTAGGTATTATATATTTAACACAAATTTTAAAAGATCTGATCTATCTTTGAACTTGTGTTGTAATAACAACAAAAAAAAAAAAAAAAAAAAAAGAAAGAAAAAATATCTGGTCTAGAATTATGGGGCAAAGTCAAGATAGCATGCCTAAACCTAAGTCAGATGGTGGTGATCCACCATCTCTGTGAGATGATGAGACTTGAGAACAAGAAGACGGATTGTACTGCTTCTTGGGGTTGAGACCCCACCAGCCCTGGTTTCTCTTGGGCTCTTTGCCTTGCATCTGTGGATGACAACTACAACACCATGTTTACTGAATGCTTTCTGTGTTTCCTTTACTATGATGACATTCATTTTACATGTGAAAAAATTGATTCTGAGAGAGGCTAAGTAAACCGGTCTAAAGTTACACCACTCATCAATGGAAAAGCTGGGACTCAAACCCCAGTCTGTTTCCATAGTCTAAGCTACTAATCATAGACTCTGCCACTGCAAGAGAGATTTTCTGTGATTCAGCAGACAGGCCTGCTCTGGCATCAGGCACCAACTTAACCATGACCTTGGGCAAGTCTTTTAGTCTCCCTCACCTCAACTTCTTACCTCTAGAGCAAGGGATTCAAAGGGGCTGGGGCTCCATCTGACTTGGAATCTGGACATTGCCAATGTGCACAGAAACCGGTTAGTGCCAGTGGAAACATTCTCAGAGCTTTTAGAAGAGAAGTCTTGAATTCTCTTTACTAGACTGCTTCCCAAAGAAGTGCTCAGTGGCTGTGGCAGTTTACAGTGCCTTGGAGGGAGTCCAAGTCCTCACTGGGACTGGAAAGTCAGGCACAGTTCACTCTCTTCTCTGCTACCCACACACTGATGGCTTTTCCCTTGCCAGGGCCAGTTTAGGCAAACTGCCACAGGAAGTTGGCAAGGTGTGATGTTGGTGCTATGCAGTCTGGTTCTATGCAGAACTATAACCTGTTTCCAAGAGGCTCAGCTTCACAACAACTCCATGGGGGCAAAGGGTACTATGGTCATTCCCATTTTATGATGTGAAGTCTGATCCTCAGAAGGGTGACAAAACTTACTCAAGGCCACCCATCTTCTTGACATCAGAGCTAGGGCCTTTAGCCCCCAAACCATTCACCCTCCTTTCCTTTCTTGTGCTGGCCCCCTTTCTCAGGGTTGGGACAGGGATGCATCCTGCAGCAATCACAGACCCAGTAGCTTTCCCACGCATGCGGGCCAAAGTGGCAGGAGCTTGCGGATGGACAGGCCCGTGCCTGGTTTTCTCAGCCAGTGCCAGTGAAGAGCCAGAGGGAAAAAGGCTGGGAGGAAGCTAAGGAGCCTGGGTAAACCAGTGGAGGAAAACAGCGGAAGAGACTAGGGAAAGGCAAAGACAGACAAGGAAGCGTGGCAGATGCTGGCAGTGGTTTTTCTGTTCTTTTTTGTGGAGACAAGGAAGAAAGAAGGAAGAAGAAAAGACATCTGAGACTTGAGCAAATGGGCAAAGGCCCTTTTAGGCTCAAGGCTTTATTTCTGTGAGACAAATTGGTTCCCTATTTTATCTGTTCAGTAAACTCAACATTCTATACATCAGATTGGCATGGAGTGGGCATCTGTTTTATCAGGAGAATGACTCAGATGAAAACATCGTTTACTCATTGCATCCAGCCCAGCCTCTATTGGCAAGAACATTACAATAGCCTAATATTGGGATGGACAACTCCTGGCCTATGTGTCATCTTTACCTCCTCCCTTGCCTTCTGTCCTCAGAGCCAATCTGCCAAGATTCTCCTTGGAAATATTTCCACATTTACCCTGCTGTCACTATAGCCCAGGCCCCCACTTGGTTCACTGATCAGCCTCTTGCTACTTCTCAGTAGTGAGATCCACCCCCAATCTCATCCCCATGCCTCCAGCTACTGACCTTTCTTAAGGACCTCAGAGGAATTTCCTTTCTTCTAGAACCAAGTACCAATGTCATTCATGCCTCACTGTGACTGAGTCTCCTTGATGGTCCATCTTATTCCTCACTAATTCCCAGCAGGTGACCATCCCTTTAGCCAGACGGGTCATCAAACACTCTTTTCTCCTCATCAGTCACATGGCCCAGCCGCTAGTCAGAACCACCACCCAGAAGTGAAGAAGCAGATACACAAGGCCTTAGGAAATCAGGAGTCCAGGTAATTTCCATCAGTCAGGGCCATTATGGAGCCAAAGAGCAGGCAAGGGTGGAGAGGCAGTTTTCGGTCCAAGGAATGGGTGTATCAGAGATGTGGAAAGCTGAGATAACACTCATGGCCTCCAAGAGGTGAGGGTCTATGATATGGTTTGTTTGTGTCTCCACCAAAATCTCAACTTGAATTATATCTCTCAGAATTCCCATGTGTTGTGGGTGAGACCCAGGGGAAAGTAACTGAATCATGGGAGCTAGTCTTTCCCGTGCTATTCTTGCGGTAGGGAATAAGTCTCACTAGATTTGATGGGTTTATCAGGGGTTTCCACTTTGGCTTCTTCCTCATTCTCTCTTGCTGCTGCCATGTAAGAAGTGCCTTTCACCCTCTGCCATTATTATGAGACCTCCCCAGCCATGTGGAATTATAAGTTAAATTAAACCTCCTTTTCTTCCCAGTCTCAGGTATGTCTTTTCAGCAGTGTAAAAATGGACTAATACACTCTGTCTGCCCTATGTCCTCAGTAGCAAATGCTGTGGCTGTTGATTGTCATTTTCTGTTACCTTTTATCTGATGAAGCTTGACTAGTCTCCCAGTCTTTCTACTTAGGCAGTCCATCTGGATTCAAAGGGTCCCCAAACAAAAGCAGAGCAGACTTGAGCAAATATTTTATGTTCTTAAATATTCCATTGTCTCCAATTCAATATATATTTGTGATCCCAATCCCATCATAAAGATATCATAAAGATTTCCCTTATCTCCAATTCAATGTATAAATTTAATGTGATCCCAATAAAAATACCAAGAGGATCCTCTCCCTCCTCCCAAGCCAGATCTAGACAACTTGGTTCTAATGCTTCTTTATAAAAATAAACAAGCAAGAATAGCCAAGAAACCCTTGAAAAAGAAAAACAAGGAATGGGAAGGGACTAGCCTTCCTAGACATTAAAGTACAGTATGAAGCCTCTCTAATAAAAACAGCGTGGTATTGCTGCATGACCAATGGAAGTAATGAGAAAATATGTAGATAAATAGAAGATTATAAGCAAATTAAGTATATTATGAATGTGGCATATCTAATGGGGAAAAATAGGCTTTTCAATAAACAGTACAATTGCACAGCCATTGGGAAAAGTACAAAACTTAGATTCATACCTCAAATCATTTGCAAGAGTGAACTCCCAATGGATCAAAAATCTAAATGTAAAACATGAAGCCATAATATACCTGAAGAAAACACAGTTAAATTTCTTTATAAACTTATCTATGATTTAAAATCTAGAACTAATAAAAGAAAATCTTAATAAATTTAACCTGAGAAACATAAAAATTTTTTCATAGCAAAAAACACCATAAGCAGTATCAAAAGATAAAAGATAAATTGGGAGTCAAGAGTTGCATCATATATCACAGAACCAAAGGCTAATATCTCCTTAATAGGTAGAGATCCTAAACTTTGAGATAAAAAAAAAAAAAAACCAACTAGACAAAAAGTGGGCAAAACCATGAACATGAAAGGCAGGAGGCCTTTAAATGGATGAAAAGTATGCTTAACCACACTCCTATTAAGAGAAAGATTATTATAATCATGCTGAAGAAATATTTCAGATAAGCAAAAATCTAAAAGTCTGATGATGCTGTTGTTAAGGCTGTGAGGAAAAGACACCCTTTGCTTGCAAAATGTTGTACTCCCCTAGGAGGGGATTTGGCAATGAGGTAGGAGGTGGGGCTTGGACACCAGACCAAATTGAGGACTGTATAAAACAAGTCAGGCTGGAAGCACCTCCCATGTCAGTTTACCATTGCCATGGCAACACCCAGAAGTTACCACCCTTTTCTCTGGCAATGACCTGACAACCTGGAAGTTACCACCCTTTTCCTAGAAATTTCTGCATTAAACTACCCCTTAATTTGCATCTAATTAAAAGTGGATATAAATATGAGTGTAGCTCTGCCTCTCAGCCGCTACTCTGTGCACACCGTCTATAAGTAGTCCTGCTCTGCAAGGAGCAGTGCTTCTGCTGCTGCTGTAGGCTGCCGCTTCAATACAAGTTGCTGTTTAACACTATTGCTGGCCCTTGAATTCTTTCCTGGACAAAGCCAAGGACCCTCTGGAGCTAAGCCCCGATTTTGGGCTTGTCTGTCCTACATCAGCAATACCTAATAAAATTACTTGAATTTACCTTATGACCCAAGCAACCTCAATTCTAGGAACCTATCCTGAAGATACACCTACATATGCAACATCTGCACACATTTATTGCAGTTTTATTGGCAATAGCAAAAGATCAGAAACACCTAAATGTCTAGCAATGGGAGACTGGTTGAATACATTTTGTGTATTCACACACACACATACACAGGCACTTGTTATTGCAACAATAAACACCGGAAGGGTAAATCAGAAGCTAATGAAAGTAGTCACTCATGGGAGGCAGAAGGGAGCTGGAAATAGTGGGGACGTGATAGGGATTAGATAGATTCTCTGGATCTATCTTTTTTTTTTTTTTTTTGAGACAGAGTCTCATTTGTCACTCTGGCTGGAGTGCATCAGGCTCACAGCAGCCTCAACCTCCTGGGTTCAAGTGATCTTCCTACCTCAGTGCCCGAGTAGCTGGGACCACAGGCAGACACCACCATGCCCAGCTACTAGTTTGTGATTTTTGTAGAGATTGGGTCTCACCACACTGCCCAGGCTGGTCTCAAATTCCTGGGCTCAAGTGATCTGCCCGCCTTGGCCTCCCAAAGGTGTGATTACAGGCATGAGCCACCGTGCCCTGCCTGGATCTATCTTTTTATTAAGTTTTGTCTTTTAAACTAGGTAACCGTTTGACATAAACAAAAAAAAAAAAATTAAGGCAAAGAAAAAAAGGCAAATCTTAAAGACAAAAATGAATTTAGATGGTAACATATCACAGAGGAGAGAATTATTTCAAGTGACTCTTGAACACAGTCCTCTGAGCATTCTCTGTGAAACTTATTCTAAGAATAAAAATAACTGCAAAGAAATCTTGAACTTTACTCAGTATTTTTATTTTTAGTAGTAAAACTATGGGTTTTGCTGTTTGAAGTGAAATTTTGTATATGGTATGAAAAATTAGTAGGAATGAAGATTTTTGGTATAGGAGAAAAAAGTAAAAATATAAAATCAAAGAAAAAATGTGGTAATTTCAAATTTAATGGAAAATATCAATCTGAACTTATGATTTTTCTAGCACTAGACACTGAAAAGTCATAGAAGTAATGACGGTCCAAATTTTACATACATCAAATATGTTCAATTACAAATATAGTAAGAAAAGGATTCTCCACTAAAAGGAACCAGGTTCTCATTGAAGAAAGGGTTGATTTCAGGGAAAATAGAAGGAGAACCTGGACTACCTTGTGCCATAAAAGTAGTCACCCATGGGAGGGAAAAGGAGTTGGAAATAGTGGAGAAGTGATAGGAATTAGATAGATTCCCTGGATTTTTTTTTAAGACAAGTTCTCACTTGTCACTCTGGCTGGAGTGCAGTGGCGCCATCATGACTCACTGCAGCCTCAGTCTCAATCTCCTGGGCTCAAGCAATCCTCCCACCTCAGCACCTGAGTAGCTGGGACCACAGGCACGCACCACCATGCCCAGCTAATGTGGTGCAGATCTTTGAAAGAGGCACATAGGAGCAGATCCTTGAAAGAGGGTCCAGTAGACAATTTTGGGACAATTTGAGCATTTATAAAAAATGACTGTAATTTATTTTAAAACATGGAAAAAATAAAAATCCACCAGTCCATAAAAACATAACCAAAAAACAAAGTCATTTGCCAACACTGAAGGTAACTATTCCGTCAGCTTTTTAATTGAAAATGTAAAAAATTAAATCAGCTGGAAATTAAAGAATAATAAAGCAATTTTCCTGATGTTTTTAGGAGAAATTAAAAATCCTCAATTTTCACAGAATGCTAGCTAATAAATGTAGAATGAATGATAGAATTAGAAAACTACCATTTTGCAACCCCAAATGAAGAATTTATTTAGGCAAGGATCATCAATTAATGCTAAAACCAGTAGGTAAAATGTTGTTGGGGAGCATCATATCCTTATGACATCACAAGGTATCAAAGTCCCATGCCCGAGGCTGCTGGCTGATTGCAAAGCTGACCTTTACAGAGTTGACAGCTGACTGGTACTCACGTAATCAAATTCAGCATTATCCATATTGCTTCCTGATGCAAAATGAAGTACATCTCACCTATGAAATATCTCAATTTAATCAACTTTTAAATCTAGCTTCCAGCTTATACAGAATGAACATATAATGAATCATCCAAAGTAGGGCATCTCTGGGAGTGAAAGAAGACTCAACCAACAATTATAGCAGGACTGCAGGTGTAAACAGAGAGGACATTCCTAGGCAAACTGGAATGTGAGATCCTGCTAGGTTTATAGGAAATAAAGGGGATACAGGAACACGTTGAACAGCATTAAGAGAAAACAGTTATAATAATTTAAAAATCCAGATGTAGAAATTCTACAAGACTACCACTTGGTCTTCTTAATGTTAGAAGACCAAGAATGCTAGATGGTATTAGGGAATTGTTAATGTTCTTAGGTATGGTAATGGTACCATGGTAATGTAGAGGAAGATCCTTATTCGGATACTTTTGGGAGGTGCACACTGATGAATGTAAGGTTTAAGTGTCATGATGTCTACAACTAATTTTCAAATGGTTCAAAAAAATGTTAGCAATGATCAAAGTTGGGTGATGAGTGTATGGGTATTCATTGTACCAGTCTTTCAACTTTGCTACATATTTGAAATTTTCATGTAAGAGTTTTAAAAATGGCAGGACTTGAAATGTCTCTAACCTTCAACCCTTTCCAGAGAGCCATCTGGGATATTGGAACTGCCTGGTGCCCCAGGCCTCCTCATCAGTGCTCTTTCCATCAAGGAAGAATCCTGGCTGGGGCCCTCCTGTCATAGTCATCTCATCTCCCAAATATTGTGCCAATCTTGACCATTTTCTTATTTCTCGTGGCCTGTCCAAATCTCACTCACCATCAAGGCCCACTTTCTTTTGGAAGCTATTCCTATTTCCTTCTAGTCCACTTGGGCCTCTACTCTGATCTCCTCTATCTCCCTGTCTTTTGAGCATAGTTTTGACTTATTTTTCATAAGTATATATCCTGTTACCATGATAAAATTATAAACATCCCCGCGAAACGACTATATTCTATTTCTTTGGTCTTTCTCTGTGGCAAGCACAAAACTAGACCATTCTTTGTATAGAATAAATATGTTCTGAATTAAATGTGGAAGTTATTAAAAGACATCAACAAAAAAATACTTGTGAGATGCAACTACTTTTCAAACTCAGGAACTGAATTGATGTTGAAAATCATTGAAATTCTAATAGTTTACCTATGCCGAATGGGGAACTACATGGCCATGGAAGCCCTGCTTTCCAATCACAGTATTTCTTTCAACTGAGCCTGGTCATAAACTAAGAGTCCTTTTCAAAACGTGTTCAGGAAGTCACTGCTAAGTACTCAGAGCGGACAGTCCAGCAGAAATGTATTTGTCAGACTGTCCAAAGAGAAGAGTAAGGAATCAAACTTCCATCTCCTAGAACTCACCATCTGTCATTAACGCCAGTACTACGGTCTCTTTCATATTGTCTTTCTGACTCCACTTGCACGTCTTACCTACCTCCAAACTCTACTTCTAGTCCCCTAACTTTCCAAACGGATCCCTGGACTCTCCAGGCTTCATCAGCATTTCCTTTACTATCATCCCTGGAACAGTCTCCATTGGACGATGGTATCCCCTGCAGTATGGGACCCAGATTCCCTCGGCTTCAAAGTGCTGTGATATTGGACTACATTATGCTCAGCATTCAGTCATAATTTGACAGATCTGGAATAGGCCTTCAAGAGAAAGCTGCCAGATTTAGCAAATAAGAATACAGGATGCCTAGTTACACTTTAGATAAACAATGCTTTTTCAGTAAAAGCACATCCCAAATATTGCATAATGTCCTGTCCTTCATCTGGGAAATCCACGAGGAGAAAACCAAGGCCCAGAGAGTGAACTGACTTGCAAAAGTCCATTTTAGAGAAAAACCCCAAGCCAGAAAAAAACAGGAGCAGAAAGAACTAAGATCTCCTTACTCCTGACCCATGTATAATGTTTTTTGTGTGTGTATGTGTAAAAACAACAATGTCTGTGGTCAAGATATGTTGAATCAGTACAAGGAAGCAAATTTCTCATGAAAAAAAATTTTGTACATGTTTTCTATTAATTATTTAGCCAAATAATTTGGGCCTCTAGGATGAAATGGCGTAAGGAAATTCTCAGATCTCCAACCTGAGATTATCTGAGTGGAATAATTCAAATTCCTTCTTAAGAAATGGCAAACCAAAGACTGGACAGACTGGAAATATCAAAGAATGTATGTGGAGCTGGAGCGAGGGAATTGAATGCGTCACTACCATCCTTCCAGACCACGACTGCCAATCTGTGTGATTTCAACGTTCTGCTTTTTTACAAATGAGAAGACCCGGTATATAAAGTGTAACAAATATTTATAGAAAGCCACTTTTTATGAAGAAATCTTTTTAGATATTCTATAACATTACTGTCTTTCAAATCAATAAGTAACTGGCTAATATTCCAATAGAAAAATGAGCAAAGAACACAAAAGGTTAATTCACAAGAGAAGAGATCCAGATGGCTGATAAAAATATAAACTAGCTCACAATCCCACTAAACCAAAGAAACACAAATTAAACCAAGTATAAAATACCACTGATTTTTTAACCTACCAAAGTAAGCTTTTAAAAAGTTATAAAATTCAGGTTTGGCAAAGGCATTGTTAAATGGGTGCTCTTGCCACTGACAGGACAACAAATTGATAGAAACTTCCTAGAAGGCAGTTTGGTTCTAGGTATCAGGATTCTTAAAATGTTCATATGCTTAAAAGAAAAATATAAAATTTTATTAATTTTTCCTAAGTGTAGAATTATTTATACCAGTATAGAATTAGAAACGATGTAAACATTCAACAATAATATAATAACTTCATAAATTATGATATAGCCGTAAGTGGAATGCTCTGCAGCCATTAAAAACAGTGTTTTCAAATAATCTATAACCATATAGGAAAATCTTTACAATGGACCAAAAAAAAAAAAAAAAAAAAGGGCAGGGCCTGAAACTGTCCATATAGTTTGATTCAGGTTTTATAATCTCGCACACAAACACAAAGGAAAACACACTGATACATTAAGTCTAAGTGTGATTCTCTCTGGGTGATTATCATATCCACTTAAAAAATGTTCCTAAATTTAAAGAATCTTAAAATCTTAAGATCTTTGGATTTATTTTTAAATTACAGTAAAAATTGGAAACATACTTTGTGTACAGGTAAAATATAACTGCTTTGTATAAGTTCCTTACAGCTGCCATAACAAATGACCACAGATATGGTGACTTAAAAAAACAGAAATTTATTGTCTCACAGTTCTGGAGACCAGAAGTCTGAAATCAAGGTGTCAGTAGGGCCATGCTTCCTCCAAAGGCTCTGGAGAAGAATCCTTCTTTGTCTCTTCCAGCTCCTTGTGGCTCCAGCCACTCCTTGGCTTGTGGCTGTATACCTCAAATCCCTGCCTCTGTCTTCACATGGTCTTCTCACTTCTCTCCAAGTCTCTCCTCTGTGTTGCTTATCAGGACACTTGTTACTGAATTTAGGGCCCACCCACTTAATCCAGGATAATCTCAAATTGGCATCCTTAATATAATCAAATCTGCAAATACTCGCTTTCCAAAAAATGTCACATTCACAGGTTCTAAGTGTTAGGCAGTAGACTTATCTTTTGGAGGACTATCATTCAACCTGGGGTAGGAAGTGGGACTGGACTCTGGAGGCGGTGCTCTGACACCAGACCAAATTGAGGGACTAGCTAAAACAGGTGCGTGGCAGAAGCACCTCCCGCTAAGGCACGCCCAACAGTGTGCTGTGTCAGTTTACAGTTGCCATGGCAACACTCAAAGGTTACTGCCCCTTTCCATGGCAATGACCCGACAACCTGGAAGTTACCATCCTCATCCTAGAAATTTCTGCATAAACCACGCCTAAAAGTGGGCATAAATATGAATGCTGCACTATCTCTGAGCTGATGCTCTGGGCACACTGCCTATGGCGTAGAACCTCTGCTGCTGCTGTACACCGCTGCTTCAATAAAAGTTGCAGTTTAACACCACTGGCTCACCCTTGAATTCTTTCCTAGGTGACGCCAAGAAGGCTCCCAGGCTAAGCCCCAATTTGAGGGCTTGCCTGTCCTGCATCAAACCTGCTATATACTGTAAGATGGTAGTTTTACTTACAAATGTCAAACATATAAAAAATATTTGTGTTTCATTTAGGACTCTTTTAACTGCAAGTAACAGCCCAACTCAGGCTGGATTTAAAAAAAGGAAATTGTTGGTATATCCAAATGTGCTGCATCTGAGCAGGCTGCAGAGTTTAGGAACCAAACACTATGGCTAGGACCATTTTTTTTCACTCTGTGTGAGTCGTAGCTAATTTATTCCTTAAAGGTGGCCAGCTGGCTCTGGCTCAGTGTGCTGCTGGATCTAGCTCATATCAACTATTCAGAGAAAATTGTTAAATTTTCAGAAAGTTTGTGAATCTATTGTTAACACAGCCATTATTTGAAAAAAATAAATTATATAAGATTATAATTCAATAAATTATATTTTTAAAATGTTATAAATACTCAAAATTCATGTCTTCCTATTTTACATTTTATATTTTCTATGCTCTTGAGGTGAGTTTCATCTATTGTACTTACGTCTACAATGGAAATACTATGATGGTCAGCAACATTATGTTAGAGCTTGAAATCAGCATGACGGAAGTGTTTCCACCACACGAATTGGCAAATGCTACAAATCAGAGTTGTTTTTCGAGAGCCAGTTGTTAAATATTCACCACCACCATTCCAGCTGCCCCGGACTCACAGCCCCTCAGGTTCAAGTACAGCAGGATAAAGATGGCACCCTCAAAAGTAATGAGATTCACCCTGATTGGATATTTTGTCTGTCTTTCCATCTCTGAGCCAAACACCAAAGCCAGAGGGAAAGTAATACCCTATCCTCCATCCTAGAGCTAGGTTAGTACACACCCAAGCCTATATATATAGGGTGATCACTCCATGACTATCAGGAGATGTCACTGGAAGAAGGGAAAAATGGCTGCTGGGGAAACGTCAAAGTATATCCACCATAGTTGTCAAGCAGTAGCTTACACATGGTCTCAAGGGCTCCTTCTTTCATTCCTCATTGATAAGAGGCATGTGGTTCTGGACCAATGAAGCTCTGGTAAATGGGGTGAGATGGGCAGGTTCTGGTGCAGATCTCTTCCCCATAACCCCCAACCTCTCTTTTTGGTGGGATGATGTCCCCGCTGTCTTCTCCCTCAGGCCTGTTTTTTTTTAATGCTCACAGCTTGGCTCCAACTTAGATGAATGGAGCATGCATTTATAGGTTGTGTAGGTTCCTGAGATTTTTTAAAAAATGAATTTATTTCTTCCTTTTGAGGGGTTCCTAGTCAAATGGAGGAGACATATACAAATAAATAATAACCAAATGATGTAAAGTGTGCTTTCACAGACATATGGAAAAGCTGCACTGGGGAAGTTCAGAAAATTAGGGACAGACTCCCAGAGAAGAGGACATACGTGAGCTGGACCTTTACATCCAAATAGGTTTCCTGTGTGGCTAGAGGAGCACAGAGAAGATGTTCCATTCCAAAGGAACACAGAGAGCTAAGGTACCACAAGGTCACCTGGGTTCCTTTACTCCACCCTTTTTCCAACACCCTAGACACCCTAGAAAGATTTCCCTTCCTCTCTCACTCTCTTTACCATTCTGAGCCAAAATAGAACCCAAACATGGGAGCGACACAAAAGCACTGCTGAATGCAGACTGGTGTGGAGGATGAAGAACATGCCCAGGCTTTAAACTGAACACGCAAAGAGCCTGGGCCATTGGAAGGACCCACAGGCACCTTGGAAATCCCCAGCTGCCTCCACCACAACATCAGGTGAAATCCATTCCTCTTCCAGTATAAGCATTCAAGGCCAACCATTCCTTGCTTTGTTAGCTTTTCTTTTTGGCTCAATTACTGTATCAGCACAGAATCATTTTCTATTTTCATCTCCAGGGCAGACGTTTCTCCAACAGTCTTTTGAGCCTGGGGACCAAAACACCATTTATAGCTTTGCTTCTATGGGAAAAAGTGCTTTTAAGTACCAAACAACTGACTTACAAATAAATGATTAAACTCAACTGCCCTTAAGCAATGAGCTTCCTGTAATGTTTTGCACAGTTCAGTGCCAAAGGCTAATGTGTGTGTGTATGTATGTGTGTGTGTTTTAACATTTCTAAATATGGGCGCCAGGTGTTGCATTTTCAGACTGACCGAGTGTAACTTTTTTCTTCTTAAAGCAACAGAGTCGTTTTTTTTTAGTGAACATGTATCTGTTTAAAAGAAAAGGTGAAAGAAATGGCAGGGGCCACAAAAGAAAAGCAACACTGAAACTTTAGTGGAGAAAGATATATTTGCACCATATAAGAAAAGAGGTTAACTTATTTTTAAAACTTTATTATTACAGATTAAGGCAAGCCTGCAACCATAGGGAAAGTTCAAAGATCAAAACCTCCTGCACAGCTTGGTTTTACTTTGAGTCCAGCGACCCAAAGAGATCTCCACGATGAGGTTTCTAGTCTCTTTCAAAGCAAGCCCAGATGAACAAAAATTTTAAAAGCATGCTGTGAAGATAGTACATAAACTGTGTCCCCGATAAATCAGTATCAGGGTGACCCCATCAGAAGGAGTGACCATGCAAATTGCTTTTTTGCATCAAAAGAAGACGACAGGGCTTAGTGCTTGATTCATTTCAATCTCCCACTCCTTGATTCCTCTCTGTTTCTTTTCTATACCCTTGACTGATCTTCTGTTCTCAGTCTTTTCGTTTCTCTCTCACTTCCTCTAACAGCAGGATATGATATAGTGAGAATTAATACTCCCAAACAAAAAAAATTAACTATAGTTTTTTTTATCCTTTCAAAACAAAACCATTTCTTTACTGCTGTTCTTTCAAGATTCATGATGTTTGTGTATACTGGCATGATGAAGCATTTTTCCCTGTATGCATTGGTATATGATTTTTCTATATCCCTGAATGGTAGGTATTTTAATAATACTGATAACTATCAAATTTTTTAAAACTTGCTTGTGGCCAGGCATGGTGGCTCACGCCTGTAATCCCAGCACTTTGGGAGGCCGAGGTGGGTGGATCACCTGAGGTTGGGAGTTCGAGACCAGCCTGGCCAACATGATGAAACCACATCTTTACTAAAAATACAAAAAATAAGCCGGGCCTGGTGGCAGGCGCCTGTAATCCCAGCTACTCGGGAGGCTGAGGCAGGAGAATCACTTGAACCCAGGAGGCAGAGGTTGCAGTGAGCCGAGATCAGGCCACTGCACTCCACAGCGAAACTTCATCTCTAAATAAATTAATTAATTAAATTAAATTAAAACATAAAAACTTGCTTGTGTTTTTGAACAAAGTCCAATATTTCATGGAGAGCAGGACTGGCTATGTATGTTGTGAGATCCAGTGCAAAATGAAGATGTGAGTCCCCTTCTTCAAATTGTGAGACAAGGTGAGAGTCTTCTGAATGTAGGGCCCTCTGTGACTGCACAGGTCCAGGTCCATGGAGCGGGCTCTGTGGGTGGGTTTTTATTCATGAGAGCACACACACACGGACACACGTACAATTCTCTAGACTAGTATAGAATTAACCAAAATTCACCATGAAAATTAAATCACGTGACCCCCATCAAAAAGGCCAAAGTATCCTGTGCTGGTTTCCAGTATACTTCTTGAGAATTCACTTACCATCATTGACAGAGAGAAAATATTGTTGTAATTCGTTACAGCACCAGGACCAACTGATGAGTGGGATGTTTTGGGTAACTTGTTTCCAAATTTTTAAAACTTAATAAGCATACGCAAAATGTGCTCGACAGAAAAGGAATTTTAGAGCCACCTTTCCCTCAGGGCTGGGAGCATTTGTAATACTGCGTGTGGAGGGCTCCAGCGCAGGGAACCATGATTGACAGCAGCCACCATGTGATGGATGGATGACCAGATTGATGTATTGATAAGGCCAGGCTTGCAGAAGAGAACTCTGAAGAGCAGGTTTTTCTGGTTCCAACAAATTAAATCACAGTCACATTTTTCTTCAATTAGTGACCCATATCTGTTTTCACTTTCTCCCAATCCTTCTGCTGGTCCCATGGATGCCCCCTCCCCCTTAAGCCCCCACTCATTGTCCCCACCCCTTGTCACCTGGACATTTTTCCTTCCCCTGTGATAATGGAGTCATCATCCCATGTCCTTTCTTGCAAACTTGACAGGGTATTAGAGGCATCTTCTTCCTCCTAGGCTTCTGTTGCCTTTGAAGTGAGGTAGAGCATTTGTCTATGGGATGGGGAAGAGTGAGTGTCCAGATTCCAGTTGCACCTCTCGATTGCAGACAATTTCTACTGCATCTCCCAAGGGCAAACACAAGTCACCATCATGAATTTACACTTTGTTCTCAATTGCCCACTCCAACCTCCTATCTAGAGTCACATAAGCATGAGAAATGAATGTTGTCTCATTCAATCTTTATAATCCCTTGGGCACAGATGAGAAAAAGGCTTTGGAGAGGTTAAATAACTATTAATAAGAAGAGGGATTGTGATTCGATCACTGCATTAACTGACTCTCACCATTCTTCTGTACTGTCCACAAAACTTTGCTATAAATTATAAAACAAAAGTTTAACTAGATAATCATTATATATACAAGATTCTAAATAAGCTAATTCACTCTCCCTATGGTTTCCTATTTTCTACCTCCTTCCAGATCATTCTTCCAGGTGCGGCCTCAGCTCCCTCTCCCTCGAAACCCAGTGGATGATTCTAACTTCCCGGTCACCTCTTCCTTTCCTACCAACCCCCCACTGCCACTCAGAAGCTGTCAGAAAACACATTTAAGCAAACTAAAAATAGCAAACCCAGAATACTCCCCAGCAAGGAGAAAGAAGCTAATCATCTTCAAAGAAGCTGAAAGGATTTCAAGAATGGTGAAACATTCACAAATATAGAATTGTGTTGTATAAGTTAACTGGCAATGCTGTACCACCTTGTAAAAATTCAGATAACAGCTCATGTGCCTGTAGTCCTGTACAGTTTATAAAGCACCAATGCACTTTAACTGCACAGCATATTATGGCATAGATGCCATTATTAGGTCCATTTTTACAGAGGCGAAAGCTGAGGCACACAGCAGTTGCATGACTTCCCCACAATTAGTCAATATGAGAAGTGAAGTCAGGTTTTCTAACTTAAGAGCCTGTGTTGTTTCCACTCTCCCACACAGCTATTTGTTGAATTAAATTTTCAGATCAATGCACTTTTATTTCTTCTTTTTCCAAATAACAACAGATACAATTCAGAAAGAGCTAAGAGCCTCATCTAACATTCTGCAGCTTAGACCTCCTCCTGCTGCCAAATTTAGAAGTCATGGACCTTCGTGTATTCTTTCAAAAGTTAACTAGGTTTTAAATAAGTGGAGAAAATATGGATTATTTAATAAAAGAATCTAGGACAAGTAGGAAGCTACTTGGGGGAAGAGAAACTTGGATCCAATACCTCACTTGTTACACAAAAATAAATTCCAGTGGATTAAAGATTTAAATGTGAAAATAAATCCCTAAAAAACCTAGAAGAGAACATCATTCCCATCCCTCACCATCCCACTCCACCCCATCCCACCCGCTGCTGCTTAGGGTTTAGAATCTCTGAGTGGGAAAGGGCTAAGTATGACACAAACAGAGAAGCCATAAAGAATAAGATTGATATATTTGACTACATTTAAAAGATCTGCATGTTTAAAAGTCACCACCATTAACCAAGTCAGAAGTCAGAAAACAAATCGGGGGAAGTATTTGAAACCTATACTCAGGAAGAAGACTAATTTTGTCATATATAAGCAAATCACACAAATAAATAAGGAAACACACACACCCAATAAAACATAAGCAAAAGATAGAAAGGATGGTTTATAGAAATACTCGTAGCCCTTAAATAGATGAAAAGATGCACAACCTCACTCATATTGAAGAAAAAGCAAATGAAAACTCCACTGGGATAGCTTCTTCTACATTTCATATTTGCAAGCAACCCAAAGTTTGAGAGTACACCATGTGTGATGAGCGTGAGACAACGGGCCCATCACCTCTCCGGTGTGTAATCTGAGTGTAAACTGGTACATTGTCAATGGAGAGCAATTTGCAGATTGGCAATAGCTATACAAATTTAAATGCACATATAGAGGATTTAAGCAAATTATCTGTCATCAAAATGCCATCAAGTGTAAATGATAGAACTTGGATTTGACTCCAAACCCCATGCTATTGGCACAGTCCAGAGCTGGAAGACTACACAACCAGAGCAGCCTCTATCTACACATTAAACAGCTATTTAATATGTACCTATGAATGCAAGTAACATTTTCCATTTTTAATATTTAAATTTTCCTATAGATTTAGGGGGTGTAAGTGTTGTTTTGTTACATGGATATAATAGTTATAAAAAGTCCAGGCTTTTAGTGTAGCCATTACCTGAATAGTATATATTGTACTCATTCAGTAATTTTATAATATCTCCCCCTCTGTCCCACACCCTTCCAAGTATCCAATGTCTATTATTCCACTCTTTAGGTCCATGTGTACACAAGATTTAGCTCCCACTTGTAAGTGAGAACATGCAGTATCTGACTTTCTGTGTCTGAGTTATTCACTTAAGATAGTGGCTTCCAGTTCCATCCATGTTGCTGCAAGAGACATAATTTCATTCTTTTTTTCGTGGCTGAGTAGTACTCCATTGTATATTTCATATATATCACATTTTCTTTAACCAATCATCCATTGATGAACACTTAGGTTGATTTCATATCTTTCCTGTTGTGAATAGTTCTGCAACAAACATACCATTGTAACACATTCAATTTTTAAAAACAGACTTATTTTTTAGAGCAGTTTTAGGTTCACAGCAAAATTGAGCAGAAGGTAAAGAGATATCTCACACACCTTGTGCCCTTACAAATGCATAGCCTCCCCCATTCCCAGCGTCCCCCACCAGAGTGGTACATTTGTTAGAATCGGTGAGCCTACGCTGATACATCATTGCCACCCAAATTCTGTAGTTTACACAGGAGGGTTCGCTTTTGGGTTTGGGTAAACGTATAATGACCATTATAAGTGTCATACAGAGTAGCTTCACTGCCCTAAACATCCCCTGTGCTCTGCCTAGGCATCCCTCAACTTCTTTAATTTTCATGATAAAATTGGAAGAAAAGTGTTTATTATGTATGTTTTATGTATGAAGAGACTGCAGCTCAGAGAGGTTAAGTTTATTGCCCACAGCCACATAGCTGCTAAGTGGCAAAACCAGGCTCAAAGCCAGGGCTAGCTTTTCTTTCTACAGAACTGCTGCCTCCAACACCTGCCTCTGCCCTGAGCATGTTGCCCTCTAGAATCCGAAAAGCTCTGTAGGTGGAGGGACTTGTGTTACAAGATGCTGGTCCTCAAGATTTGTTGGTCAAATGAATGAATGGTGTAATTCTGATGTTTGCCTTTGCAGATAAAGAGAATGCTGCCTTTTTTCTGCACAAAGAAAAACAATTACAAAGCAGAAAACAAAGCAGTGAAGGCTAAAAGGAATATTAAAATTTTCTGAAATAAAGTTAGTTATTCACAGTAAAATACTCCAGACTTTCTCCAACAGGGCCTTTGCTTTATAACCCAGAGGACTTTTAGGATAGAAAATACTGACACCAAATGGTGACAAGTAGAACTCCCATGTCTGGGACAATAGAAACATCTGAAATGAACTCTGCTCTGTCTGGCCGGCTCACTGAATGACTGCACTAGTTCCCAGAAAAATTGTCTTGTCAACAGCGCTCAACAAGTTTCATTTTGCCGCATTTCCCACACTTGTATGTCAGGATTTGCTCCCAAGAAGCCGGTATTCCTTCTCTGCCACCAGAATCCCAGAACACGCCAGGTGCAGCCCACTGTTGGCTGCACTCTTAAGTCCTAGTTTTCTCTGCCTTGGTCTACAGTGCGTGAATGTGCATATCCACATATGCACATGCAAATGGATGTATGCATGTGTATATTCATAAACTCATGTTTCAGGGTCCAAAATCCCTCACCTTTCCTTATGTATACAGAGAAAATGTGAGCTTTGTTATTTTGTCTATAGAAGAGCTGATTTACTTTCTTCTTGCTGGGATGTGGGAAAAGAACTAAAGCTTAGTTCCATCTTGCCATTTCAGTCCAATCCAATAGTTTTAACTGTCCCATCAGATAATTCAGTTTTCTCTGCTTTGATAACTTCAGGAAATGTAATATCTTTCAAAGTTCTGTCCCTTCCCTTCAAGGTGGTATCCGGGTACATGGGAGACGCATGTGGCTATTTGTCTTTGTGGCATTGTAGAACACTGTCTCATGGGTTGGCTGGTGAAGTGGAGCTGGTACTCAACAGGGAGGAAATACCTTCCAATGCCCTGCTTTCTGCCATCTGGCAAGGGCTTGGTGGTGCAAGTTTGAGTTGTCCAGACTATAAAGGAAAATGCCTCACCAATTAAAAGTAGTTGTTTAATTTAACAAACCCAAATATCAATAGAGAGTAGGGAAGGAGTCTATGCCTCTCTATCTTTTTAGCTTTACATGAAGGAGGACAACTGGAGTTATCCATCTCAGCCGTGCTCAACAAATATTCTAAACCAGTGGTTTTTCAAGGTCGGTGGCACAGGAGGATAACTATGGAGTTTGTAAAAAACATGAATACTCACCCCCACCCCCACCCTTTGGGATTCAGATTCTATTAGTGTGCAATGGAGCCTGTTCACTGATATTTTAAAAACTCAGGTAGTTTATTGTGTAGCCAGGGTTGTGAACCAAAGTTCTACACAGAGAACAAATATTTATGTAACAATGTATTCATGTAACAGGCAAACTGGGTTTTTGTTTGTTTGTTTTTGCTTTGTATCCATTGCTCTGGGCTGAATGTTTGTTTCATCCACAAATTCACATGTTTTTGCCTTAATCCCCCATTTGAGATTAGGTGTATTTGGAGTTATACCTTTGGGAGTAATTAGGACATGAGTGTGGAGCCCTCCTGAACGGGATTAGTGCCCTTAAAGGAGGAAACACGAGAGAGATGATCTCGTTCCCCACCATGTGAGGATACAGCAAGAAGGTGGCCATCTGCAAACCAGAGCTAGTGCCCTCACCAGGAAACTTTTCAGCTGGCACCTTGATGTTGGATTTCCCAGACTCTAGAATGGAGAGAAATAAACTTCTCTGGTAATTTTGTTACAGCATCCTGAAGTGACTAAGACACCCTGGTGATCTGGGAGACTCCAATGTGTGGAATTTACCTAGTTTTCCTCTAAGAGCTGCCAGCCTCCTCTTGGATTTTCCTGGCACTCTTCCCCTTCTCTCCCTGTGCCCTCCTCCTAAGTTATCTAAGGCAAACCTCTTCCTCCAGTAGAAGTTCTTTCTGTTGGACACTCTTCTGCCCTTTCTAATAGAGCTGAGATTTACTAGTAGTACATAGGTTTACTTCCGCTGAGAATAAGTAATCTGCTCTCTCAGAAGCTTTGGAAAGGAGCTAGGCCCTTTTTCACCAAGTTAAAACATTTCAGTTAAATATAATCACACCATTTAGCACCTAATTATAAACTATTACCTCCACAATTTAAAAATATTGAATATGAGATTTTGTTATTTTTAAAAAGTAAACAATTACTCACAGAGCTTTATAAAAAAAGATTACTATGTTGAAAGTGAGTCCCTACTTCCCCCTACCCCCATCAAATTATTCTCTCTGAGAAACACACGTTTAAAATAAATCTCAAATTCGTTGCATTGAGAGCTGAGTTTGGTACCAAATTCACGATGTGACATTGTTTCTGCTGGGCCGTTGAACCCCTTTTTCCTCCCAGGTGGTGATGAAAGACTTTCACTTCCTGGCAAAGAATAAGAGAGGGTTTTGGCTGCATCCCCAGCAAAACCAGCTTTAGATAAATGGTTTGGCACAAACACTTGTGGGCCTGAGCTCTCCCCTTCTATGCATTAGGGGTGTGTCACTGACAGAATTCTCACTGGTCTCTCTGGATGGAAGAGGAATGGTGTTCACAGCCTATACTTTGGGCTGTCATCTATGTACAAAGACATGTGCTAAGCCCTCTAAGACATACAAAGAAGGTTACACTCTAAATGGGAAGACGAGCCATACTTGTCTACATAAAGGAAGGTGGTCAGGGGCAGAAGGTAATTGAAACAGGGTAAGTATCAACAATGTGTTATTAAGGTGAGTTCCCAGGAAGCCAGCCCTGAGATGGGAATTTGTGTGCAGAAGTCTATTGGGGATGCCCTTGGGATCATCATCTATGGGAGCATGAAGGAGGAGATTGGGCAGAGAAAGAGTTGAACCACTATTTGATTGTAGTACAGATCTCAGCCAATCTAATAGGATGCTCTAGAGTTAGGCTGGCCCTTCAGAGTTGTCACCCCTTGAAATGAGATGACCTGACCTTTGTAACCTTCCCCCGATCATTGACCAATAAGTGGAGGGGTCTGTCCTTAGGCAAGTGTCTCTCTTTGTCAGTGAGCCATCAGCTCTGCCATTGTCAGTAGCAAAAGGAATGGTGACTCCATCCTGAAGGGGTCTCTGGGCAGCTCACCACAGCATCCACTACAGAGGGAGATCTGTGACCTTGAAGATAAATGTGTTTTTGGTTGTTGCTGTTTTGCTTTTTTTTCTTTGAGATGGAGTCTTGCTCTGTTGCTCAGGCTGGAGTACAGCAGTGTGATCTCGGCTCAGTGCAAGGTCTGCCTCCCAGGTTCAAGTGATTCTCCTGCCTCAGCCTCCTGAGTAGCTGAGATTACAGGTGTGTGCCACTATGCTCAGCTAATTTTTGTATTTTTAGTAGAGACAGGGTTTCACCATGTAGGTCAGGCTGGTCTCAAACTCCTGACCTCAGTTGATCCTCCTGCCTCGGCCTCCCAAAGTGCTGGGATTACAGGTGTGAGCCACTGTGCCTGGGCCAAGGATAAATGTTTATAGCACGAGGGAAAAAGGTACATTAGTAAGGCACTGGGAGTAACTGGGGAATCTGAAGCGTATTGTTATGATCAGTCTCTACTTGCTATTCATTTCACTCTGATAAGACCATCTCAATCCCCTAGTGTTATAAACACTACAAATACTACTATAGCATAAAATGTCCTCCATAAGATCCAGTAAAGAATAGCTGAAATATTTAGCTGACTCTTTTCAAACCATAAAGGTCAAACACATTTCAAGTTTAGTTTAATTCTATTTTACAGTTTTGGTTTTATAACCCAAAACTATTGTTTTCCAATTCACTGTCTAAATAATTGTGAGATTCTGTCTGTCTCTCTCTTTATTTATTTATTTATGAAATCAGATCTGGCTCTGTTGCCCAGGCTGGAGTGCAATGGCACAGTCATGGCTCATTATAGCCTCAACCTTCTGGGTTCAAGCAATCCTCCTGCTTCAGCCTTCTGAGTAGCTGCGAAGACAGGCGTGCACCACCACACTCAACTAATTTTTTTACTTTTATTTTTGTAGAGATGGAGTCCTGTTTTGTTGCCCAGGCTGGTCTCAAACTCCTGGTCTCAAATGATCCTCCTACCTCAGCCTCTCAAAATGCTGGGATTATAGGCATGAGCCTGGCCTCAATTTTTTTTTAAGGTAGTCTTTTTTTTTTCCAGTAGTTTTTGGGGAACAAGTGGTGTTTGGTTACATGGATAAGTTGTTTAGGTGTGATTTCTGAGACTTTGATGTACCCATCCTCTCTCCTTTTACAATGATTTCTTTATGATGTGCCTCCTTGGTCTGGCACATTTATGCCTGTTTCCATCGCTACCATCATTAGTTTCTTTCAGATCTTTGCTAAAATGTCACCTCCTCAATAAAGCCTAATTGGATAATCTTAGACTGCCATCCCAACCCTGGCATACGCTGTCCCCTTTATTTCTCTCTACAGCATTTATCACCATCTGGCCTGCTTGAGATTCTTGAATAATTTTATTTATTGTCTGTTTCCTTCTAGTAACAGACAAGTATGTAAATCCCATGAGGCAGGGGTTGTTTTATTCACTCTGTATTATTAATGCCTAGAAGTGCCTGGCACATAGTAGGCACACAGTCAATATGCATTGAATGAATGAATGGTCCCAGCTGAGGCTTCCACGGTTCTCTTCTGGCCATTTGCAATAGTGACCCAGCTGGAGTAGCAGCTTCAGCTCTCTGCACCTTCCAGGAATCCCGTTTTGGACCACGGGATATACACATCACTGCAGGGCTGCCTTCTGTGGCCCTGCCTCGGGCCTGCCACTGTCCTGCTCAGAAGCTCCCATGACTTCTTAGTGCCAACTCAGGCTCTGGGTGGTCTCTGAGGTCTGCTCCAAACCTAACTTCTCTCCTTTTCTCCCATCTGCTCAAATCCTTCCAGCCCTCCTGGCCCCCGACAGGCTCCCTCTCATGTGAATGCCCTTCCTGCCACCCTTTCCTGCCCTCCTCTGAATTCCTCCAGCAGATGAGTGTAAGGGGGCAAGTTAAACATCTTCCAGGGCCTTCTGAAGAATGTGAGGATAAATGGTAAAGCATTTCACAAAGCCTAACATCTTTAGAGATGACTATTATTGCCAGTATGTCATGATAGTATTATTGTATCATAAACTTCTCAATTCAGTAATAGATGTCTGGAAGGTTGAAGCTAAAGCATCAAGCCACATTCTCCAGTTTACCAGTAATAAAGCTGATCTTGTGACTCTGGTCACAGTGGTGTGCTGGAGTCAGCTGCTGCCAGCTCACAAGAACCCATGGCTAAATGTTCTGGAACTCTGCGAGCCGACTGCTAAACATTCACATGCACCCCACTGCCAACTGACCCATGCTTGTTTTGCAGTCAGTTCATAAGCTGCAGGAGAGAAAGATGTGTTTAACTGCTTACCTTAGAGACGTTATCAGTCAAGAAAAAGAATTAAAAGGATCTGGTGACAGAAGTGAAGGAACAGTTTGGGGAGTGATGATGAGTAGTTCTGTTTCAGGCATTTTGAATAATATTTTTCAGTGGAATGTAAACGGGCCTGGTGCTGAAGAGAGAGAAATGGGCTAGAGATAAAGATTTGGAAGTTATGGGATATTGGCAGGACTGGAGGATTTTACCCCCGGATACCCAGGAGCCATGGCCCCAACCACTGATCCACAGCACAACGTCTATCATCTCACTCAGGCTCTGTTCTCATTCTCTCCAGTGGCCCCAAGTCATATCTTATTATAATTGTCTCCTGATTCCTTCCCTTCTTTCTCCCTCCTCAATTCACCCCATTCATTATTGCCTGATTAATTTCCCTAAGGCACCATTTTGATCACCTTCTGTGTTTGCTTAAACACCTTCAGCAGCTCCTAACTCTTTGCAAATAAAATCCCAACTGTCCTATTCAAATTTGTCCTTGAGGCAAATCCCTGTACTTTCTCCCCTCCATGCCTGATATTCATGCTGTCACCCATAATTTTGTATACAGTTAAGTTTAATAAACATTTTGGAATAAAGACTAGAAGTCACAAATAAGCTGCTGTTGTCCATCAGTTCCATTGTTCTAACTATCACTTCTCATGTTGTAGATGAAGGTGAACCCCTGTTATAACTAAAATATAGAAATTTCTTGTACTTGTTAGGCACCCAACATATATAGCTACCAAATGCTTCTTAATGGCAAGAAACAAATTTTCCAAGGTTTATTTTTCATTCAAGACACTCTACACATGCTCCTGGCAAGGCAGTTCTAAGCTCCAGAAGACACTTGCTGCCAAGAACCAAACACAGCTGTTCAGGCAACAGAGGAAGCTGGTGCTCGGTGAAAAACCAAACCAAAACAAAACCCTGCCCGCACATTTGAGGATGGCACAGGTCCCAGATCTACACCTTGAAACGAATAGAAGATACAAGATATTTGATATAAAAGAAAATGAAAGTGCCGGAAACAGAAGTTTTCTCTCTCAAACTGACTTCCTCCAACGTGCACAGAGAATAACAACAGGACTCCTAAGGATAAAAATAGTGTTTGCTGATGGGAAGAGGGCTACTTCTCCACTGAACCATGGAAAACCTAAAATCCTCCCCATTGTTTCCTGCCCCATACACTTGTACTCAATAAAGATCTCTAAGAATGATCATGTGGAGACTAAATATTACCCAAAATGGAAAAAATTTAAAAACAATCCCGAACTAAGGGGAGAAGTGGCTGCCTGGGAGCATCAGCATGGAAACCAGTGAGCAGCTGTGTTCTTTGTTTCCTCATAGCCATCATCACCTGAACAGGCAGGAGCATTGGTCACATCTGCCAGCATCATGGGAGTGGCAGCATGAAAGGGAGGACAGAACAGTGGCCCAGCTCCCATGTGGACCAGGCAGGCAGTTGTCATGCTATCTTATTCATCACTTACAATGTGAAGAAGTTGGCACTATGACTGCTATTTTACATGTTGGAAACTGCGAACCCCCCATGGGGTAAGGGAATGGCCCAAGCTCATACATCTGGTAAGTAGCAGGTGGTTCAGGCTTGTGTAGCTCCTGAGGCACCAATACTTCCAGTTGCATTCAAAAGGGTGCTGTAGGTGTTCTACAAAACAAACAAAGAAAAGGTAAGCATGTTGAGAATACAGTGGGCGAACACAGTTTATTACAAACCTTTAATGTTCTAACACACATTGTATAGAGTTTCTCTGGTTTCCCTACACTTAATTCACTGCAGAATTTTTGTTTTGCCTGGAACACTTCATGGGACCAGTGTTCCCATAAATCATTGCAGGACACCCCTCTGGTCTCATTAGAGTCTTAGGTCTGTTTTATTTTTTTGTCTTGTTTTGTTTTCTTTTTTGAGACAGGGTCTCACTCTGTTACCCAGGCTGGAGAGCAGTGGCATGGACAGGGCTCTTTGCAGCCCCGATCTACTGGGCTCAAGTGATCCTCCTGTGTCAGCTCTTCCTAAGCGGGCTGGCACCACTTTTGGAAGAGTCTAGGGAAAGCAAAAGACCATTGGGAAGGATTGTGACAGGATTACCTACAAAGTATATGGGAACACAGGGAAGGGAAGGGGGAACAAGGAGAAACCTGCACTATTACAATAGCAATGGACAGTTCTTGGAACTTGCATGCCAGTGGTCTTTGAAGTGCTTTAGTCCTCATAGCCACCTGTAAGATAGAAATCATTCTAACCCCCATTGCAGAGATAAGGGAAATAAAGCAAAGAAAGGTTAGGTTTTGAATTCAGGTAGTCTGGCTCCTAACACCTGTATTCTATTTGTTCATATTGAAGAGTCTTAAATGGAGCAGAATTCTCCACCAAGTAGCATAAACAAATAAACTTTTGTTAAGACACTGAGATTTGGAGATTATTGACCAATCTAGTAGATCAAGGAGAGTGCTCAACATCTGATGCAAAGAGCTTCAGAAAATCATAGTATAGTAAGAAGAAATCAATTCCTGCTATTGGCAGCAATGCCAAAGAGCATAAGAGAACTCTGTATAGTGTTTTATTATTTTCAAGGCACTTCATGAGCACGATTTAATTTAGTTCCTGAGAAGGCGATGAGACATCTGTGCTCTCAGACCTTATTTCACACCTCCCTTCACCACAGGGGATTGGTTTAACAGACATTAATTGCTGAAAAAGCAAAAAGAGGACATTGAGGTAACTCAGAGAAAGAAACTGCAAGAAGCACACTACACCACTGGGCTGGAGCAACAAAGGGATGGAGCTGGGATTGTTGAAAACTGGAAGTTTGGAGCAGGGCTCCCATGGAGCTGGAACACAGATCTTTAATAAGGAAGTGCTGCCTGTCGTCCCTGGTGCCATAGAATTTCATAGGGAAACCTCTGCAGAGCTGGGGCTCAGACTTTTGAGGAGATGTCACCTAAGTGGTATTGATACCTCTGAAGGGTACAGTAAGACTGGGTCTGGTTGTGCAGAAAAGAAAAAAAGAAAAAGAAAAAAGCTAAAGACTAGAACCAATCACTGCTGTCTGAGTAGAGAACCATTACTGCGAAGACCCTGACCTTTGTAGCAGCAAGCAAACAAAAAAGGTCACCTCTTTCCTCTTATCTAGACTTTCAGTCTCCCTCTGGTATCACCATTGGCAGAGCCTGACATAAAGTCAGCTGGCAAATGAGAAAGAGAATTTGCTCAGTCCCAGCCTCAACCTCATGGAATCCATCAGAAAAAAGGTAGATTTGCAGCTGAGAGATGATAGCCTGATAACCAGACAGGCATCAGTACATTTGAAATTTTTGTTGGTAATGTTTTCAATACCAGTGACTCAAAGCAAATTAAAATGTGACATTGTTTAATATGATATTTTGATGATTTAGTAGTTTCACAAAACATATATATCCGATTTCAGATTGAACTGGAATGTCTCTAAAAACAAAACATAAATTACTACGAACTGACATTTATTGAAAGTGCTACCTTTGTGTCAAGCACTCTGCCCAGCAGGTTATGTGGGCTATCTCAGTCCTCATTTTACAGATGGGGTAAAGCTGAGGCTTAAAGAAGTTAAGCAACTTGCTTTGAAGCTTCAGAGCAATAGAGACAGAATTTTTATGGGCAGCCTGACGAAGCCTGAGCTGTTAGCCACATCTCAGTACTACCTCCCCATTCCCTTTACTGCTTAGGTGGTGCACCTTTACTATTAGGTGGCTATACCTTGGGAACGAACACAACAATCCCAGACTCTTGCTAGAATCATTTACTTAACTCCCTGCTGCAGCACCATTTGGTAGCTAAGACTGCATTCTAACATGAAGCATTCAGCTCTTCAGTAACCAAACACATAATAGTGAGGGTCAAAATAGACTCTCATCTTCCAGTTGATCTCTAGCAAACAGTCATAGCATCCGGGAATTTCAGGGCTGCATTATAGGCCCTTACCAGATGTCTGAATTCCCTTCTGTTACAGCTCAATAAACAGTTATCCAGCATCTGTTTGAATACTTTTCATGACTTGTAACACACAACTGTATAAAGCTGCTCTCTGTATATTTTTAGACAGCTGAGTTACTAAACAGGTCTTACTTGCGGAGAACTGGAATCTATTACTCTACAATTTCCACCTGAAGATTTCTGATTTTGCTTTCTTGAGCAACACAGAGTGCTTTACCCATGCCTTAAGGCAGCTGTCACATGACTCTTCCCCTAATACGGTTGTGAGGTGCTCACGTGTTTTGGAGATAGCAAAAGTCTCAAATAATATGGCACAGACGGCCAGCCATGGTGGCTCACACCTGTAATCCCAGCACTCTGAGAGGCCGAGGTGGGCCGATCACCTGAGGTCAGGAGTTCAAGACCAGCCTGACCAACATGGTGAAACCCCATCTCTACTAAAAATACAAAAATTAGCCAGGCGTGGTGGCGTGCGCCTGTAATCCCAGCTATTCAGGAGGCTGAGGTAGCAGGATCGCTTGAACCCAGGAGGTGGAGGTTGCAGTGAGCTGAGATTGTGTCACTGCACTCTAGCCTGGGCAATAAGAGCGAAACTCCATCTCCAAAAAAAAAAAAAAGGACAAAGGGTGAGCAGAGCTCAGATTGGTTATTGGAGAAGACAATACAGAGGAAGGCTCCTTGGTGGTTAAGAGTAGTCTTTTAAAATCAGACAGATCTGAGTCCAAATCCTAGCTCAATCATTTCTCAGTTGTGAAAATTCAGTAGCTCTGTGACCTTGGGCAAATTGTTTAGCCAAATGAGAAAGGTAGGACCACCTGACAGTGGTATTGTGAGGATCCTGTCAGCTAAGGCTGGTAGGTGCTTGCCTTGGCCGTGTAGTAGCTGCTCAGGAAATGAGATCTATAGAGTGTATTGGTGAAAGACAAATTTAATTTTGCACATAAAGTTATGAAAATGTCTCCTTATGGCAGTGGTTATCATCTAAAAGTCATACCATCCCACTGAAGAAGACCTATTTTAGGGTTTATAACAGACTACTCTCTGGACAACCTTAATCCACTTAAAAAACTAATATATGCATACAGCATTTGGAATCCAAAGAACTGAATTCAAGATATGGCTTGGCCCCTTATTCTGTGATCTTGAATAACTGAGCCTTGGTTCTCTTGCTTATAAAATGTACCTATGTAAGTGAACAGGTGGTAATACCCACCATGAAATACTATGGAGCAGTTAGAAGCAACAGAGCAATTAGAATACGGATCTGGAAAACATAGTTCCAAGTGAAATAAAAAGGTGATTGGCAAAATGAGAAATGTAACAATGCCATTTATGTAAAGTCAAAACAACCACAAGCAGAATATAACACCCATGCAAATAACAGACATCCAGTACAGTGTAATGATTGTCTACAAAAGGAGGAGAATGCAAGTGAGTTGGGAGGTTTAAAGGGGATCAATAAATAAAGACCACAGAAGGGCCTCAGTACATTTAGAAATAAATAACATGCAAACAATGATGCTTCCCTACCTTCCTCACGAGGTTACTCTGAGGAGCTAATGAGATTGTGCGTATGAAAACAAAAGTTAATTGACTGTCTTCATTATGATCTCCATATTGGACAAATGAACTGAACAGAGATAAAAATTCCCCATCACACTTTGGCAGGAAGCTGTTGCCAGGGCAGCACCTGTGAAGCCCTGGCCTGGCTTCAGAGTCTGCTGGTGAGATGACATCAAAACCCTTCGTGTAGGAGGGTGGCAGTCTCCCTCCCTTCTGGAGACACCACCAGATGGGCCAGCCAGAGGCAGCAGCAGCCTCTTCCCATGGATCCACCACGAGCGTCCCACTTGAGCCCTCGGAAGAAGAGACCCCGGCAGACGGGTGCCTTGATGGCCTCCTCTCCTCAAGACATCAAATTTCAAGATTTGGTCGTCTTCATTTTGGAGAAGAAAATGGGAACCACCCGCAGAGCGTTCCTCATGGAGCTGGCCCGCAGGAAAGGGTTCAGGGTTGAAAATGAGCTCAGGTAGGACAGCATCGATCTTGCTTTGTAAATAAGCAGAGGCTTTGTGAACAGCTTCTTGGGAACCCAAGGAACCTGTGTTTTCTTCCACATGTGGAAGAGGTGATCTTCCCACTGGGAGAACAGCAGATTTGAAATCAAAGAACAACTAGTTAAGGAAAACGAGATAAGTGGGGACTGAATACAATTATATTGAAACTAGTTGACACCAAAAGATGAGATAAATTTTTTGTTTTTTGCTTTTCACTCCTATGAGATGTGTTATTTAGGGATGATAAGCAGAACACTAATTGGAAAATTTAATGCTGAACCACTCAATTCTATTCTTGACCAATTTGAACAAAGTATCACTGGGTTCAACAAAAAAGTTTTGGCTACT
This sequence comes from Homo sapiens, assembly GCF_000001405.40. Classification (NCBI taxonomy): domain Eukaryota; kingdom Metazoa; phylum Chordata; class Mammalia; order Primates; family Hominidae; genus Homo; species Homo sapiens. The sequence goes on from NC_000010.11 coordinate 96,305,077, forward strand.
TTGATGCAGAAAGATGATTTGGTTGCTTGGTTCTTACCTATACATCTGGGCGTGCTAAGGCAGCTAGCATCTGTGGTGGGCGAGGATGACTAGCCAGCTTACCACAGGCACCCAGATGTGGCCTTGACCACATTTTTCCAAAGAGTGGTCCTAGTGGGGTTCTTAGAAAGAGAGATGCTAGGTAAAGATGTATTCACTGTTAAGACAGCTCTGTCCAGGGATGACAGACATCACACTGAGTGAGATGTAATCAGAGCCCAGGCAAGGAGGCGATAGAAGCATTTGGACCACCTAGATTGGTTCACTCACTAATCCACTCACCTTGAACAGCAATTATTCTTGTTGTTTTTCTAACTTCTGTGTAAGCTCTTCACTGATCTCAAATAGATGAAGAGAAAACAAGCAAAATCCAGAAACAAATGGTATTAGAACCTTGACATAAGTGATGGTTCTGGATTAAACTGTTAAGGGGCTTGCAATGAAGGAGTAATGATTTATGCAGTTGACCGCTTTGACTGTGCAAGAAATAAATTGACCACAAATTTTCAGGCAAAACTATAAAAATTTTATGTGAAAGGACATTTTGATTGTATAAATAGTCTTTGATATTTGAAAATAAAACTGACAAGCATGTCATGCAGAAGAAATGTCAGCTTCCAAGTGTTGAGGAGACATATTTCAAAAGTCAATTTTCAGATATGTTAATGTTCGCAACACCCTGATTCATATGACATTGACTTTTCATTCATTTTTTGCTAAAATGCCCCATTCAGAAATTCCTGAATTTCCTATGGCCCTTCTTCCACCTGATTTCTCTTTGCAAGGTCTCCTTTTCTCTCTTGCTGCCTCTCTGTAACCTCCTACAGCCACTCTGAATCTCATTTTCTAACATCCTTTCCAAGAAAATCCTAGATTTCATCTAACTGTTAAGCCTGCCTGATATTACAGACTTACATAGAAGGCTAGAGTTGGAGAAGACAGGAAGATTATATAGGTAAAGAAGCCAAAAAAATAGATTTTTTTTTTTTTTTTTTTGAGACAGAGTCTTGCTCTGTTGCCCGGGTTGGAGTGCAGTGGCACAATCTCGGCTCACTGCAACCTCCGCCTCCCAGGTGCAAGTGATTCTCCTGCCTCAGCCTCCCAAGTAGCTGGGACTACGGACACGCGCCACCACAATCAGCTAATTTTTGTGTTTTTAGTAGAGACGGGGTTTCACTATGTTGACCAGGATGGTCTCTATCTCCTGACTTTGTAATCCGCCTGCCTTGGCCTCCCAAAGTGCTGGGATTACAGGCATGAGCCACCACGTCTGGCCAAAAATAGATTTTTTGGAAAAGAAATTAAAAGCCTTAGCAAATATGGAACTGCTTTTCATGGTAAAGAAATTTGACAAGGGTTAGGCAGGAAGGAAAGAACCAGAAGCACCACTTACTGGAAAGCTCTCCATTGAAACGTCCAAGCTTCCAGCAAGGACCCGCTGATTTATTATAGACACAGCAATGAATACATACAAGGCGGCTGAGGCAGGCACTCAGGGAGATGATGGGAGGTAAGTTTCTTCTGTTGGCAGGACAGCTGAAGAGGCAGCTACATGCCCCAGATGCCTGCTGCCAGGGACCAAGCCCAGCTGCTCAGGCGGCGGAGGAAGCTCACTGGTGCATGGTGAGCAAACTGCCGCTGTGCATGTGATGATGGCAAAGTTCCCAGGCTGGTAGCTCAGAAGACACATTAAATACAAATGTGCTCTATGGCGCAAAAATAAACCACAGGAAGTAGAAGTCCTAGGTCTCAAACGGAATTTCTGTGCATAGATATATAGACTTTAATTGGATAGAGAAATAAAAATTATTGTAGGGGACAAATCTCTAGATACGAAATTTAGAAACCTCAAATCCTGGCTCTGAGCCTCCCCAGCCATGGGGTATGGGACAAGGTCCCCTCTCTCCCGACTGATTTTAATATCCTGATAAATGGCCTATCTGATGTGATCACCAAATGAGATAATGCATGTCAATGTGCTTTGATAAATTAAAACAGTTAGACAAATGTAAAGTGTAATTATTTTCTTGTGAATTGCTGGATCCATTGACCTTTACAGCAAAACCCTAAGGAATGGGCTCTCCCTCCACAATATGAACAAGGTCAAATGATATCAACAAATAGAACAAAGACAGGAAAGAAACCCGTCAACATGTTATAACTGGTTTTTTGGGAGTGGGGGTTGGTAGGGAGAGATTATGGCTGTTTTTATTTTCTGGGTTTTCCAGTTTTTTTTTTTTTTTTTTTTTTTTTTTTTTTGAGACGGAGTCTCGCTCTGTCCCAGGCTGGAGTGCAGTGGCACGATCTCGGCTCACTGCAACCTCCACCTCCCAGGTTCAAGCGATACTCCTGCCTAAGCCTCCTGAACAGCTGGGACTACAGGCACGCGTCAGCACGCCCAGATAATCTTTTTTATTTTTAATAGAGTTGGGGTTTCACGATGTTGGCCAGGATGGTCTCGATCTCTTGACCTCGTGATCCGCCCGCCTTGGCCTCCCAAAATGCTGGGATTACAAGCGTGAGCACCGTGCCTGGCCTCCAATATATTTTTTACAATAAGCATATATATATGTATGTGTGTGTGTGTGTGTATATATATATATATATATATATATATAAGCATATATATGTGTGTGTGTGTGCATATATATATATATATATATTTTTTTTTTTTGAGGCAGGGTCTTGTTCTGTCACGCAGGCTGGAGTGCAGTGGTGCCATCTCGGCTCACTGCAACCTCCGTCTCCCAGACTCAACGGATCCTCTCACCTCAGCCTCCCAAGTAGCTGGGACTACAGATGCGGGCCATGCCCGGCTAATTTTTGTAGAGATGGGGTTCCGCCATGTTGCCCAGGCTGGTTTTGGACTCCTAGCTCCTGCCTTCACCTCCCAAAGGATTACAGGTGTGAGCCACCGTGCCCAGGCTACAATAAGCATGTACTTTAAAAATAAAAATAACAAAGAAAGCTGTTTTTTCAGCTGATAGGCAACAGTTTTCATTGTTCCTAACACATTCTTTGGCTGTCAGAAGGATTAAATTAGAGAAGAAACCTGATTCCTGCTTTACTTGGGCCTGAACACACAAATTAGAAATGGTGTACCTCAAAGTGTTGCACTGTCTGGAGCTATTTCATTCTGCAACATGCATGCAACATAATTGGGTGGAGCTTTGCTAACATTTATGCTATATTGCAAAATACGTGCCATTCAATGTGCCATAGGAAGCTGGTCTTAAAACGTAGATAAGGGAAAGTATTAAAACCCTTGAGGCATTTTTGCATATTTATGAAAAGAATACTGAATTTTATTCCATGGCTAACTTCCTAAATTTTAGAGCAATTTGCCACCCGGGTCAAGCTGGAGAAGGATCAGAACCTACTGCTTGTCACTTTCTTATTTCATCCTGAGTTCCAATACGTGGAGCTATTTTAAAATTTCATTCTGTTATCAACCCTCCTCCATAAACACATTAGTGTCACTCGAGTCCATGTGAAGAGACCACCAAACAGGCATTGTGTGAGCAACAAGGCTGTTTATTTCACCTGGGTGCAAGCGAGCTGAGTCTGAAAAGAGAGTCAGCAAAGGGTGGTGGGATTATCATTAGTTCTTACAGGTTTTGGGATAGGCGGTGGAGTTAGGAGCAATGTTTTGTGGGCAGGGGGCGGATCTCAACAAAGTACATTCTTAAAGGTGGGGAGAATTACAAAGAACCTTCTTAAGGGTGGGGGAGATTACAAAATACATTCGTTAGGGTGAGGCAGAAACAAATCACAATGGTGGAATGTCATCAGTTAAGGCTATTTTCACTTCTTTTGTGTATCTTCAGTTGCTTCAGGCCATCTGGATGTATACGTGCAGGTCACAGGGGATATGATGGCCTGGCCTGGGCTCAGAGGCCTGACAATTAGTTAAGCTTACTCTCTGTGTCTTGACCCAAATCATTGATGCTGAGGAAGAAAATGCACGACCAGGAAGGTTGGCTCTCCACCTTTGCATCTACCTAGCCGTTTAACACTTGCCAAGTTCCATTGTTCAAGCAGCTTGACACCCACCAGAGGATACTGTCATCCTTCCTAGACTTCCATAGTTTATCTACAAGGATGCCACTGGAAGGCATTGTCTTCAGTGAAAGCAAGATGCAGCATCATGTCATCACCAATAAAGGGCTTTGTTAGTACCTACTCTGTGCAGTATTTGTCAGGTTGTGGAGACACAAAATAGTGGAAGACATGAGTCCTGCAAACAAGGAGTTTACAGTCAGACAGGAAAGTCAGGAATTGTACCTTTGTCATCACCTGGAATTAAAAAAGTAGCATAGCATATATTCCAAGTTTGAACAAGTTTTCTTTAAAAAAAAAAAAAAGTTAGCATTTGCCTGCTCATTTTTTACTTTTAGTCTTCTAGTATTATTTTGGTCTAGTTTTATCTAAACTGGCTGCTTGCCCTTTCCATTCAGTCATTATATAATGTTTGACATGTGGATTCTGTCTCACTCATTATCCCAAAACCATCGCCTCCAAAAGTCCCTGGCAATCTCATGGTAGTAAAATGCATTATTTTTTTCCACCTGAATGTTGGTAAAGACTCTCTCCTTGACTAAACTGTAGCATGGCTTCTAGCAGTTAAGGCCATGTCCCTAGGATGGCCCCCTTTAAAATGCCTGCCTGAGAAAGTTCATCACTGCCAGGAGAATGTCCTGTTTATTCTAGCCAAAGGCAGGCAACAGGGAGCTGGCCCGTGAACCCTCTCTTAAAGCAGTTACTTTAGAAAGTTGCAATGATAAATCCTTTCTCTGTCCCTTTGAGATGTAAATCTTCTAACCATCCAGAACTGTCTTCCAAGGATCTGAAAAAAGCAACCCTTCAAAGAGGTAACTCCGACTTTCAGATTCTGTGGGAGGGAGGGCCTAACTTCAGAGGACCTTCCTCTAATTTACACCACAAAAGTTTGCTTCTCCTCCAGGAAAGCTCCAATTAACAAACCCAGATGGCCTAGTCACAGGGACCAACCCCCCTACTACCCCTCAGGGGCACACCCTTCCCCTAGCAGCACATCCCAGTTTTTTAAAAGTCTCATGCCTTTTGTTCCCATAAACACTGGGGCCTCTTTCCTATTGCCATCATTATGACTGAATATAACCATCCTTCCCACTTTAACTAGTGTCCAGCTTTGTTAATCTTTGGCAATGTTCTATTCTACACTTCAAATTTATGGTGTCTGAAATCAAAATATTCAAAGTCATTGTTTGCAAAATAAACAGAACATCAGTCGAAGGAGGTCAGTTTCCTGCTCTAGAAAATAAAAGTTGAACTGGCCACTCTCCAGGCCAGGCCCAGAATCCAAACACAGATTCCCTGGTTTTCTTTACAGTTTTTCTTGCTCTTTCCCTACCACCTTGAGTGCCTTCTCCCTTTACCTCTCTGCTTCCCAGACCTTAGACTCCTGAAAGCCCCCAGAGAGAAGCTTTCCTCCCTAGAATGCTGGTGGGAGTCACTGCCTAGGGTGGGCTCCCAGCTTTTCCTTTTGATGAGCAAAGGCTCTTAATCTCATCCAATTACCCCTCTCTGACTCCACAAGCCACGTGTAGACCTCAGCTACAGACTTAGACAATTTTCTTTCACATAGGAGGCCTCAAGAAATATTTGCTCAGAGAATGATTTATCTGGTGAATATAAAACCAGCCCAAGGAACTTGTGTTTACCAAGAGTAATTTTTGTAATGAATTTTTTTTCTGCAATGCATGAGTATTAATTTTGTAATCAGCAACATAATAAATATTTTATTTTTATAAATTCAAGAGCATGAGCATGAGATATAAGCTTTTTTCTTGCTCTGATCCAAATTACTTTGTATTTCAAAATTTGCGGCTTTAAATTAACAAAAAATTTCTTAATCCCATTTAAGGTGGGCCAAAAAAAATCGAGGCAAGATCGTCTCAGTCATAAGTACAGCAGGGCTGGAGACAGAAACCTGTCCTTAGTGGTGCTAGGTGCTAGTAAGAGTTTGCAATAAAACCAAACAAAACTGCATGATCTTTCTGTTCCAAGGATACTGAAACAGATCAGTTGCTAAGTGAAATTGGTAGAAGGGTTTTTAAACTGTAAACAGGTCAGTTTAACTGTAAATGACTATTTAAGTCACTGTTTACAAAATAAGTCCTATATCAGATGGGAAGAATCAGGAATGACCTCTCCCTGGGAAGAAGACAGCAGGTGACCATCCATGAGGATCCAGAAAGTCAGACAGAGGGTGGGAAGGAGTCTATACCCAGGCAAATAAAAATAGCTGCCACTTTCCTCCTGGAGGGTTTTTCTAATTATACTTCATGAGAGGCAGGATCAACTAGGAAAAGAAAGACAGGAAGAACAGGGAAATTATTGCCTGAGGGAAAAAATGCAGAACTGAAGTCTGTGAGTTAATTCCATAACCCAGGGCTTTTCAGACATCTGAGTGCCACAGTCACGATTCTTGTAATATCTTTTACCACATCTTTTATTATAATATATACGTAATCTGTTTATTTTGTTTGTTTATTTGTTTGGGGGGAGACAGGGCCTTGCTCTATCACCCAGGCTGGAGTGCAGTGGCACGATCTCAGCTCACTACAATCTCCACCTCCTGGGTTCAAGCGATTCTCGTGCCTCAGCCTCCCGAGTGGCTGGGATTACAGGCACGTGCCACCACACCCAGCTAATTTTTGTATTTTTAGTAGAGACGGGGTTTCACCATGTTAGCCAGGCTGATCTTGAACTCTTGACCTCAAGTGATTCGCCCACCTGGGCCTCCCAGAGTGCTGGGATTATAGGCATAAGCCACCACACCTGGCCAGTGTGTTTCTTTTAATTGTCCCTAAACTGACTCATTTAAAATAAAATTAGCCTTGTTCTAAGGAATAATATCCATAAAACCTATGATCTGAGATGCATAATTTAAAATACAGATATAAATAAACACATAAGCCTTTTAAATGTTCAATTGTGTACCTCCTAAAATTATGTCACGTACCTGCAGAGAAACGAGTACCATGTTGGAAAACACAGCTGTCATTGAGGCCAAAGGCTCGAGTGGGAGTCAAATCTAGGCTGGGGCAGTTCAATAGAAAAGATCTTTCTCTACAGTGGTGTTTCTCAAAGTGGAGTTCTTGGGCTGTGGGGTGGTTTTAAAACATAGGTCCTCCTGTGGAGAGGGAGGGGCAATTTCCCCGTCCTTTGCATCTGAGAGTGCTGGTGACTGATTCAACCAGTAAGGTACAGTGGAAATGAGACTGTGTGACTTTCCCTGGGACACAATCTCTGGGACCCCAGAGCCTCATGTAAGACATTGGCGCCTCCTCTTAGACCACATAAAGTTGCTTGGGTCCCCAGTCCCTAGTTGCACTGAGCCCAGCTTTCCAGCCATCCTCACCAAGGTGGCAGAATGTAGAACCACGGGGAACATCAGCACCTCAGCAGAAGAATACAGGGCAGAGAGATCACCCAGCCAAGCCTGCCTGAAGTGCTGACCCACGAAATTGTGAGATATAATAAAATAGTTGCCTTTTTAAGTCATTACATTTTGGGATCACTGGTTATGCAACAGTAGATAACGAAAACAGACTGACTATATCAGAATCACCAATGGAGCTTGTCAAAATGCATATTCCTGGGCCTCAGGTGCAATTCTCCAGGAATTCTGAAGTCTCATAATGGGACCCAGTAATCTGAATTTTAACCTAGCTTCCTGGATGTCTCTGGTAGACACTAGAGTTTGAGAGACATTCCTTTAGAGCTATTCATTCATTCATTCATCTATCCAGTCTACCGTCATCTTTTTACCATTACTATAAATCTGGCCATGTGCTGGGCTCCAGGCATAACCCAGAGACCATGCCACTGTCCCTGCTCTCAGGGACACCAAGGACCAAGCTGGGCACCTGACAGTCAAGCACTAGTTGAAGGAGGAGACCCTGAATCTTCTTCCCTGTAGGAGACTGAGGTACCAATGCCAGTTCTCTCAGAATTGCTATAATTTGTTCAAGACCTCCCAAACTTAGTCCAAAGCACTAACAATCGGTCATGGCCAAGAAATTAGGAGAAGATTGAATTCACTGATATTTTGGAAATAGCCATCTCAGCAGAACCTTGGGATCTCTGAGGTTGAGGTTGGCTGCCGGAGGGTTTCTGTCACCTTTTATTATAAGAAGGAAGCCAAGGTCTCTGTGGGCAAGGCAGAAACAACTTCAGCCTCAATCACAGATTCATTTGCCCTTGAAAATGACATTCATGTATATTTTCCCCCAAGTAGAAAAGTGACCATAGATAGTTCATTACAGAAAATGAGAAAATAAAGAAAAACATTTCAAACACACAAACAAAGCTCCCCTCAGGCATCTAACCACAGTCTAGCAGAACGTTAAGAGGTTGCTTGAGTCAGGCACACCTGGGTTTGAACCTCGGCTTCATGTAAGCTCCCCCAGGCTTGGTTTTCTCCTCTGTGATTACATTGCCTACTGTGCTAGGCTGTTGTGAGGATTAAGTAAGAATATGTGCACATGTGTGTATGTCATTATCATTATCTTTGCTAATAGTCACAAGTATTTCTTTCTAGTCTGATTCCCTTTATATGCCAGTATTTATTGTTGGTTACTTAATAGTGCCTTGAGCCCCATCCCATCTGTACTCCCCAGCATTCTAATGTCCCCATCAGAGGCAGGGCTGTGTCCAGAGGAATCCTAGGTGGAGAGATGGTGGCGATGGAGCAGCAGGGTAGGAGTGGATGGTGACAGGCCAGAATTTGGACGATGAGTCCAGGGCTCCCCCTTGACACGTCCATCTCCCTCAGAGGTTTAGGGAAAACCCAGAGCCCAGAGAGCCTGACAGCCTCCCTGTGGCTGCTCCGTCTTGATGTGTGGCTATGGCAACTGTTCTTTCAAGTTTTCTGGGGCAGTTCTACATGTCCTGTAGTCTAGTTTAGTCCATATAATATTGTACATAAAATAGCAAAACACAAATTCTATGTGGCAGCAGCAAGGCAATACGTTTACTGCTGTTATATAGGAGGTGCTATTCCATCTGTATTTCTGCCCTTGGGAGGAAATCGATTTTCTTATTATTATGATACCCATCCAGATGTTACTCCCTCTGCAACAAGAGGAAGTGAGCAGCTCCCTCCTTTTCCAAAGAACACAAAGTCATGGATGGCCAAGCACATAGACTTTGATGAGAACAGCCATAGGATCAAATCCCTGCTCCACCTACTAATTATTCGCTGGGTGAAATTTTTAACATTTCCAAGGCTATCTCTTCCCTTTTTTTTTTTTTTTTTTTTTTTTTTTTGAGATGGAGTTTCGCTCTGTCGCCCAGGCTGGAGTGTAGTGGCACAATCTCAACTCACTGCAACCTCCGCCTCCCAGGTTCAAGTGATTCTTCTGCCTCAGCCTCCCGAGTAGCTGGGACTACAGGCGCGTTCCACCACGCCCAGCTAATTTTTTGTATTTTTAGTAGAGACAGGGTTTCACCGTGTTAGCCAGGATGGTCTTGATCTCCTGACCTCATGATCTGCCCCCCTCAGCCTCCCAAAGTGCTGGGATTACAGGCATGAGCCACCGCGCCCAGCCTCTCTTCCCATTTTTAGATGGGGATGATCATATCTATCTCATGGCATTATTGATAATTAAATGAAGTGATGTATAAAGTGTGCCTACCAGAGTGTCTAGCATATAGTAATATTCTAATATTGTTAACATTTCCAGTATTGGAGTGTTCAGAGCAGAGAGAAAACCACTGTACCAGCAAATAGACAAACAGCTGCCACAAGATAGTGATAAGAAAGTATCAGCAGAGCACACTAGAGGCCATGGGTCTCCTTAGTAATACTGCTCGGTAAGGGCTCGGAGCTGAAAGTGAACAACACACAGAGACTGTGAATTGCCTGTGAGGGGCTGATGGCAACCCCGACACGAGGAAGCACATCACAGCCCAGATCTAGCTGGCCACATGCAGAGGATCAGCCGAACTCAGGCAACACAAGACGATGGGAAATACAGTCTGGGCCACAACAGAGATTCTCTCAACAAAATTTCTTAAATTATTTGTGGCAAAGGACCAGTTTTCAAAAAATGTGTTGAAGACCAATGCTTCTTTTTTTTTTTTTTTAAGCCACAATAAAACTATTTTGGTGATGTCAAATTACAATTAAAGTTTCTAAATGCTGACTTACAATTTCTGAACTTACCTTGTTGGGAACTAGTGGCAACCAATACTGAGCTCTGAGTAGCATTGGCTTAAGAGGTTTTGTTTGACTTTTTGGTTTTTGTGTGTGCTTAAGATTATTATTGCTCTTTTGTTTTGTTTGCTAGTTGCTTATTGAACAGGAAGTGGGAGTTTAAATCAGAGCCTTCCTTCATATGACGTACAGCCTGTCATCCACAAATTTGTTTGTATTAATTAAGAAATGCATATGGTTCTCACCCAACAATGTGAGCGCAGACATTCTCACACTGTCTCAGAGAATCCCAGGAGAAGAGGCAGTAGGGGGAGTGGTAAGAGTGTAGGTGGTTAGGGGTCCCAGGGTTCCTCTTTAACATACCCTTCTCCCTCTCAGGGTTAGGTAAAACTCTATTTATTGTAATAATATTATAATAAATAATAATGTATCATAAGTATAATAATATAATAATAATTTTTCCCTCCAAAAGGCAGAAATATAGATGGAAAATATAGATGGAATAACACTTCCTATTAATCCTTGATCCAAAGAATCCTTCAGGAATTTTATTATAAATAAATTTTGAAATAATATGGATCTACAATAGGGAAGTGGTTATCCATCTTCCTTTAATTCTTGTAGAATGTTGCTTTGCCATGACTTATTTCTGTTTAGGCACATCCTGCCATCCAGATGGTCTCAGCTCTGACCCCAGCCCACACCTCTCTCTGAGCACCAACCTCAGATCCCAACTGTCAACCAGATATTTTAATTTGGATCTCCTGCTGTCCTTCAAATGCGGCATGCCTGAAATAAACTTCAGTTCCACCGCTCCACCCCTTCCCCCAAAGAGACGCAACTTCCTAAATCTGATTTCTACCAAAAGTGCCATTACTTTACTGTGATTAATATGCTGGAGTAATATTTGACTCCCTCCCTGAATTCATCTTTCATAGGTGAGCTGATGCAGATGTCTACCATATTTCTCCTCTGCTTTTCTGTGCCAGACTGGGTTAAAATCATCTCACACTTACACAATCATTTCATCTTCCTAAGTAGTTCCGCAACCCTCCCTACCCCATTACGCTCCCCTCCAAATCACTGTATGTACCAGACTCGTCTTTTAAAATAACACTGTAGTGCTATCAATGTTCTGCTCACAAAAGCCTTCACTGGCTCCACAACCCCAGAAAATAAGATCAAACCTCCTCAACAGGCTTCTAAGACCTTCTAGAATGTAGTTGTCCCTACGAATTCAGCCACATCTACAATTACTTCCCAATATAAACTCTCCACTCCAACCCAGGCCATTCTCCTCCCTGTCCTTCTGGCCCCTGACCCTTTTCTTCCAGGAGAACCCTAAGTTCTGCCTTTTAGGTGTGTCATTCAGGACTAGACACAGTCCCAGCTCTGCCACCAACCAGCTGCCTCTCCCAGCTTACACCATGTTTTTTTCCTTCTCTGAACATGGCAGATCTTCATGCCTCATGTCTTGTCATAATTCACATCATAAGCCATCTGTTTCATGTAACATACTAGTGTCTAGTAACTTCCTTTTTCTTCTTTGGTACCCAACCTCCTCCTACTACCATCACCGCCACCACTATCACAAGGAATCTAGGGTTGTGCATATAATAGCAAATTTAAAAATACCTCATGAATCAGATTCTATCAAAAAAAGAAGATGGAGAAAGAGGAAATCAAGGAAACAAAATAGGAGGAGAAAGAGAAAATATTGCTATGTTTTCTCTTCGATGCTTGGGTATGCTGTGTGCTCATGCTATTGCTCAGATTTATAGACTATTTGAACTGAAAGGATCTTAAAAATCACTGGGTCCAATAATATAATGCTGAATGTGAAGACTTATTAAAAACTAGAAATAACATATCTGGCCCAGAAAAAACAATAAAAGAAAGATGAGTATCATTTACCAGCTGTGTGACTTTTAGAATGTCACTTGACCTCTCTGTTCCTCAGTTTCCTCATTTTTGAAGTGTGAATGATGTAACACTTATTGAGGAGCTAAATGAGATGATGTAGGTAAAGCACATGGCCAATGCCTTAAACATGGTAAGTGCTTAGTACCTGTTAAGAAAAAGATCCCTGTCCATGCTTCGAAAACATGTAAATCAAAATTTCTTGAAGGCTGGTTATAAATAATTAATTTATTGTTAATAATAAACTGTGAGATCATTTAATGGGGTGTTTCTATGGTCTGAATATTTGTGTCACCCCAAAATTCATAAATTGAAACCTAATCCCCAAAGCGATGATATTAGAAGGTGGGGCCTTTGGGAGGTGAGTAGGTTATGAGGGCTCCACCTAGTGAATGAGAAATTAATGTCCTTAAAAAAGAGGCCCGAGAGAGCTGCCTTCCCCTTCTGCTATGTGAGGACACACAGTGGGTGCCATCTATGAAGAATGGGCCTTCACTGGACACCATATCTGCCGACCCCTTGATCATGGACTTTCCAGCCTCCAGAACTGTGAGCAATAAGTTTCTGTTGTTTATAAATTACTCAGTCTAAGGTATTTTGTTATAGCAGCCTAAATGGATTAAGACAGTTGCTTAAACCATGTAAGCATAGCTACATCTGTACCTATTTCTATGTCTACTTTGGATCATAATATAAAACGTATTTCTAACTGTGGGTCACTGTCAAACAAGTTTGAAGGCCATTGGATTATTAAAGTCCTCCACTAGTAAAAATGGAGCAGCATGCCAAAACCTCATGTGGAATGCTAGGTGCTACTTTAAGAGCAGTTTTACCTTCCATCTTTTCTGGACCTTGGTTTTCCATCAACGCCTCAGTCCTGCTAATGTTGTCTTTATTGTTCGTGCATCTGACATGTAACCCGGACCACTGTTGCCATACTAATTAATGTAGAGAGAATTCCCTTGCATGGAGGCCTAAATTCTCCACACCTATGGTTAGGTCTAGCATGTGTCTTTCTCCATCAGATGGAATGCTCAGAAACCTTGAGGAAAGAGGAGAGCTTCTGATTTTGAAAGATGTTTCAGCTGGTAACTCTGTCTTGCATTTTGCAGTGATTCTGTCACCCACATCGTAGCAGAGAACAACTCGGGTTCGGATGTTCTGGAGTGGCTTCAAGCACAGAAAGTACAAGTCAGCTCACAACCAGAGCTCCTCGATGTCTCCTGGCTGATCGAATGCATAAGAGCAGGGAAACCGGTGGAAATGACAGGAAAACACCAGCTTGTTGTAAGTGTCATGGGTGTGATTTTCACTGTTCTTTGCTTGATGGTTAAGAACATAGGCTTAGGATCAACGGAGCTGGGGTAAACCCTAAATTCTCTGCTTACTACCTGTGTGACCTTGGGCAAGTCACTTAGCTTTACTGAGCTTCAGTCTCTTCCTTTATAATATGACATAACGATAATGCCAGCCTCACAAAATGGTCATGAAGATTAGAACAACACACATGTAAAGCGCTGAACACAATGTGTTGACTATAGCAGGCATCTAACGAGTGGTCGCTATTTTCCCGAACACATTTATACACAAATCTTTCAAAATATTTAAGCCTTGATATTCTAGCAGCCAGAAAAGCAGGAGATTCCTTTTTTTCTCTCACTGTGATCATTCAGAAAACAAAACAAAACAAAACAAACAAAACAAAAAGTTAAGCTCTCAATTCCAAATATTTGAGCAATTGTGCTAAAATCTTTGGGAAGAGGGCTTGGACCATAACTACAGAAGTTCATAGAAAACGAAGATGATATTTAATTGATAGGTCTTTTCATTTTTTTTTCTGATTTCAAAAATAATACGTGTTGATAATAGCAAGTTCAAATATTAGAGATGTATATAACATAAATTTTGAGTCTCCTATAATTTTATCCTCCAACTACAGACAACTACTTCCAAATTTTTTCCGTACATATCTGTTATTACTATTAATTTTTATTGAAAATGGATGCTTATGCATTTGTTTAGGTGAGAAGAGACTATTCAGATAGCACCAACCCAGGCCCCCCGAAGACTCCACCAATTGCTGTACAAAAGATCTCCCAGTATGCGTGTCAGAGAAGAACCACTTTAAACAACTGTAACCAGATATTCACGGTAACGGGACTTTACATCAACACCCAGGGCAAACGAAGGGCTTGCAGCTTCTTTCTGTGGACCGCAAATTAAATTATAAATTTTTCTGAAAACCTGGGAAAGTTTTCCTCCCACCTACCTGCAGCCCTAGCCTGATCTCTGATCCTTCTATCCTTCTTCTTTCTATCGAGACTGGGTCTCCTTCCTTCCTGGAAATAGACAAATACATTTAGGTTATATTCTTTAGAGACAGCGGATTACTATTTACAGATAGTTGTCATTAATGGGCGCAACACTTGTCAAAAGCAAATATTCTGAAAAAACAAATACTGGAATTAGTCCAAAACATAGTAAGAGCAAATTACATAGAAATGGTAACAATACATCAACAGCTTTTGCTGGGAAACCAAAAAATTGAGCAAACCTAGATTCCAGCCTTTCTGATATTCACTAGTTTGGGCAAGTCAATTTCTCTCTCTGAGCCTGTCTCCTCATCTATTCAAAAAGAAATTGGATGGATCATATCTAAAGCTCCACTCAGCCCTCAGATTGGTAATTGTGTTTTGAATGGCCCTAAAACCCACAACTGCTTGTCTGCTAGCCTAGAGTCAGTGGTTAGCTGGATGAAACATGTAGTAGTAGATCAATACAGAGCTTCTCATTTCTAGACTTCCAGCTCCATGTCTGTGTTGGAAAGACTAGGAAATTGTAGCTACTGGATATGCTGAGCATGAGATCACACAGCTACAGCTGCTTCCTCCCCTGCTAGAAATACAAACGTGCCCTACCTTAAATAATCCTGGCTCTGGGTCTGTGTGACCTACGACTACACTCATTCATTCAACAAGCCTGTGTTAAGTGCTGTGTTTCATGGGGCTGCTCAGTGATCAAGGCAGAATTCTAGCCACAGGCTAGTGGGAAGATAGTACAGAAGGAGGGATTATGCTGAGTCATGACTAGCAAGATGCTGTGAGCACCAAAGCATTTTTTAGTTAAATCATCTGTGAATGTTTAATAGCAGTGTACTCCAAGTTTCCGCATAATGCACTCTGGTACCTGTCTTTTCAATTCAACTCTACTCCATGACACCAGAGAGGCATACAAGGGTATGGGAGACCCCATCCTGACCTAGAAGGAAACACGCAAGTGGTATTCCAATATTTAAAGGAGAGCAAGAGGCGTTTGTGAGTGACCACTGGCTCAGGGGCTTGGAAGCAAATCTCCTGCTTATCTGGTTTTATCCTGCAGGATGCCTTTGATATACTGGCTGAAAACTGTGAGTTTAGAGAAAATGAAGACTCCTGTGTGACATTTATGAGAGCAGCTTCTGTATTGAAATCTCTGCCATTCACAATCATCAGTATGAAGGACACAGAAGGAATTCCCTGCCTGGGGTCCAAGGTGAAGGGTATCATAGAGGTAAGGGTGAAATGGGATTTGTCCCACTTCCCAATAGGTAGGTGGGAACGGGGGAGAGAGGGATGTAGCTAACAGATTTTCCTGTCAACTATGTAGATGTGGTGTACATCACAAATTTTCCTTTATACATATTCCTCTCTCTCTCCTCTGTCTCTCTCTCTCTCTCTCTCTCTCTCTCTCTGTTTATTTTTATACACATACACACACACATACACATATATATATGTTAGGGGTTGTGAATATCCTAGTCACATGGCACCAAAATACGTTAGTGGTGGCAGGTGTCAGAGTTACCGATAGTGAATCCGTTCGGGTCTGCAGCAACCCCAATTATTGCTTCCGCAGAAGAAAGAATTCGACTGGGGGGCATAAGGCAGAAAAAGAGACTGAGGCAAGTTTCAGAGCAGGAGTGGAAGTTTATTAAAAAGCTTTAGAGCAGGAAAGAAAGGAAAGTACACTTGGAAGAGACCCAAGTGGGCAACTTGGAGGACAAGTGCAGCGTTTGACCTTTTGACTTGGGGTATATGTTGGCATACTTCTGGGGTCCTGCGTCACTTTTCCCATGATTCTTCCCTTAGGGTGAGCCACCCGCATGCACAGTGCCCTCCTTGTGCTTGGGAGGGGAGCATGTGCAGTGTGTCTACTGGAGTTGTATGCATGCTCACCTGAGGCATTCTTCCCTTTTCCGGTGGAATGCTCCGGAAAGTCATAATCTGCCATTTTGTCTCTTAATGTGCATGCTCATGCCCACTCGCCCAATTCCTGAGATTTTAATGGAAGCTGCTGATTACCAATTTCAAGTGTTTTTATCTATTGGGAAATTGCCTCTCCCTGGCGCCAGTTGTGACTAATCATTTTATAGGGTGACAACTGCCAGACCATCACGGAATTGCCTCTCTCTAGCACTGGCTGCAACCAATTATCATTTTAGAGAGACAGTGTGATAACTCCTGGACCATCACCTGATGGTCGCCTGACATTCCTGGTTTGGAGGGGGGAGCCCTCTCCTGCCCTGCTCATGCCTGACTAGCTACCTACTCTAACATATAAATAGATACAGACGTGTTATTTATAATCCATACCCTAATATTATCACAGCTGGAGCTACATGGAACCAGCTAGTAGAAGCAGAACTCTCCCATACTGTTATTAATCACAGTGAAAGACTCAAGTGGCCTAAATCTTGACAGCAGGGAAATGGTCTGATTTCCCTCAGTTCCACCTGGGGGCGCCACCTTAGAGCAGTGGTGCGTTTGACATGAAGTGGAGGTGGTTCTACACCTCTCCAGGGAGAGCGCCAGAGGTTGTGCTTATTTACTGAACGGTGTTTAGGGATTCCCCAGCAAAGCAAGTTGGTCATCTGGTAGTAAGTTTCTGTATAGTCAAGTGCAAGGTATATTATTCAAGGACAATTATCCCAACTCTACTCAGAGGAAGGGGGCTCTGAGCTAGACATCACAAGGGCTTGAATGTAGATTGGCTTTTTGGTGGGTCCAAAATTAACCTTGTCAATGGAAAAGTCTTCTTATTTCAGTAAGGTCATATTCATTGAAGAGAAAATTATCACCAATATTTGGACATACATTTTTCAGTGAATATTTTGGTTTGGGATTCTGTAGATCTGGATCCTAACCATTTGTATCTTTGTTCCTAAGGATCGTAAAGGGGTCCTTGGATATATGATGAGCTAGCATTTTCAAGATTGTAGGGAAATGTCTTGTTTTCTCCAGATCAATTAGGGAAATACCCCTGCATGTGATGCATGCACATTTCATGAGAAACCAAACTACTAGGTCCATGAATTTGAGAGTCTTAGACAGTAATTGTCCAACATCACTAATTTAAAATATTTTTCAACTGTCCATTAGGAGATTATTGAAGATGGAGAAAGTTCTGAAGTTAAAGCTGTGTTAAATGATGAACGATATCAATCCTTCAAAGTAAGTGATTTTACATATATTTATTGAAAATTGTTTTTCAGTTAATCTTATTACTTATTCTGGCTGGTTGTATTAGTCAGCTTGGGCTGCAATAACAAAATACAGAGATGGCGTGGCTTAAACAACAGAAATTTATTTTCTCACCATTCTGGATCAAGATGTCAGCAGGGTCAGTTTCTGGTGAGGGTTCTCTTTCTGGCTTCTTCCTGTGTCCTCACATGCTCCCCTGCTCACATGGTGAGAGAGAGACAGAGAGAACAAGCAATCTTTCTGGTGTCACAAAGACACTAATCCTGGGCCGGGCACCATAGCTCATGCCTGTAATCCAAGCACTTTGGGAGGCCAAGGCGGGTGCACTTGAAGCCAGGAATTCGACCAGCTTGGCCAACATGGTGAAACCCCATCATTTTACAAAAATACAAAAATTAGGTGTGGTGAGGCATGCCTGTAATTCCAGCTACTTGGGAGATTGAGACATGAGAATCACTTGAGTCTGGGAGGCAGAGGTTGCAGTGAGCTGAGATCATGCCACTGTACTCCAGCCTGGGTGATAGAGTGAGACTGTCTCAAAAACAAGACAAACAAAAAGACACTAATCCCATCATGAGAGCCCCACTCTCATGACCTCAAAGGCCCTGTCTTAAATACGGTCATACTGGGGATTAGGACTTCAACATACAAATGGGTTGGGAGGGGGAATTCCGTCCATAGCTTTGGTCTAGGAAGAAAATGCCTAAATAAATTCAGGTGCCCAGATTATTGCCATGCTGTCGTGATGTACAAATTGCCTTACCCTCCAAGAGTCTGTCACTCATGGGTACAAACATCATGGGACATGAGGACCATGGGGGGGTTGGTGGGGACAGGACGGAACTGCTCTTAAAGAGCAGATTTGTGTCTGAAAATCTCCTTACTGCATCTTCATTTACTTGGAAGCAGGGTTTATTACCTCCCAATTTTCCCTACCTTAGAGTTGCAGGTGGAAGGGACTTCCACCAGTTCCTTCAAAGCAAAAGTGATGTACAGGCCTAAAATATGGCCATGAGCAGGAGCACAGGCTTGGAGTGTAAACAGACCAGGGTTTAAGTTTGGGCTGTGCCACTTCCCACCTGTATGATGGTGGAGAAACTATATAACCTACATGAGCATCTCTTTTCAAAATGTGAGGGTACCTATGCAGAGCATGAGTGTCGGTGAGAGACCCAGCAAAAGGGAGAGCCCTATAGAGCTAGCGTATCACTCATGGACAGCACAGGCAGGCCGTCAATTAGACTATACCTTAGCCCTGCACAGGTGCCAGAACCTGCTTGTTACTTCTGTTTCATTTTGTAATGCCACATGTCAAGAAAGGACTCACCTGAAATAAAAAATGCCCTTAAAAATAACCATCACCCACCTGCTCGTTATATTCAGGAGAAACTAGGTCAAAGATTTGCTTATACTTTTTCTTCATTGCCTGAGACCTAGAAAGGGTCATGACTCGGATGTTATAATGATTATCTTAGAGACTGATGGCATGCCTTTCCCTCCATTTTAGCTCTTTACTTCTGTATTTGGAGTGGGGCTGAAGACTTCTGAGAAGTGGTTCAGGATGGGTTTCAGAACTCTGAGTAAAGTAAGGTCGGACAAAAGCCTGAAATTTACACGAATGCAGAAAGCAGGTAAATTGTCTCTCCTAAAAGTCATTGTTGCTATGGGCTGGTCGGGTCGTGGTGGAGCTCTAAGTCAGTTACACTGCAACTCCAATCTGGGAGAGCTGGGACACTTCTTTGATGTCCATTGATGCTTGGATCTAAATCCTAGCTCCAGCAGTTTCCAGCTGTGTGATCTTGAGCAAGTTGGTTAAAACCTTTGAACCTTAGTTACCTAATCTATGAAAGAGAGATAACATTGATACTTAGCTGAGAAGTCAATCAGATAATGCAGGCAATGCCTCAGCACTGTGTCTGACACAGAGCAAAGGCGCCCTCCACTGTGGCTGTTTGTGGTCCTTCACCCAAATGTCAAGCCAGGTTGTGCTGCTGATCTGGTCCTTACTGACTCTTCCGGACATTGGGTCCTGGCTGTCTCCCTGGGTAAGAGTTGTGGGTGAAGAGTCAAAGACAGAAGGGTTGGCTGCTAAGAATACTTGAACAGAGTTGTTGCCTGGCACAAATGTGAAGATGCCCTAGAAACTGTAAAACACCAGGAAAATAGAAGGGAACTGGTGGAAATCTAGGCACAGGGTTGATATACCCAACCAGGACTCTTTCGCCTAAGACAAGACCGTGGTGGGACATGAGTGCTGTCATCACCCACCTGAAAGCCTGGCAGGGCCTCTCAGAGGTTGAAGGTAGCCTGGTCACTTCCATTTATGAGGCTCCCAGTAAGTTTTTTAAAAATGAAGGAATGGCAATACAGTGTGAAAAAAACTGTGTGTTTAAAAAAATGTTTACTTTTAACAAGCAATAAAAATACAATACAGTTGTGATTCAAAAAGGAGTCACAGCCATAGTCCCTACTCATTTTTTGTAAAGTTGCTAATCTTTGAAAGATTGCTAATAATACAATGCCACATAGGAAATAAAAGAGTCTAAGAAAAAAAGATCCAGTATTTATATTCCAGGACCCTGAAAGCACACGTTTAATAAGGATGATTTACACCAGTTCTCAAGATGCCATTCAAAAGAAATTTAAATAAGTATTAAACATAAGTAGCAAGTAAATGGTTTGGAATGATGAGTAAAGACTCTCAATGCTTAGAGAGAAATTGGGAGGCAATATAGTGTTTCATTTGGATGAAACCCTTATCAAATGACGTCCAGTGCTCTCAGGATCTAAGGGCTTCCAATTCCCTAGCTTTGTAAACTGGATTTTTGTTCTTCCTGTTGAGCTTTTCCAACCCTTTGAATGAAACAGCTTTATTCATTTAGTCAATCAGTGATTTCCATCTAACTGTTTAATGCTACCAGTTCTATGCAGAAATCAAGGAATGCCCTCCCATTATACTTATACCCCCACAAGTAGTTATAGGCACCCCTTGGAGCAGCACTACAATGAATGGAATTGCCAATGGGAATAGCTTAGAATACTGTGAAGGGTAAGCTAATTGAACATATTGAAAGGACAGTTCATGGTCAGATGGATAACCTGATCCAGTTTTACTCATATTTGCACTTGATTGCAGTTCCCTGAGGCTTGAGCGTGCACATGCCACGTTTGCCTTGAAAAGTCAGTTTATGAACTATAGCAGCACATATTTAACCTTATACTGTGTGATAAGTTTCCTGTAATAAGTTAGTCGCCTTGCCATACCAAAAAGGAAAGCCAATTAAATTACTTTCATGGATGTCAACAAATCATCATAGTCTTACATGTTCATTCCTGATAGCTGCACATCTTCTTAAAGAAATAGTTGTGAATCCTGACTTTTGGATCGTGTATATCACTGCATAAGCACAGGTGTTTGTGGTTACCCAGTGAGTTGTACTTTGAATATTAGTCATGATGACAGTTTCTGTATTACAGCCTAATAGAGCATTGCTTCTTAGATCAAACTCCTCATGCTCACAAAAATGGCCATGTTGCAATAATTTTTAGAAATGTGGCTTTTTAATAAAAATAAAAAATAAGTATCATATTGAAATAAAGAAAGTAGTGTTCCACAAGTGGCGTGGTTTGGTATTGGACACAGTTTATAGGTGTATTCATATGAATACCATTTTCTCTTGGTCTTGCCAGCATGTTTCCGTGACTGTCCCCATTAGAGATAACATGGGAAATTTGGCAGGGTGTGCAAGCCAAATGGCCACCCTGCTGCCTCCCTTCCACAATCCCAGGGTGAGAAACAAGGACCAATAGATTTACTCTTGTCATTTCAGAGGGCCAGTGGCAGGTGAAATCGCAAAGAAGTAGACTTAGGCTTTTCAAAAGAAAGAACTGGCACAACAGAGTTTACAATTAGGAAACAGGCTCCTCTGGAGGTATCAGAGTTCCCCATTATTAGAGTCAAGCAAAGTTTGAATGGCCCCCTCTTGGAGACCCTAGATAGGAGAGCAGCGATGCTGAAGCATGATTTGATGTCCCTCAGGCTCTATGGATCTAATCACCAGGCTCATCTCCTCACCAATACTTCACCCCAATCCTTGGAGATAAGCCTCCCTTCTCCTTTCCTCTTTCTTTCCAAATCTCCCTCCACACTGCTCTGTGGGAACCACCAAGTTAGCTTTTCATCATAACAACTCTGAACTTTCATTAATTCATGCTGGTCAGGCAAAGAAGCAACAAGCTAAACCACCTAAGATATTTCCTGCCTTGCTTCAGACACACATCTACTCTGCTCCTATTCTTGACTTTAATTTTTTAATGGATCCATCACCTTCCAACTCTAAATCTCCTCATCCCAAATCTTTATGCGTTACCTTTTAAAAAACAGTAGGACACAGCCTATTGATCAAGAAGGCTGGTTCTTCAGTAGGAAGTCAGATCTGAACAGTTTGGATTCCAGAGGGATGTGAAATATTGTCTCCTTCTCAGGAAATTGTAAGCCTCTAGGTTAGAAAGCAAAGAACCACTGTTACCCTGAAAAATTCACAACCAGGAGAACCACATGGACTATTCTGTCTCTGTGGGAATGGAGTTTGGTGTTGATGCCTGTAGTCATGTTAGCTCTATCGTGGGGACAGAATCCCCTTCTACTGAGGGCTGGTTGTTTCACACACGTGTCACTCTCTCCATTGACCTGTCAAATGGCCTCTCAGGATTTCTGTATTATGAAGACCTTGTCAGCTGTGTGACCAGGGCAGAAGCAGAGGCCGTCAGTGTGCTGGTTAAAGAGGCTGTCTGGGCATTTCTTCCGGATGCTTTCGTCACCATGACAGGAGGGTTCCGGAGGTAAATAACTTGGGTGGCTTTGCCTCCTCTGCCCGAATACTTCAGTGGCTCCCTGACTTGGACAGGCATCTGAAACGGCACAAAAGGCTGTGATCTGGTGCCAGCTTCTTTCTACAGCTTTATCTCCTGCCTCTCACATTTCATTTCAGCAACCCCAAATGGCTTGTCATCCCCTGCACATTCAGAGCTGTTTCTTGCCTGTTGCTTTGCTTACTCAGAATTTTCTGCTTTGACTGCCATTCCTCAAATTGTCGCTTGGCTGACTTCCCCTCATTCTTTAACACTCAATTTAGATGGCACCTTCTCCAGAAAGCCTTCCTTGACTCCCTCTTTCTCCATGCTGGATTAGTGCCCCTCTTCCATGCTCCCTGAGTACCTGCAAAGCCCTTGATCCACATAGTTACAGTGATTTGTTCCTGTGTGTGGTTTCTCCACTAAGTTTGTAGAGCTTAGTTCTCAGCAAGACTAGTTCATGATGCCTAGCACAAAGTAGGTGCTCAAGAAATCTTGGTTGAGTCAATAAATGACTGACTGAATGAATTCATGAATGAGTGAACGCTTCACAAGGATGTATGTTGTTGTTGGATATTGAGGCCTGCATTTCAGAAAGGGATTTCTTTCCTCCCACAGCCTCCTCTACCTCTTTCTCCAGCCCTCTCACCTGGTGGCTTTTGGCCATCCTAACAAAATAGGTTTGGGGCAAGGAAGAAAGTAAGAGAAGATCAAATCTAAGATAATGCCTTTACTCCATGTCATAATTCCAAGAGCGCTACCTTGTATTATGTGAATACAATTCTTAGTTTGCTTGTTGTCATGCTTGTCTCCATGTGTGTATGTGTGGGTGCATGTAGGTTTGTGTGAGTGTGTAGAATAAATAATTTTTTTGTTATTTTTTGCCTTGATATACATAATCAGATACATGCTATGTATGACTTTTTCTGTGTCATAAATTTATTTTGTAAGGAACAGCGATGTGTAACCAAGGATATTTTGTTTCTTAAAAAAAAGTCAAGAACCTTCTATGTTGCAAATCTTAAGCATAGGGCATAGAAACAAAGGTGATTTTTTAAAAATGAAGACTAATATCTAATTGATTTCCATTTTATACTGCTTTTGAAAATTAGGGGTAAGAAGATGGGGCATGATGTAGATTTTTTAATTACCAGCCCAGGATCAACAGAGGATGAAGAGCAACTTTTACAGAAAGTGATGAACTTATGGGAAAAGAAGGTGAGAAGAAAGATGAAAAATACATGCACACGCAAACATTATGTTAACACTTGAATTTTGCACATTACTTGCCTTATAATTGTGTAATGACCATCTAATCAATTCTCAATTATTTGTGGCAGCTTATACAAAGCCATATGACCTACAATAAGACTTTCCTGTTTTGGGTCCTAGAGTACATGTTATGAATATGTCCTGTATCTTGTTTATTATACTTACCCTATTGCCAACAGGGCCAAGGGTGGCTATGCATTTGTGTTTGACATGCAGAGGCATTAAAGCACCCAATCAAAGTGAAAAGTATGCACTATGAAGACCTGGGAAATGTAAGCTGGAAAGCTGCAAGCTTGGGTGAGGGGGCAGGACTGCAAAGACTGGGATAAAATCAGTCTAAGAGGTGTTGATAGTGCCTCGATAGATTCGAGGCACTTCGTGCTGAGATGGAATGAAGGAAACTAATGAGGGCAAGCTGAGCCCTGCAGAGGTCATGGCTCAGAAGCCCCCATACATTGCAGAGATCAGACTTGTGACAGGCCTATTGCCTGGTGGAGGAAACCAAAGTAAGCTAAGCTAACCCTGCAGCCAGAGCCACATGCAAGCCCTGACTCCTGTCCAACTCTAGTGAGAGCCTCACTTCCTAGAGAGACCAGAGGGTCCTACCCTTGGGACCTGTAGATAGGTCTGGCTGGGCTGGTGTTTCTCCTCACAGCTTCCTCCTTCCTGAGTAGTTTGCATCTGTTTGGTGTGGACCAAGCTTACTGATATCCCAGAAAAGGAAAACCTCAGATAAAGTGAAAATAAAAGCTAGAAACACAACCCTAGGGCCAGGGGCACTGGAAGTGAAGACTCAACTTTAGAACCAGATCCAAACTGACACGAGTTTGAATACTGGGCGTCGAGTCTTCCCAGAAGGAGTTGGAGGGAATTAGAAGCGAAGGGCAGGGAAGGGATCCTGGCTAGAGAGCCTCACACTCAGCCTTGCAACCCTCCTCAGAAGGCACCTGAGACTAAATTTGGACGGAGCCTTCCTGTGGGAGGTCAAGCTGAGTGCATCTCCCTCCTGCCCCACAGCTCTCTTCCTGAGAACTGGCCGCTCTGTACCCTGGGGAGGATGGGAAGGATGGAGAGGTGGGGAAATGCCTCCTCCTAGTCAGGAGTTTCTCAGTGTCCAGTAGGAAAAATAAAAGAACATGCTGATGTCAATATTCAGTCAACCAGTGGGTATTGATGGGGAAGCCAGAGCCCAGAGGGCTGCCCTGTAGATAGCCGGGGCTGGAGATCTAGAGGTGGCATCAGGGGTTGTGTGCATGTTTGACAACTGTGGCCTGCTGCAGACAACCTTCTGAATATGCAGACAGGAGCATTACGTTCAAGGATGCATTCTCAAACACCTTGCAAAATTCAAGACAAAACCCAATAAAGAATGGCCCATTTCTCTCTTACCCACCAAGTGACAGTTTACTGTTAGGAATCCAGCTTTGTGGGCTTTTTTTTTTTTTTTTTAAGGGAAGGTGTGTTATTACAAATTTGGCTTTCATGTGAGACTTGTTCATATGTTTTATATCTCCTTTTTCAAATTTACATAATTGAAATTTACACAAAAGGCTGCTATTCTGTACTAGTTTCAGCAAGTTTCCTTAAAAAGTGGAATTGTATTTTCCGGAGCTGGTGATTCGAGGTTAACTACGGCAACATCTACCACCTCCTCCAGAGGTTCTTCCTAACATTAGTGCTTCCCCCTTCAAATGGTGTTTTTTCTTCAAGGCGTTGAAGGGTGAAGAGTTCCCTCTATTGAGGTCAACAAAATAAAAAGTATCTTTTTGAATTGAGATAATGTCTTGTGCAGGTTTGTAGAAGAAAGACAAAGCATGATTCCTAACAATAATCAATTTACCAATGATGCTCAAAGTGTGGTCCCTGGTCCGGGAACACCAGCATTGCCTGGGAACCTGTCAGAAATGCCCTCCCTGCCCCTCCTGCATCACTCTGGGGACAGAGCCCTGCAAACTGAGCTTTAGCAAACCTTCCAATTGCTTCTGATGATAGCGCTTTTAAACATCTAACCTAAAGAGTACATGGTAACAAATCACACATCCCAGTAGCTTGATGACATTATTTGAGGGTTACTTGCTGTTTTTGTTGCCAGATTTAGTGGTTGCTAGCATGTTTCTCTCTCCTGTCCCCACATCTGCCCTGTGCCATCAGGAACTCCCACCAAGAATGGCAACTCGATTGGGCACATCTTAGAATCACTTGTCCACTTTCTGGATAGGCAACTTTAAGTGAAACATGTGTCATTAACTTTATCCCACTTTCTCCAAGGCAGGTGGACTAACACTCTCATGAGAAAGAGTCTCCCAAGTGCTACCTAGAAATAGCAAGTCATCTTGCCCCAAAGTTAGACTCAGCCTCCAGCCACAACGCTTTTGGCTGGTTAAACCTGGTCATCAGTATAATATGAAGGGACACTGTCTTTGTCCATTTACCTTGCTATAAAGGAACACCTGAGGCTGGGTAATTTATAAAGAAAAGACGTTTACTTGGCCCATGGTTCTGCAGGATGTATAAGAAGCACGACACCAAGCATCTGCTTCTGGTGCGGCCTCAGGGGGCTTACACTCATGGCAGAAGGCAAGGAAGAGCTGGCAGGTGCCGAGGTCACAGGGTGAGAGAGAAAGCAAGACAGAGTGGGGAGGGGCCAGGCTCTTTGTAACCCCCAGCTTTCACGGGAGCTAACAAAGTGAGAACTCACTCATTACCATGAGGATGAGGACGGCACAAGTCATTCATGAGAGATCTTCCCCTATGACCCAAAGACCTCCCATTAGGCCCCACCTCCAACATTGGGGATCAAATTTCTACGTGAGATTTAGGGGGACAAACATCCAAACTATAGCAGACACTAACTCAAAGCTGCTCCCCAGAAACAATATGATTTTTTAAGTTTTATTATTTATTTATTTCTGAGACAGGGTCTTGCTCTGTCTCCCAGGCTAGTGTGCACTGGTGTGATTACAGCTTACTGAAGCCTCAACCTCCCAGGCTCCAGGGATCCTTCCACCTCAGCCTCCTGAGTAGCTGGGACTATAGACACGTGCCATCATACCTGGCTAATTTTAAAATTTTATGTAGAAATGAGGTCTTATTATGTCACCCAGGCTGGTCTCAAATTCCTGCAGCGTGGCTTTTTGTTTATGGTTGGTTTGTTTTTAAAGGACTGAGGAGAGCCCAGAGCACTAGCTGAGGTTCAGAAGTGGAGAGGGAGATTTTCTTGCAGTTTTGCCATTAAGTGGCTTTGCTTCAGCCTCTCTCATCGCTAAATTCCTTTTCCGTAAAGGGAAGATAATGCAACCACTTTCTTAGTGTTTTCTCCTAGTGTTTGCAGGTGGGCCTTTAATGCAAGGCCAAACACATGTCCATGTTCTGCTCGAATCTGAAAAGATTTCATTAAGAATCCAGTGTTAAATCATAGATCTTCTTCATCAGGGCCTTTTCCTGATGCCATTCTGTTTCTTTTCAGGGATTACTTTTATATTATGACCTTGTGGAGTCAACATTTGAAAAGCTCAGGTTGCCTAGCAGGAAGGTTGATGCTTTGGATCATTTTCAAAAGTGCTTTCTGATTTTCAAATTGCCTCGTCAAAGAGTGGACAGTGACCAGTCCAGCTGGCAGGAAGGAAAGACCTGGAAGGCCATCCGTGTGGATTTAGTTCTGTGCCCCTACGAGCGTCGTGCCTTTGCCCTGTTGGGATGGACTGGCTCCCGGGTAAGTGCTACATGGACCCATGGGATGATGTTAGCTTTCTGAAAGACGTAGGCCGAGTCTACCTGGGCCCAGGGGAGAGATGACGGCAACAGGGGCTGGGTGACAGGGGAGGGGCCAGTACCCAGAAACCTCTAACTCAAGGCATCCTGTCCACACATGGCCAAGTATGACAGATTAATTTAGAACAGTTATTCCCAGTGTGTGGTCCCCAACACCAGCAGCAGCAACCTTACCCAGGAACAGGTTAGACATGGAAATTCTTCACCCCACTCCAAACCTATGGAATCAAATCAGCATCTCTGGGGATTTCAGCCCGGAAATTTGTTTGGAAAAGGCTTCTAGGTGTTTCTGATGCAGCTCAAGTAGGAGAACCACTGAAGTACAGAAACCAGCAAGGGGATTGAAATAGGAAACAATTAATAAAGTGGAGAGGCAACTCACAGATTGGGAAAAAATATCTGCACATCATACATCACATAAGGGCCATTATCCAGCATATACAAGGAAACCAAAAGACTCAATAACAAGAAAACAAATAATCCTATTTAAAAATGGGCAAAGGACTTGAATAGATATTTCTCAAAAGAAGACATATAAATGGCAAGCAGATAT
Organism: Homo sapiens; assembly: GCF_000001405.40. Lineage (NCBI taxonomy): Eukaryota > Metazoa > Chordata > Mammalia > Primates > Hominidae > Homo > Homo sapiens. The sequence continues at coordinate 96,333,209 of NC_000010.11, forward strand.
TGCCATCTTGCTTAACATCTCTAATCATCAGAGAAATGCAAATTAAAACCACAATAAGATGTTATCTCACATCCGTCAGATTGGCTATTATCAAAAACATGAAAGACAGCAGGTGTTAGTGAGGCTGTGGAGAAAAGGGAACCCTCTTGTATTGTTGGTGGTGTTGTAAATTACACATTTTGGAAAATAGTATGGAAGTTCCTCAAAAAACTAAAAACAGGGCTACCATATGATCCAGCAATCTTACTTCTGGGTATATAGCCAAAGGAAATGAACTCAGTATGTCAAAGAGAGGTCTGCACTCCCGTGTTCATTGCAGCATGATACACCATAGCCAAGATATTATATAAAAACAACCTAAGCATCCACAGCAGATGAATGGATTTTTAAAATGTAGTATATGCACAGTGGAGTATGACACAGCCTTTCGAAAACAGGACATTCTGTCATTTGAGACAACATGGTTGAACCTAGAGGACATTATGTTAAGTGGAATAAGTCAGGCACAGAGAGACAAATACTGTATGATCTCGTTTCTGTATATGTAGAATCTAAAACAGTCAAACTCGTAGAAGTACAGAATAGAATGTAGAATGGTGGTTAGCAGAGGCTGGGGGATGAGGACAGAAAATGGACAGGGAAAAGGGTCAACAAGTACAAAGTTCCAGTCAGACAGGTGGAATAAACTCTGTTCTATTGCACAGTATGGTGACTATAGTTAATAAAAGTGTATATTTCAAAGTAGCTAAAAGAGAGGATTTTTAATGTTCTTACCACAAAGAAATGGTAGAAGTTTGAGGTGATGGACATGCTAATTAGTCTGATTTTATCATTCTGCAATGTATATAGATGTATCAAAATATCATATTATAACCCACAAATGCATACAATTATTATATGTTAATTAAAAATAAAATCAAGCTATAAAATTTTTCTGAAAGAGCACAAGTTGAGTTCATCCCAGACCTGGTTGCAAGCTCCTGCACTGCTTCTTACTGTTGGGTGATCTTGGACAAGTTCTCTATATCCTGTAAAACTCAATTTTCCCGTCAGGAAAATGAGGACGATGACCTTAGCTACTTCCCTGAGTTGCAGAGACATTAGGTGACATGATGTTCTCAAAGCCTCAGCACCAAGCCAGCACGTGGCCAGTACTGGATAAGTAGTAGCTTCCATATCCTGTCACTCACAGGAGAGGACACCTGTGATTTGAGTCCCATTCGCATGTGTTCCACCCTCCCAACTAAACACCTCACCCTGTTTCTCCTGTTTTCCCAGGTAGCTGGTTGTTGCTTTGAGTGAAATGGGTTCGTAGAGGGTTTTTTATACAGATGAATGACACAACACAAATTAATTGTTCTCAGCCGTGGGTTAAATGTCAGGTGTCTTTGCTTTGGACTGGAATTAATTCAGCACAGCATCTTAGCACTGGGATTTCTTACTCTAATCACAAATGTTGACTGACAACTAAATGCTTTTTTCATTCCTAAAAAAAGGGGAAGAAAAGAAAAAATATATCATAAATGCAACTTGTCTGATAGACATAAATCTTTGGGAACACATAGTTGATTGAGAAAGGGGAACGTTCCAGAAAGAAGTCCTTGGTTATGCAATGTCATGCCAGTTAAGCATCACTGGCTGAAGTGGTTGACATTTGCCCATTTTATTTTTAAGATGGACATGTTTTCAACACATTCTAGTCTGTTTCCTCAGAGTACTCAGAAATTGTTGCTGTTGGTTCTGCAAGGCACTGGCAGAGCACTAAGCTCTTTTGCTTTTTAGCTGGGTGACTTTAAACAAATAAAGGACTTCTGATTGCAAAGTCCATCTCCTCAACCATCCCGGGTGAGCTTTCCTAAAATAGCAAATTGTTCCTTACCACTAGAGGGCACCAGTATCCCAGGCTTGCTCCCTACTCCCACATGAAGAGGACAAAATTTCTAGATTGTGTTTCTCTCAGGAAAACTAGTCTCCATGACAATTCGTTGCCCTCCTTTCCCAAGGTGTTCCTGTCCTCTGTCTTAGGCTTCATGTATTGCTCCCTTCAGTCTCAGAGCCCATTCCTGACTGTGGGAGATGTCATCCAGGAGCAGTTGACTTAGACGATCAGTTTCATGGCATCTCAGTGTGAAAGGATGTTAAAGCCAGAGGGAGTCTTAATCATGTCCTTCCTCCATCCTTTCATTCACTCAACCAAGACTCAGGGAGTCTGGATGACTTGACAGGAGATGCACAGCCAGGTAGGGACAAAGTCCAGGCTGGAACGGGTTCCCTGACTCCTCCATCCTCTTTTACAATAACAATATTCCAAATCATGTAACACCCACCAAACTAGTATTTATCCAGCATTTACTCTGGACCAGGCATTATCCTGGTAGAACGCTCACGCTATTCATTTATTCATTCAATAAAACATTTGCTATACATCTTCTACATGCGAGGCACTATTTGAGGGAATACAGTTGTGGACAGAACAAACCAGGTTCCTGCTCTCACAGAGCTTACATTCTAGTGTGTTCATGGGAGCACGGACTTCTGTCACCAGAGAATTTGGCCCTGGGGGAGGAAAATCACTTTGAGAATGTTTAGTGGAGTTACATATTTCACTAGAGGGATGTAGCCACCTAATACTGAAGACATTCTAGACGTGTTAATAATTTATTTTAACTATCTCCTATCCAGCAGTTTGAGAGAGACCTCCGGCGCTATGCCACACATGAGCGGAAGATGATTCTGGATAACCATGCTTTATATGACAAGACCAAGGTACAGTTCTCTTCCTAAAAGGGGCTACTTTGATCCTCATCCCCAAGGCTGGCCCCCGAGCTTTTTTCATGGACTGATTTTAGTATCCAGGTATGGTTTCCTTTGTCATGCGTGTTCTATTTCCAGTTCATCATAGTTGAGGGCAGCAAGAAAGATTTCCACAGACTCGCAGTTTCCACCCGGCCCAGAATGCAATTCGAGAGATTTTGGCTGAAACATGATGAGCTAATTGGGCTTCCAGAACAAGTCCAGCAGTGAACATTAACTGGGTTTGGTATATCCTTGGTGTTGGCAATGAGTAACTCCAAAGTAAACCAGGGATCCCCAGAAATCACAAATACTACTTGTGTACCCCTCAAATGCAGGGGGCAGTGGCATTTTGAGTGGCCATGTAGGCCATTAACAACAGTCTCCTGCAAGAAAGAGAGCAACAGAGCTGCCCTGAGACATAAATGAGCATCCAGCTAGTCTCATTGACTACCCATGTCACTCATTTGGTGTGCTAGTCTTACTGTGGTCATGATCCAATTCATCCCTCAGCAAAACGATAGATGCCTGTAGAAGTTAGAAGAGTTAAATATCCAACTGTTAAATCCACAGTTCTAAGGGCTACTCTTCTTACAGATATCAAGGACACCAAAATAGGCTCCATGGGGAAGAAAACTCAAAATAACTAGAAGTAATGGTAGTGGCCAGGCGCAGTGGCTCACGTCTGTAATCCCAGCACTTTGGGAGGCCGAGGCGGGTGGATCACTTGAGGTCAGGAGTTCAAGATCAGCCAACATGGTGAAACCCCATCTCTACTAAAAATACAAAAAATAACCAGGTGTGGCGGCTCGCACACACCCAGCTACTTGGGAGGCTGAGGCAGGAGAATCACTTGAACCCGGGAGGCAGAGGCTGCAGTGAGCCGAGATCACACCACTGCACTCCAGCCTGGGCAACAGAGTGAGACTCTGTGTCAGGAAAAAAAAAAAAAAAAAAGTAATGATCATTTCCCTCTAGGAGCTTGTAGTCTAAATGAGATGTATTCAGTTAGAGTTGTCTCAGTTACAAATGTTAGAAATCAAATCTAAAGTGGCATAAACAAAAAAGGGAACTTGGGTTATATACTGCAATGTCGAAGCGTTCAGGGGCAGCCGAATATGGGTGCTCAGGCAGGCTTCCCTCAGTATTGCCTTTATTCTCAGGCAGGTTTCCCCATAAGTCCCACTCTTCCAGCTACTTCAACAGAGAAGAGCCTGTTTCCTAATAGTTCCCCCAAGAATCCTACCTGATGCTCATTGGCCAGGCCTGGGTCATGTGCCTATCCCTGAACCCATTACTGTGGCTCTGATTGGCCAGACTTGGGTCATGTGCTGCTTCTTGGAATTGGGAGCAGCTGCACCTAACCCTCCTGGACTGAGAGTCAAGAGGAGTGGTTTCCCATAGAAAAATCCAGGTGCTGCTCACAGAAGAGGGGGCTGTGGATGCTGGCAGGAAAGCCTCGGATGCTAAGCATGTGGGTGAAGGCAGATTCACATAGTACAATGAAGGAACACTTACAAATTAATACATTCTAAATAGTTCAATGTAAGCAAGTACCTTCTATGTGCCTAGCACCGTGCTATGTACAAGAAGGGATGGAGGAGAAGAGCTGCTTGGTCTTAAAGAGATCACAGAGTGGGATCCTGCTGGGGTTAGAGGCAAGCATGGAAAGCTAAGGAAAACCCAACACATACAAGTATCCTATAATTACCAGCAGTACAAAATTATAACTGCATGTTAGAATTACCCAGTGCGTTCAGATAGATTGATTATAAGATCTCTCCTGAGCTTCTGATTTCACTGGACTGGGGTATGGCTCAAGCTTCAATGTTTATTTTTTAAACTCCATCAGGTTGTTCTAATAAACAGCTGTGGTTCAGAACTACAGCCCGTAGGAAAAATATCCAAATGGCTTTTGCTGAATATGTTAAAGCTGTTATGATTTTACTTTAATTCATTTAGTACCATGTTTTGGAAAGTCAGTTAAAATGACTTTTTATACTCAGAAGCAGGGAATTATGTTTGGGCTGTAATTCATTCTGACAAGGCAATTTTATAAGTAACACTTTCACTGTGTCCACACCATGGTGCTTATGAAAAATATCTGAATGCACATATTTCTTGTTATGTTTTCAGAGGATATTCCTCAAAGCAGAAAGTGAAGAAGAAATTTTTGCGCATCTGGGATTGGATTATATTGAACCGTGGGAAAGAAATGCCTAGGAAAGTGTTGTCAACATTTTTTTCCTATTCTTTTCAAGTTAAATAAATTATGCTTCATATTAGTAAAAGATGCCATAGGAGAGTTTGGGGTTATTTAGGTCTTATTGAAATGCAGATTGCTACTAGAAATAAATAACTTTGGAAACATGGGAAGGTGCCACTGGTAATGGGTAAGGTTCTAATAGGCCATGTTTATGACTGTTGCATAGAATTCACAATGCATTTTTCAAGAGAAATGATGTTGTCACTGGTGGCTCATTCAGGGAAGCTCATCAAAGCCCACTTTGTTCGCAGTGTAGCTGAAATACTGTCTATCTCTAATAAAAACAGGAGGAAACAAGATGATGGAATCTGTTTTTCTTCACTCAAATATTATAAACTATTTTAAAACACAAGTGTAACCAAGTGGAAGAATAAAGAGCTTACAGTTTGTCTTAAGGGGACAAACAGGTTTAATTAGAAGATGCAGAGATTCCAGAGGGGATTTGGGTCCGTTCTGGAGCTTGTGGAGGAGGGGTGCTGCCTCTGGACTGGCTCAGCTCGGCTCAGTGCCTGCTCCTTCCCGGCCATCATACAGCTGGTTCCCTAAGCATCCCAGCACAGGACCACATAAAGGATGTATTCTCCCTGCCATCGTGCTGAAGGAAAGACAATGTCCTAAACCATCAAAGAAATATCTCCCTCTTTTTTCCATCTTGGAGCTTCTGTCTACACCTTATGGCTCAGTCTCTCTCAGGAAGTCAGTCTCTCTTGGCTTCTTATCTGAGGGCACCCAAGGGAAGGGAGGGAGCCCTGGCTGAGGGAAATTTTGGAACTCCCAGGCTCCAGACCCATTCTTTCCTCCTGCCTCCTCCAGGAGGCATAGACCCTTTGCCTTGAAGGGAGTTAACAGGTCATCTGTTCCAGCTGCTTCCGTGTCTTCAGCCTGCTAAAGAGCTGGGAGGCCCATGACGACCGTTTTCCCTTCCTTCCAGTCCCTCTGGGAAGAGGATATTGGGAGATACAATACCTTTTGGCTATTGTGACTAATGCTGCTGTGAACATTGGCCTACAAGTATCTGTTTGAGTCCCTGCTTTCAATCCTTTTGGTAGGGACCTAGTAATAAAATTGCTAGATTCAATGGCTATTCTATACTATGTTTAACTCTTTGTGGAACCACTGTACTGTTTTCCATAACAACTGCACCGTATTACATTCTTAACCAACAGTGCGCAAGCGTTCCAATTTCTCCACATCCTCAACACTTGTTATCTTCTGCATTATCTGTTTTATAATAGCTGTCTTAATGGGTGTGAAGTGGCGGGTGAAAACTTTTGCCCATCCTGGAACCCAAAGACAGTCCAGGCTGAAACTAACACACTGAAAGGGCCTCAGATGGTGTGTGTGCCTGTCACATCTTGAGTTGATGGCTAAAAAAAGCTGGGGACAACAAGAGGGTGGACAGCAGCCACCCCCACTGGCCTCAAATCCCAAAATCCACAAAGTATTCTAGTCTTTTCTGCTGCCCAGTGTTTCCCAGTTATGACATTCAAGATTATTCTAGGTAGTAAGTAGATGAATATTTTCATACTGATATAATCAATAAATATTTATTGGGTGCTTACCATGTCAGTCATTTTTCTAGGCACAGGGCATAGAAAAGATAACAAAACTGTCAAAAATCTCTGCCTGTATGATTATAAGCATAAAGCTTATGTTCTAGAAAGGTGTTTATTTGTGTTCGAAAGGTGTTAAGAAAATGGTTCCTTATTGATGGTAGTGATATAAAGCTTCCTTTTTGGAATAGGTTTATTTATATAAGAAAAGCGACTCAAGGTCAGGGAAATCATTTAGGAAATATTACCAGTGAAATGGGGGAGTGGCAAGAATGAGGAGAGAGGGACGCAGGTGGCTGACATTTGGGAAATGTGCAGGTGGCCTTGTCGCCTTCACTGAGCAACTCCCCAGCCCTGTTCTCTGGAGGTCCCCACCACACAATAGCCCCAGGAGGTCCATGCCAGAGGAGTTTCCCCATCAGAGAACCTCACAGATTCTAAATGCTACTTTCCTTATTTGAAAAGGCCTGTTGGAGATTCCACAAATGCCATGTCTTTTTTTTCTTTTTTGCTGTAAGCCAGAATTTTTATCAGTTCTGGACATGTTTTTTTTTTTTTTTTTTTTTTTTTTTTGCCGTAGGCCAGAATTTTTTTCAATTATTGTGGTGACTAGTTACCAGAACTCAGCCTTCGCCTGTGCCTCCTACTTTGGCAGCAGAGCGCCCTCTGATGGCTGACAGAAGAATCCTTGGAGGCAAGCACAGTATGATATAGCAGATCAAGTAGGAAGCAGATTATCTGTTAAAAACATTGGAACTATATGTAAGAAGCCATGGATCACCGATGCTCTATTTGTTCACTTTTTTCCCAGCCTTTTAAATCTGTGTTTTATTTGGGGTAGTTTTTATTGCTGTATCTTCAAGTTTACTAATCTTTTCTTCTGCAATGTCTAGTTTCATTAAACCTCTCCAGTATTTTATCTCACACATTATAGTTTTCATCTTTAGATGTATGATTTAGTTTTTAAAAACTATCTTCCATGCTTCTATTTAACATATTCAATTTTTCCTCTAGCTTATTAAATACATGGAATATAGTGTAACTGTTTCAATGTCCTTGTCTACTAATGATATCATCTGTGTCAATTTTGAGTCAGTTTCTATTAACTGAGTATTCTCCTCATTATGGGTCACATTTTCCTCCCTCTTTGCAAGCTTGGTAATTTTATATTGGATTCTAGACATTGTGAACATTGTGAATTTTTTCCTGGATATTTTTGTATTCCTGTTAATATTCTTAAACTTTGTTCCAGGATGTGGTTAATTTACTTGGAAACAGTTTGATGTGTCCTCATCTTGCTTTTGAGCTTTGTTAGGCAGGACTCATCTTACTTTTGAGCTTTGTTAGGCAGCACTAACGTAGTCTAATCCAGGGTTAATATTCTTCCCCACTACTGAGGCAATACTTTTCTCAGTGTTCTGCCTGATGCCTGGTGAATTATGGTGTTTTCTACTCTGGCTGTTTGGGAACAGGCACGGTTTGTGGCCTCCCACTGAGAGGCCTGGCCCATTAGAGCTTAGGGTATTGTTCCCTCTAATCCCTTTGTGTGGTTCTTTCTCCAGCCTTGGGTAGTTTTCTCACATGCATATGCTGATCAATGGAATAATCAAGAGGTCTCCTCTGTCTCTGTGCAACTCTTTCTCCAGTACTCTGCCCTGCAAATTCTATTCACCTTGGCCTCCATGGACTTCCAGCTCTATCTCACTAACAGCATGTGCAAAAGCCATGTGGTGCAAGGACCATGGTGTCAGAGAAAAGGCCCACGTGGCAGGAGGGCCATGGCATAAAATGAGCAGAGAGAAAGCTCTTGCAGCTGGAGGTTCCCACGTGTCTGAGTTGCAGAGAGAAAGCCTATGTTTGTGGACAGACCATGGCATCTGAAGGGCAGAGAGGAGGCCTAAGTGGTTGGGGAATAGAAACTAGAAGAGGTGGGACACAAGACTAGGCTTTCCCCAGCTCTCAAAACAAAGACCCATATCCTTACCTTGGCTTTCATAAGTGGGTAATCCCTGGCCAGGTGAGTCAACAGTAATCAGTGTTTGACTCTTCATGACAAAATCAGTCACATTTATGGTAGAATTTTGTCAACATGGTTTGTTCTCGCTCACAATCAAATCTTTCAAATCATTTTAGCCTGGAAATGAAAGTCTATGATAAACTGATTCTCTTTCATTATAAATCAGATTTTAAGCCCCAGGTTACACTCACCCTGTCCTCCAGAGGCCCCCTTCAGTTTTAGAAATAGTTCTACAGCCTATTGGACAAACTCGGCCAACTTCCAAAATGTTCCCCAGTCTCACCTGTCCAGTTTTAGTATTTTTCACCCCTTAACTTATTGGAGTTCAGGTAGCCTCTCTATAGGATGGAGGAGAGAGGTTTTTTTCTGAGTTTTACTTGGAGGTACAGCACTTTAATGTATGCCCTGACATAACCAGACATTTCAGCCATTTGGAATTCTCAGAGGATTGAAGTGCTATGCCCATTTCTCCTTCTCCTCTAACTTCAGGTAAAGGAAAAAGAAGAGTATAGATTCTTATCTTATTTGAGCCCAAGAGAGATAGTTTTATGTCTTTGAGCTTAGAGGCAAAGCACCTGTATAAAAGCTTTCCTGATATTATTTCCTTGGATGGAGATTCACATTCAATTGGGTAGAGAAACGTTTCCACAAACACCCAGTTTAGCATTTTCATTATGCCCCCAACATTGTCTTAGGACCTGGCAGATTGTCTGACATTGGAAGGAAGCCAGTGCACATTTGTTAAATCAATTCACGCATTAAGCAATAATTCTCATCAAGATGGTGGGAGGGCAAAGGTTATATGACTTCACAATCTTTCAAAAATTAGTTATCACTTTTTGGTCTTCAATTAACATCGCAATGTTGCAGGGAAAAACGCCTTAAGCAAAACTAATAATTGTTATTTCTTGGCAAAATAAAGAAGAAGTGAGTATCTGTCTCCACCAGCAAAGTCAGGAACTGAGAAGAATCATAGAGGGTATAGAAGGCTGTGCTGATGGGAGTGAGGAACAGGCAGGCAGAAGGAGTGCTTTGCAGGGTTTGGGGAAAATCAAAGTAGAATGTTTGGACTGGATGGATGTAACTTTATAGATAAACCAATTCAAACACCAGATGATACAGGAGGAAATGAGACCCACACACATCGTGCAACCTGACTAAGGTCACTTAACTTACCAGCAGCCCTGGGTTAGGGAAGCAGAGCTTCTGACTTTGGGTCTCATCATTTTGCTTACCACACAGAGCTGCCCTCCATGAAAGACTGAATGTCTTCTAGCCTGGCAGAGAAAGTGCCAATATCGGGAATATCCCTGGGATAATCTTGGTTCCAGGGACAGAGCCAATGTTCTCTAATATAGGCAAAGAAAAGCCACAAACATTTTGTAGGTTCATAAGAATGGCCATTTTACTTTTCACTTCATTCCAACATAAGTTCTTGTGTATCATAGCAGAAGTAAATGACAGAAATGCTGAACCTTTCTAGTTTAATAGAAACAATGTTTAAATATTCTAAGCCGTGGATTATAAGTAGAATTAAAATAAGTGATCCAAAACACAAGTCATCCCTCACTTTATAGCTACATGGCTTAGTCACATGCATATTTCAATCCAGCCTTACAACCACCCCATGGGCTAAAAGGATGGAGGATGAGAACTGCTGTCTCCACTTTACAAGTACAGAACTGAGGCTCTGGATGATCAACAATCGGCCCAAGGGCTGACACCTATAAGTATCAAAGCCAAGGCCACGGCTGAGTTCTCAGTAAATCCAAGGTCCTTCATGACATGTAGGAGAAGTACAAGCACCAGGATGACTGGGAATGTCTGTTTAAAAATGGCTAAATCTGCTTGTTTAAGGTAATTAGATCCAGAGGACTTGGCACAAAACTGAGTTTCAAAAGGGGCTTTGAAGAGCAGGTATTGACATGTGGCAGAGATTGGGTTCATAGAACATGTTCTTGGTTATTCAGGGAAGAGGGGCATGTTTCTGAGTAATCAGAAGCCCTGTGTGAGAAAGGAATATTTTCTAGGATATCTGTGTGGCTCATGGAGCTGCTGGATGAACTTAAGATGCCCTGGACCCAGGCCTTCCCACTGGGAGGCCTGGCCTGCTAGAGGGCAATGGCTATACATGGGGGAACCAGGCTGCCTGGAAGCCTCCTCATGGGAGTGAAAGTGAAAGCCTGTCCCAAGCTGGCTGAATGGCAGGCACGTTGCTCCTTGGCCCATTCCTGTGGTCCTGTCTCCATCCCCTTGGGTCCTCTTGATTTTTCTTTCTGCCAAACAGCTTTCCCCTAGATATCCAAGGACTTGGTTCTTTTCTCCAAGTAGACTTGGTTCTACTCCACAGAGTAGATACAGCCCTCATTTCTAATAATCTTTTGGAAAAACTCTTGCCTTCCCCGCGGCCCCCCATCTTTACTTTCAACACACACACAGTCCGTCGCAGAACTGCCCTCCTTAAATACTCTCTGATTACAGACACAAGTAGGAGCAATGAATGATGTGTCTCCTAGGCCAGGTGTGTGGTAGGGTAGCTGACACATGTTAGAAGGAAGTCTGCCCAAAGACACAGAGGAAATGAAACTCATATTGAAGGCAAAAGAAGAGTACAGAAGAAAAAAAAAAAAGGCTGGGGATGGATTGGAAAATGGGAAGAGGAGTTACTGGGATAAGAGAAAGCTGGAGGGTGGCCTCTCCTGGAGTAATCCACCCAAAATAAGGCAACCTGGTTATAGTTTGCCCAATAGGCTCAATGGGCCAACACCACTTGAAGTAGCCTCTCCTTTTCCATTTGGCCTCCTTGGAGACAGTCCTCAGCAAGCTGAAGCGGCAATGCTATGCGTGGGCTTAAGGGCTCTTGTTTAATCTGAAGCCTTTAAAAAATAAAATAAAAGAAGTTGTAACTTTAACAACTATCCCTAAAGCACAAAAGTTAAAGTTATTTGAGGAACTGCCATCAGAGGTATCATAATGTCTTACTTTAAAAATTAAGCAAAATGTTTCATTGTAAAGACAAAGTGTTGTTTTAATATGAAACATGAATTTCCATCAACATTAACATCTTTAAGGTTAAATGTAACACCACCAGTCTCTGTATTTGGAATTCGGAACTTGTAAGAAACTGCCTTTTCCTGATTCATATGAGGACACGATCACACCTAGATTGGAAGATTCACATACTACCAGCAACACCTAGAATCATCTTTAGATAACAATTTGGATCATAGGCCATGGAGAAAGTTTGTCCTAAATGTTCCCTTGTGTGGCCCTGTGACTATGGGGAACAAATGCTGGTGATTAGCTGTTTTATCAGGCAAGCAATATGGGAAGAGGTAGGAAGAAGGTGGTAGAGAGAGAGAACTAACATTTTGACTGGCAACTAAGTAGCAGACACTTCCCTTTATTTCTTATTTAATCTTTTCAATTATGACATGAGGCAAATATTTCCCCTCCTTTAAAAAAGCAAAAACTGAGGCTTGAAAATGTTAAACAACTTCTCCAAAGTCGTACAGCTGCTCAGTGGTAGGTGTGACTTAAGAGTCCGTATTCTTTCCACTGCTGTGTGACATGATTGAGCCAGGTGCTTCCCTGTGGTCAGGGAATGTGTGGCTCCACATGGTTCCTACCCTGAGATATTCAGAAACAATTAACTGCTTCCTCTCACACATCCTGCATAAGTTTCATTTGTATCCCAACTTGCACCAGGCTGACCTCAGCAACACTTCCATGAAAGTCAGATCTGATGGCTTTTTTGAGAAAAAGGATATGAAAAAAAAAGATGAGAAGGCAAGACACTCAGAAACCAAGCCCCTTTCCCAAAATGACAAAGAAAAGCAAATTCCCACTGGGAGCAGGAATAGGATCTAAGGACCCCATCTGGTGAGTCACATGTACTAACTAAAGCACAAGATCTGAGAGTTGGAATTAACCATGTTGGGGATGTCCCCTAAAGAGACAAATCAGCCCCAAAGTGTTCCAGAGCTGTAAATGAAATTTGGATTGATTAAGAAGCAGCTTGGCATCTTTCCTCTCCAAGTACAAAACCCTGGGTTTTCAACCCTGTTCCAGTGCCAGGTCTGCTGCTCCTTGACTGAGCTGCATCATTCCAGGCTCAGTCTGGGCACAAGCCACCACAATCCCCTCCTTCTTTCCATTTCTATAGTAGGACGGTAACGGTCATGCACAGGTTCCTCGCTTCCTGCTACAGTCTTCACATATATGTGGGCCTCTTGTGCTCCCATCGTATTCTTCTCATGTGTGGGTGATCTCCTAGGATTCTTAAGGAAACAAATAGGTTTTTTAAAAACTACAGCAGAGAATTCTTTCATACAAGATGGACTAACAGCAACCACATTGACCCTCCCACCTGAAATAACCAAAATCAGACACAACATTTGAAGCAATAGTTTTCAAGACACTAGACAACAGGCAAGGAGGGACAATGGTCCTGGAGAGACAGAAAACAAATGAGGAGAGACCCACAATTACCTGATCTTACTGCTTTGGGAGAGCTTTCAGGCCACTCAACTATCTTTTGTTTATTGTTAACAAAGTTTCTCATTTTTTGTCTTTTAACTGTTAATCTATTTGTGTATTTATATTTAAAGTGAGTTTTGTAGGCATCATATGATTGGACCTTGTTTTTATAGCCAATGTGAAATCTCTTCCTGTTAATTCGGGTATCTAGACCATTTACATTTAATGTGATCATTGATATGGTTGGGTTTAAATCTACCATCTTGCTATTTGTTTTCTGTTTGTTCTACCTGTTTGTTGTGTCTTTTTAACTCTTTTTCTACTTTATTTCATATAGATTTTAGAAGAACCTCATTAAGTTCCATGAAAAAAATTGATTGGGATTTATATTGAAATTACATCTGTTATATAGATCAACATTGTTTGACATCGTTATGTTATTAACACTTTCTATCCAGGAGCATAGTATGCAACCCCCATTATTTAGGTATTATTTAATGGGTTTTTTAACCAAAGTTTTATTATTTTCCATAAAGGTATTACATATTTTTGTTAGATTTATTCCATAGCATTCTACATATTTTAATACCAATTACCATCACAAATGGTAATTTTTAAAATCACTTTTTCTAATTGTTGTTGATGTTGAAAGTATAAATTACTTTTATATATTGATTTTTGTATCCAGTAAACTTGTTAAAATTTCTTGTTAATTCAAGTAATTTTTCTGTAGATTTAGCTTTTCTTTTCTTTCTTTCTTTCTTCCTTTCTTTCTTTTTTTTTTCTTTTTTTAAGATGAAGTCTCACTCTTGTCCCCCAGGCTGGAGTGTGATGGTGTGATCTCAGCTCACTGCAACCTCTGCCTCCCAGGTTCAAGTGATTCTCCTGCTTCAGCCCCCCACGAAGTAGCTGGGATTACAGGCACCTGCCACCACACCTGGCTAACTTTTGTGTTTTTAGTAGAGATGGGGTTCACCATGTTGGCCAGGCTGGTCTAGAACTCCTGACCTCAGGTGATCCACCTGCCTTGGCCTCCCAAAGTGCTGAGATTACAGGCGTGAGCCACCGCACCCAGCCAGATTTAGCTTTTCTATGTCGACAATCATACCATCTGCAAATAATGACAATTTTGTTTCTTCCTTTTCAGTGTTACACTTTCTAATTTTTTTTTTTGAGATGGAGTCTTGCTCTTGTCACCCGGCTGGAGTGCAGTGGTGCGATCTCAGCTCACTGCAACCTCCACCTACCAGGTTCAAGCGATTCTCTTCCCTCAGCCTCCCGAGTAGCTGGGATTACAGACGACCGCCACCACACCCAGCTAATTTTTTGTATTTTTAGTAGACACAGGGTTTCACCATGTTGGCCAGGCTGGTCTCAAACTCCTGACCTCAGATGATTCACCCGCCTCAGCCTCCCAAAATGCTGGGATTACAGGCGTGAGCCACTGCACCGGACCTATACTTTCTAATTTTTAAAAATCCTACTTCATTGACTAGGATCTAAAGTATAATATTGAATAGAAGTGGTGTTAGTGAAGATCCTTGTTTTATTTCTGATCTAAAGAGAATGCTTTCAACATTTTACTGTTAGGTATGATGTTAGCTGTAATTTTTTGAAAAAGACATCTTTCAAGTCAAGGAAGTTCCCATTCTATTTTTAATTTGCTGAGAGTTCATATCACTGTTAAGTTTTTTTGAACTTTCTTCCCCTATTGAGATGGTCACATGAGTTTTCCATTTTAGTTTGTCAGTAAAATAAATTATATTAAATTGATTGTCTAATATTAAAGGGAGCTTGAATTTCTGTTCAGCCAATAAAAATGCACTGAGAACCTCCTTTGTGCTTGAGCTTCCTCTTGGTCATCTCTTTTCTACATGTGCTCATACTGTGCTTCTTTTGGTGAAAGGCTTTCAAACACTTAGCTTGTTTACTGTGTGAATGGTATATAGAGAGTATAACCAAGAGTTCTTACCTCAGATATCTTGGGATTGTCATCAATTTCTGAAATTTCACATGGTCTGTCACTTTCCTAAATTGGAAAAAATATAATAATAAAAGAAAGAAAGAAGAAGAAGTGAAGGGTTATAGCATTTGACCGTAACTATGATTAAAATCAGTGCTTTTTAAATCTGAGTGTACATTAAAACAAACAAAACAAGCACAGAGGCATCTAATAACATCACCCCTCAAACCAAACCAAACCCATACCTAAGCCAAGAAATATCATTGTGAGTTATCAAAAATAATCCAGGGTGAGAGTAGAGATGAAACAATATTGGCCATGGGTTAATAATTGGGTTCATTATACTATCCTCTCTACTTTAGTATATGTTTGAAATTATAATTAAAAAATTGTTTTTGTTTTTTCAAGATCAGTGCCACAGCTTTGTCATCCAGAAATTCTGATTTAATTGGCTTTGGTGATTGGAAATTTTGAGCTTCCTAAATAATTTTAAAGTGCACTGGAGGTTGAGAAACTATTACTTAAACAATACCACCACTAACCACAATACTTCTTGATGTGTTTAAAATTTACAGCTTGTCAACACATCTTTACATGTAAAAATGTTCATCATCCATTATCTCATTTCATCCTTATAACTTTCCCTACCTCTTAAAATAGGGAGGGTAGTTTCTATGACTCCTATTTTGGAGTTGAACTAACCAAGACATATTAAATGTTAAGTCACTTGTCCAGGATCATATAAATCATAAAGTGGCAGAGTCAGGTTTAGAACCTCAATTTTCAATCTCTTAATTAATGTTTACCCATATGATAACAACCTTGAATGTCAATAAATAGAGAATAGAATTAGAACCCAGAGTCCACATGACACAGTTGTGTCACAACCATGGAACCTTGTTGGATATGAGTCTAGGTGGCTTTTGATTTCTAAGCATAGTCCCCAGAACAGTCTGGCATTGGAGGGGTGGATTGGATGGGGAGGATATAGATTCCCTTGTGATTCTATCATGGTGTCTATCATGGACACCTCAGCCCCTCTTCATCTCCTATCTTTCTTAACGTTATCTCCATCCTTTCTTTGTGAAGCTTGTGCGCTTTTGTTTCTCAACTTTAGAAAGCACACCCACTGTACAGACATGTGTTTGCCATGGCAACAGACATCCTTCTCCACTGCTACTTTTTGTTACCCCAAATACCATCTTTGTCAGGAATTCCTCAACTGACCTGAAGGTTTTATGACAAATCAGCTCTGTCTGGTGCCTAATGTCATGTCTGCAGTGGAAATTATGGCCCAGAAACTTCCAGCATCTTGTCCTCAGGAAATAGACATGGGCCCTGAATTCTGACACCCTTAGTCCAAAAGCCAGTTCACTGAAATACTGGTGGCTGCCTATACATCTGGACCCAAAGAAGCTAGTAATCACCTCCATGGCCTCAATGCTGCTTCTTCTTCGGTGAATCAAAGTAAATAGTAAAGCCACCAGCAGGGCTGTGGCCACCAGCAATGGTATGCCCGCCGCTAATCCAAGAGAGGGCCCACAGTCCTGGCACAGAATGAAAAACACAGGGTCAGAGGAAGCCCAGAGTCTTCAATAATAAAGGAAAAATTCAATAGAATAAAAATAAAACAAAAAATCTGCATGGATCATAAACGTCATATACAAAATCAAAAGGGTAATGAAATACTGTGCAAAAATGTTTGTAACACACATGACAAATGACTTACTTTCATAGGACTTAATTTACACAGTTTAAATCTGTTGGAAAGAGTAATGATCAAGTAGAAAAATGGGCAAAGGATATGAACAGGTATTCTTTAGAACAGAAATACAAATGTCTCTTCAATGTAGGAAAAGCTGAGATACAATTCAGAGCAACAATTAGATGTCATTTTCACCTGTTTGGCTAAAAATAAAAGCTTTTATTATACACCACACTTTTTTTTTTGTTTGAGATGGAGTCTTGCTCTGTTGCCCAGGCTGGAGTGCAATGGCACAGTCTTGGCTCACTGCAACCTCCGCCTCCTGGATTCAAACGATTCTTCTGCCTCAGCCTCCTGAGTAGCTGGGACTACAGGTGCATGCCACCACACCCAGCTAATTTTTGTATTTTTAGTAGAGATGGGGTTTCACTATGTTGGCCAGGCTGGTCTCTAACTCCTGACCTCATGATCTGCCTGCCTTGGCCTCCCAAAGTGCTGGGATTACAGGTTTGAGCCACCATGCCCAGCCATACCACACTATTTTAATATGAATTAAAAAAATTTATTTGCACTTAATGTAAATGACGAGTTAATGGGTGCAGCACACCAACGTGGCACATGTATACATATGTAACAAACCTGCACGTTGTGCACATGTACCCTAGAACTTAAAGTATAATAAAAATAAATAAATAAAAAAGTGACATTTAGCCTTTCAAAAAAAATTTATTTGCAATAAATGCATTAACCTATTAATTTTCAAATTCCCATTTTGCTTTGATCGGAGTGGAAATAGTCATGCTTTTAGTTACATAAGTTTTCAGATTTGCAGACTATCTGGAAATATTGAAGATAATCTGCAGAAACCCTATAAAAGTGCAACTGTTATTTAATAATGGATTCACCTTCACTTCACTTTAGGGGGAAATTGATTTTATTGAAGAATAATAAAGTATATGAATCACAAATATATAAGTGGATGACTTTTCACATGAGGAATACACCCATAAGACCAACACCCAGATCAAGAAACAGAACATTAGCAGTATCTCAGGATCCCCCTCAAATCTCTTCCAGCCTCCTTGTGCGTGACCACTATTCTGAAATCTATTGCCATAGAGTAGTTTTGTCTGTTTTTCAGCATAATATAGATGCAAATATAAGATATGCACTCTTTGTGTCTGGCTTCTTTTGCTCAACCCTTTGTGAAATCCATCTGTGATTTTGCATGTTCTCCCTCACTTTTGAGCGGAGCTGGTCAAGAATAATTCTTGAGCCAGATTCTGTGCTTAGTGACAGTTCACCTATCAAACTTTAAAGCTCAAAACAAATGCTCAAGATGGATGGAGCATTATTATTATCCCCATTTTATAAATTTAAGTGATATAGTTACCGTTTCTTTCCCACCTGTGACAGGAGAGGACGTCTGTATGGAAAAAGAACATATATTGTAAAAGAACAAAAAGTCTATAGAATATACATTATACAAGACAATCTGCCAAAGTTTAGGCTATAAAGCCTAAAGTTTATCCCTTTGCTAAACTTTCTGTTAACAACTACCAAACAGAACCTAACTTGATTGCTTCCCAGGTAAGAATTGGAATAAAATTTGGCTACAAGGAGAAAAGAATTAGGAAATTCAGGCAATGTCTTCATTATTCACCCTGTGGATGTACCGTGACACATTTTACAACTCAAAAGGGCTTCCTCCTGTCCCTAGTCAGCACACCTGGCACACTTTGGGCCTACTTGTCCCCATTGCTAGAAGGGAAACACATATAAATACTGGTGGAAGCAAGGCTCTTTAAGGAAGCCTTGCTTGTTTTCAAGTATGTGATGAAACAAATGGCAGAAGTTGTCAAATATCCATGCTCCTGGGGATAATTCTACATGAAATGAATGCATTACATGTTTCTGGTCCACTGAGTTATTGGTCCAATGAGTTATTGGATTTCACTCATTTATAAGATATTTCAGGCAAGAGTTTACCTTGATTAGGAAATCTAAAGGAATAAAGTTCTGCATGAGAAACTATGTAAACTACACTAAGTGGTATGCTGTGGGATTAAGAGCACAGGTCCTGGGCTCACACTGCCTGCCATAGAACAGCCATTTCTCAATTTACAAGCTAAGGGGTTGCATGTCTCTATCTACACAATATCTACAGGGATAGTAGTAGCTGCCTCTAGGGTTATTAGGAGGATTGAATGAGGAGCAGAACTATGAACTCTTGTCAGCCCTTTACACTTTGCAAAGCTCTGTCCAGATCTGTTATTTATTTAATACTCTCAGCAATCTCATCAAGTATACTGGAGTCCTGGGGCTTGGACTTTTGACAATTATTAACTCCATTTTACAAAAAAAAAATGTAATAGATCTCAGAGAAGTTATGGGGCTTGTCCAAGGTTTCACAGATAATCATAACTCTAATCTGAACTTGGATGTTTGACTTCCAAGCCCAGACCTCTTTCCCAGAGAGCTCCCATCAAAAGAAGGTTTTGATGACCAGGCACTGAAACTTGGTACTTAAATGGTTGTCCTTTGACCTAATCACAATCTCCCCAACCCCTACCCCCACACTACTTTAATCCTGCATTTCCCTAAGGTGCTCTAAGGGTAGTAGGAAGAATCAGCCATTGTTTCAGGTAAGGCTTCCTGTCTTCAGAGTACAGAAATACACTTAGGGTGGCTTTCACTAAAAAAAAAAAAAAAAAAAGGAAGGTGTTAACTCTAAGAATATGGGAGTGTCCCATGGAGCCCAAGGACAGGTGGGAAGCTGGTTTCTCCAGGGAGTGGACCTTGGAACGGGGAACTTGTGTGAACCGAAGGCACCCTCCTTTCTCCTTCGCTCCAGAGCAGCACGGCCTTCTGCCTGTACTGTTCTCTGATGTTTGCTTCTCTCTTTCTCTCCAGATGGACTTTTCTGCCCTCATAAACTCCTGCTAATTGTACCAGCTAATGCCATGGAGCACTTAGGATGTGCCAGGCTGTTCAAGAATTTTTCCCATATTGACTTATTTATTCTATACAACTGCCAGTGAATAGTAATGGGACTATGATGATCTCATTTTACAGATGAGAGGAGCAAGGCACAGAGAAGTGAAGTAACTTGTGTAAGGTCACACAGCCCTAGGTGACACCCCCCCGGGCAGTCTGGCTCTGGGATCCATGCTCTTAACCACTGTGCTACATGGCCTCCATGGCCTAATGCAGTGTCTTAGTCCCATTTTTCATACTTGACAGTTCAGTATGGACTGAACTGACAAATAGACTGAACCTGGCATTTCAGTCCTCAGCAGGGACTGGCCAGCAGGGAGCCCTGTTCCAAACTTCCCGCAGAGAGGGATCCAGGTGCCCACCTCTGTCCCACTTCCCAGGGCACTGGCATTCCCAGGCTACCCAGCTGCACTGAAGTGGAAGGGTTATGCAGTAGAAATGTGACTTCCAGGCAGGATGACCTACCATCCGCATTGTCCAGAGAGCTGCCCAGGACTTTCAGTGCTAAAAACAGACAACACCAGGCAAAGCAAAATGGTTGGTTGCTCTACACGGGATCAAAGGGGTGAAGAGACAGTTCTCAGAGAAATGAGCTGTTAACCAAGAGAGTACTCCAAAGGGTGATGACTGGCCACATAAGGGCTCTCTTCCACCCCATTCACCCCCACTCCCCAAGAAATGGCTTCTTGCTTCTCTGCATTCTCTTGATGTGATGGGCCAAGATAACACAGAACCTGGAGTGTCTATGGACCTGCTGGGTTCCAACAGCCAGGGGAAAGTTCCAGCAGTGATTGAAGGAAAAGGTTTTGACAGGAAAAAGAGGAAGAATTAGGGAATTTGCCTGAAACCAACAGGCAGAAGCTGAAGCAGGGAAGCAGAGCAAGTTGGGGAGGTTCAGAAGTGCCCCCCACCAGAGGCTGGAGCAGGTGCCAATGTATTCAGTTCACAGAGGTCTGGGCAGACAGTGGTGGGCACCACAGGTCCAGCAATAAGTCACAATGTTCTAACTTTATGCTACTCTCTAGAACTATGCCCCCATGTTTCAGTAAAATGAGCACTGGCTTAGGAGTCCTCTTACGAGTAAGATTCAGTTTATTCTCTTTGAATAACCAGACAACTTATCAGAAAAATGTGGCACAGCCAAGCCCACTAAAAAACTGGGCCAGAAAAATGCCTTGCTCAACCATAGTAGTGCTACTGATCAGATAACAACCTTGGCTCTTAGTGTTATCTATATGCAATGTGCAAACAGAAGACGGAGGATCAGCTGTGGATTGAAACTCTAACATCGACAATTGAAAACCTCAATTTTGACTTGCAACTAAATGCCATAATCAAGAGCCATAAAATGTTCATTCTTGTTGACCCAATCATTCCCATTTTAGAATACATACAAGGAAATTATCTTAAATGCAGATAAGGATTCTCTAAAATGCCATGTATCACAAAGTTATTCCTAATGATAGTTAATCAACTGAAGAAATAATTAACTTGAAAAAATATTATGCGATCATAATATGATCACATGATTATGTGATTAACCATATAACAGTTATGGTTATAAAGACTAGTGGAAAACATTTAGATATAAAATTATATGTAGAGTAAGAAAACAATAGTACAAAGGCAACAAAAGTCAAAATTTATGTAACGCCAAACAGGACAGGAAGGGTTACACCAGTTTTCTGCTGATGAGAGTTTAGGTGTTTTATTGTTGTTGTTGTTTTCCTATTTTCCTTTTCAAAATGTGTATTTATAAGTTTTATAATGGAAATAAATTCTCTCAGCATCTCTCAACTATTCCTCAGTGCGTTTTGAAAGTTTATGTAAATGGCCGGGCACGGTGGCTCACACCTATAATCCCAGCACTTTGGGAGGCTGAGGTGGGCGGATCACCTGAGGTCAGGAGTTTGAGACCAGCCTGGCCAACATGGCAAAACCCTGTCTCTACTAAAAAGTGCAAAAATTAGCCGGATATGGTGGTGCACACCTGTAATCCCAGCTACTCAGGAGGCTGAGGCAGGAGAATCGCTTGAACCCAGGAGGTGGAAGTTGCAGTGAGTCGAGATCATGCCACTGCACTCCAGCCTGGGTGACAGAGCAAGACCTTGTCTCAAAAAAAAAAAAAAAAAAAAAAAAAAAAAAAAAAAAAAAAGAAAGTCTGTGTAACTTATCACCGTGTGTGAGGGGTTTATGTGAGTTCTGGAGACCTACTGTAAATTCTGCACTGGTCTT